>NC_000014.9:38096561-38399591 GCF_000001405.40 Homo sapiens | reverse complement strand
TCGCTGAATGTGGCACAGGTTCTGATTCTCATGGCTATATTTCAGCTGATTTTTAAAAATCAAAACTGCTTCCTCAAATGTGTCTGTTTCAACCACTGCCAAGGTAGTAATTTCTCATCTTTGCCTCTAAGATGTTCTTAACAGACAGCTATGTTCCCTCCTCACCTCCTGAAATTTCCCATGGCTTCTACGAATCTCTTATTTCATCAGATTGCAGAATTTTCAAGTCATTGTTATTTTAAAAATGTGTTCAATTACTTTCTTTCTCAATGATGCTCCATATCATCCAACAGTAACCTAAAGTATCTTAAACTTTACAAAAGGCAATTACAGAATACATTAAGTTATACAATCAATAAAATACCAAAAAATCGGCTCTTGATCTTATATTTGAGCTAATATAATTCAGGAGAAAAGTCTTTATTATTTGCTTTCATGCTTTCAAAGCATTATGAAAATCCATAAATATAATAATTACCATTTAAATAGCTGTTCCATCTCAAAAGCACAAAATCTGTGATTGAGTTTTGCCAGATAATCAGTGAAAACTGACAAAGGATACTGCTACCTTTTTTGTTTCATTTGTCAGAATGTGTCATCATCTCAGCTTTTCATTCTATATTCAGCACATAATTGAATGAAATATAGTTTGAAATGAAAAGATCTATTTCCTTTTATGAGAACACTCACCTATTAAAGGTTAAATAAAAGTTGATCTTCAACTTTATTTAACTTATCTTGAATTCAAATGACTTGGCTTTCACTATTTAAATATTTAGTGATCAATTTCCACCAGTAACCAAGTTTTTCCATATTTCTAAATATATGGAAATATGTCTTTTAAAAAAATTAAATTGAATTTTTAAATATCCTTTTGGGAACAATTTTAGATTAATTTTAGGAAGTAATTTAAATAATCTCTTATTAGTTCTGCAACCCTTCTGTTAAAATACATATAAAATATTAGAAAATCTACTACTCTCTTATGTGCTTATACTATTATATTTTAATTAAGTTAATGTAATATTTTCTTATTAGAGTCTTTTTCTTAGTTTAAAAATGTAATTGAAGGAAAATTAATGGATGATTTCTAAAATTCTATAGAAAAAAATGATAAACTTCTCCATTGTGGGTTAATTAAGATTTTACTCTATTAGGAGTCAAACTCTCATCTAGTTTATCCATATACTTTATGGATTTTCCTTCTGATAACTGTGTGAAATGGATTTGGGAAAAATCTAATCATACTTAAAATTATTCAGAAAAAAATTCAGAGTGGAGTGGTAGAGCAAATTAAAATTGCAAAACTTTTTTATTTCTGTGCATCCCTTGGAATATTGTGCCCTGAGATAATTTTTACATTTAGTCAAACTACTGCATAGGAGAGCAGTAATTAAAACATGTGAATGCATCATCTTTAATTATGTCTAATTTGTATGTTGCCTATAAACACTGTTGAGATGATCTCAACTGGGATAGAGTTACAGATTTAAAGTAATATCCATAATTTCAAAAAGTTTAGGCTATGATAGTTCTTGTTACATAGACCATGTTTACAAACTAGCCTTGTTTGGAGAGGACATATATTAGAATTTCCACAAACAATGTAAGAGTCAAGAAATTTTCCTGAATCATTAGCAAAGAATCACCTGTTAGATACACTGATGTGAAAGACTTTTTTCCCCCTTTTTTCACTGATAAATGTAAAACCTCTTTGAATTAAAACAATTTTCTTTTCAAGACCTCAGAGTCCCCATTGTTGTCACTTCGTAATATTTTTGTGAGGAGTAAACAGGGAATTTTTTAATGAGTAGAATTCTATATTTTGTGAATAAGTGACTTAGAGTCATAGCTAGTGTTCAAAAGAAGCTTAGACATCTTCGTGTCCACTATTTCCCAACATCTCCAATGGGTGGGCATTCATTCTCTGCTTAAATACAAAGAATCAGGGAGTTTACTACTTCATAAGGCTCTTCATTCAGTTGTGATTTGGGATCACTGTCATTATTTCAAAAACTCCTCTCTATAATGAGGCATTATCCACTTATTTATGATTTTTTATCCATTAATCTGTACTTTGACTTCCACGTAAGTAAGATTCACCTTCCATGCGCATCTAGAGGATAGGTGCTGTGGAAGAAAGAGAAATGGTCCACAAACCAGCACACCTGGGGTCAGCCCAAATTTCATTATGCTCAGCTGTGTGGTATTAGGCATGCAGCAACTGTGTGCCTTAGTTTCTTCATTTAATGCCTAAGAATAGTGATGCATGCCTGCTCTCCTTCCCTATGTTATGCAGCTATTGTGAAAACCCAATAAACATAACAAGTAGAAGCTCTTTCTTAAATAAAACATCAAGCACATAGGTTATTATTATTTGCATTAATAATTCAACTGTCATGGTTCCCTCCAAGCCTTCCCTTCTTTAGGGGAAAACATTCTAAGTACCCCGAACTATTCACTATATGATATGGATTTAGGTTTCTTCATCATTCTGGATTTTCTTTGTCAGTATTTCTATTAATGTGATTTCAAGAAGGATGACAATGCTGGATGCTTACATTTATTTTCTCATTTAACCCTCAAAACATTTATTATTATTTTAGCCAAAAAAAGCCCCTGAGGCTTAGAGAGGTGAGATGAGATGCCACAGGTCACAAAGCTAGTACATGGTAGGGCTGCTGTTCTAACTCAAGGCTGACATCAGAGCCCTGCACTCCCAGTCCACTGTGCTAACCCGTGCATGTCACAGTCATGGAGTCGTCATTTATTCTTGCAGTCGGCATTTGTTTATTGAGTACCTCATACTGGATACTAGGAATAGGAAGGCTGACAGGGCAGAGATTCTGTTTTCAAAGAACTCACATTACAATAGAGAAGTTACATAAGGACACAAATGCTTGTCAATAATGCAGTATGATAACTGTCATAATAGAAGTGAGAACAACCACACAATTACCCCTTTGGGCATGCTATTTTCACTGACACACCTAAAAATTTTTATTTTATGTTATTTCATTTTGTCAACTAGCACATGGCTGACAAAGTTGTGGAAGTGTTCACACAGAAGAAAAAAAAATGTTCCTTAGAAGGCACATTGTTGAGGGAACTCAATGATCATAAACCAAGGAGAGGGTTAAACGAAGTGGCCTGTAGTGTGCTTTTGAACTTTTGGATTCTATGAGCTTGAGCTAGAGTCAAATAAACCATGAAGTATTATTTACCTAAACTAATATTCCACAACTCTACACATCTTCAGTTGGTTGTTTAGAAGCTAAGCACAAAACTTGACATTTTTCTCTTATGAAATTCCTTCCTGTCAAATGTGGTTTGCTGTTTTTTCGGAACCTGCTTTTATCATCCAGCATGATGACTCTCAAGTACAACCTGTGTCTTCTGTAAATGCTATCTGCACACCCTCTTTGTCCTCATTCATCCAAAGGAATCTATTAAGCATTTGCTCTGGGCCAGGTGCCATGCCAAGGCAGGTAGGGGAGGGACTCTCAGATCAGTTAATGAAAAAGCACAGAGCTTCATGGTCCAGGCCATGATGAAAAGATGCACAGAGAAGGTGGTGACCGACAGAGGCTGGGGAATGGAGATGGGACGAATGAGGGAAGACTTATTGGCTCCATCTTGAGATGCACGTAGAAGTTGGGGAAGGAGTGCTCCAGGCAGAGGAGCAGCCTGTACACAGTGAAGAGAGCAGGGAGGAGGATGAAATGTAAGGAATTGTGAATTAGTTCAATAGGGCTATCATATAATGTGGGATATAAGGAAGAAATAGTGAGAATGATGCTGGGCAGGTTTTTGGATGGAGGGCACCCAGCAAACTGCTATGGAGAACTCACTCCAGATTCACATCAGTCAGCCCCTTTGTGAGTTAGACACGGTCCTCCAGCCAAAGAACTATGTTATTTACTCATGCTTGGTGCTGTTGTGCAGGTCAATAAGGGAGGGGAGAAGGAAAAGATAATGAAGAGAAGTGGAAAAACAAGGAAAAGAAAAATGACTTCCAACTACAAAGTCTAAAAATACAAAACTGCAAGGGAAACATTTCAGGTAGTAGAGGAGAGTGAACTTACCTGTCAAAAACGGAGAATCATCTGGAAGGATGTCAAAGTATCAATCTTAAACAACACCTAAGTCCTGCCTCTAAGAAGGCTTACACATTTAAAATTAGGTAACAACAAGAACTAGGTCCATTACGGCAACAAATCCACCCCAAGGTAAAAATAAATTCCCCAAGTGTCTTTTCTATAGGCCATTGTGCTCAGCTGACAAGATTATAGGCTAGCCAGTTCTCTGTTAAACCCAGTTAATTTTTTAAATAATGAATGATGGGAAAATCTTTAGAAGGAAGCATAACAAAGAAAACTTGGAACAATTTTCAACATGGACTATTATACTAAATTCTTTAAGTACTATGTATTTCCAAAAATAAGTCATCACCAAGACATCTTGATTTATTAACATTTTCCAGGTTTTGTGGCAATCAAGTAAAACCAAAATGAATTAGATGATAATTTAACCACTTCAGGAGATTTAGAATGAATCTGGCTTCCACTGCCACATAACCTAAGGGAGTGCCCAAAAGTTTTATTCAAATGAAATATGGAAATTCAAAGAAGGCTTCAGAAATTTATTACCTTCTTTGCATATTTGATTCTTCCCAAGGGTGCATATCTCCTTCAGAGATTTCCTGCAATTTCACTCTCCTCTTAATAACTGTTGTATACTTGGCATTTACAATGACTTAGTTTTTCTAATGGTATTTTTTAAAATCTTGTGTGTGGATATGGATGTTTCATCTCCCTCTCTGAATTTTAAATCTCAAGAAAGTGGGCAAACATCCTGGACCAGTGTTAGGTCTTTTTTCTCCTGACTGAACACCTGTTAGAAGAAGAGTATAGACAAAAATACTTAAGCTTTGAAATTGAAGCTCTCTTTCTGTAATCAGCTCACAAATAAGAGAGTCAGATGTGAACAACCTATCCTTTTCCAGGGAGGCTTTCCATGAATCTGCAGGGAATAATTTTTATGTACCTTTGCCATCTCAACAGCAGGTCACAGACCCATTGTAGCCCTGCCACCTCTTCTCTCCACTGTCCTCTGGTGTTAGTGTCACCAGGCATTCTTGAACCTGGAGTTTATATTCATTGTAGCTGGCCCTTTGTTAAGTAAAGTACACATGCAGTGACTCTGCTTTTCCCTGATTCTTATATTTTGATGACCTCTTAAGAACTTAAAAAAAAATCTTTCTCCTCAAGCGTGCTATATCCTGCCTCTGTGCATTTCTTTTAGAGGCGTATTCTCCACATTCTTCTGTCTTCTTAGGCACATTCTACTGAGAGGAACTCCTTTGATGTTTCAACTTTGCATCTGTGTGTGTGTGTGTGTGTGTGTGTGTGTGCATGCATAGGAGTCTTTGCCTTGATCCCTGATTATATACTCATAATTGAGATATATAAGAAAAACTGGTAGAAAACACTACCAGCTTGGTTTATTTTACATAATTTGGGGGGGCTTAATTTCCCATTCTAATTTTATCTTCTTCCCTATTAAAGGATACCAAAGACATCTGATCACTTTATCTCCTATTTTAAAATTATCAATACAATTGAACTTCTCTTGGTTTCTCCCTTTCCTGAATTTGCACTTATTTGATTGCCTTTCATCTGCTTCCCTAGCCTGCACTTGCCCCTTGGTCGATATTCATACATGTTATGTATGAATTGCCACACCCTCTTTTATATTCCCATTTCACACAGCACAGACCCCCAGAACCTATTATGCTTTCCTATGGGAGTAAGCATCATTCTCATTGACTTTCCTATACTCATGACTACCTGAGGGCACAGTGTCTAGCACCTGATTATAATGTAGGCTTAGTAAATAGATAGATAAATGTTCTTATCCTCAACTGGGCTTGGCTTGCATATAGATTCAAATTTACCTTAAGTTAATTCAGACAAACACCTAATACTTTCTACCCCAATCATGGTATACTCAGCCTCAGTGAATGTCATCTAGCCTAATTTTCTGAAGCAGAAAACTCTACGTGCAGATAACAGTCATACTACCATTAATTCAAGAGTTTAACTTCCACAAACTATAAACTATGAATTTACCCATTTTTTTTCATGAGAGACAGGTTATACATGTTTGATCTGTGATAGGAAAATAAATGGCTAGGTATTTTACTTAAAATTATATAAAAACAGTTACGTGCTGCGTACGTACTTTCATCTATATGGCATATGAAGGCAGAAAAGTACAATAGGACAGGATCTGGAATTGAACTTCTGGGTTTCAATCCTCACTCCTTCCTTTATTAACTATTATGAACTGAATTGGTTTCCCCCAAAATTCATATTTTAAAGTCCTCACCCCCAATGTGACTATATATTGGAGATAGGGCCTTTAAGGAAGTAATTAAGGTTAAATGATGTCATAAGGGTAGGATCCTAATCTGATAGGACTGGTGTCCTTGTAAGAAGAGGAAGAGACACTGAGCTCTCTCCCTCTCCATACTGACACAGAGGAAAGGCCACAGCAAGAAGGTAGTTGTTGGCAAGCCAAGAAGAAAGATCTCACCAGAAACCAACCCTCCTGGCCCCTTTTAGCCTCCAGAGCTGTGAGAAAATACGTTTCTGTTGATTAAGCCACCCAGTCTGTGGTATCTTGTATGGCAGCCCGAGTAGGCTAACATTGTGACCTTCAGTGGATTGTTTAACTTTTCTGAACCTTATTTCTTAATTGTAAAATTAGTACTGTACTATGTCATGGATTCTCATTGAAGAGACATTCAGATGATACATTTTTGCACTTAGCAGAGTTTGTGGCACCTGGTAAGTACTCAAAAATCATTAGCTATTAATATTAATTCACTACAAAATTATTCACTGTGACTTGTATTCTTGTGATTGAGAGTCCTTGAGTCACATTTGGGATAATTAAGTCGAGAAAATTCAACCAATAGGAATTCTGCAAAGTTTAGGTCAATCTAAGTATATGTAAACACAGCTTGATTGTCCTTGATAACTATGGAAACTCCAAATATGCTGTAGTAATAATTTATGAGGCACTTTATATGCACATTAATCAATTAAAAAGACAATTTACCCATGGTTAA
The DNA here is from genome assembly GCF_000001405.40 of Homo sapiens. NCBI lineage: Eukaryota > Metazoa > Chordata > Mammalia > Primates > Hominidae > Homo > Homo sapiens. Next base: position 38,392,456 of record NC_000014.9, on the reverse strand, counting down.
GAAGTAATTATTGTTAATTACTAATAAATTAATAAGACTACAACCTTACAAAAATGAGTGGAAAAGAAGGTAAAAAAGGCAAAATATGTGAGTCAGGTTTTGCAAAATGATAAAAACAGGTGACTTTAGAAAAATTCACCTTTCCTCGTGTAATTTTCACCAGAATCTCCCTCATTTAGAGCTACCTCTGGTTCTGTGTCACCATTTTTGCTTTCACCTCTACACTGAACTTCCCCTTAAATTGGAGATGGGCTTTCCCTGACAGATCTTCAAGCCACATATATTAAATAGCCCCATGCACTTTAATGTTTTTCTGTCTCTGCTGGTCACCTTGGTATATAATGTTCTCAAAGCTCATCTGGAATATCTTTGTATATTTTTGTGGAAAGGGTCATTGTCCATTGAAACCTTTTATTCTCAAATTATAAGAACCCTTCCTCCACTTCCTCCGTGTCTTAGCTAATTCCTTCCTCTCTGTGTCTTGTCTTTGGGCCCTTGTTCCTCAGCCTGTGCAGTAGAGCATTTCCTCTACTTCCTAGTATCCTCCGTTTCTCCTCTTTAGCACATCATGGGTGGCAAGCTTCGTTTCACAGCACTGGTCACTCTTTCTTCTAGGTAGACTAAGGACCACCAAGTGTTTGCCCAGGCTATACTCAGAAGCTTTGCTGAAATCAATTCTGAGATCATTCAACCCACTCAAATGTTTATTCTTCAGATCAGCAAATTAATTGTGTTCACTGTAATGTCTGCAGTTAAATCCTTTTTTTTTCCCTTTTTCAGACTTAATATTGCTAACACTCCCCTCTAAGCCTTTCTTTAAATTGCTGTAAAAAACACCTCATTTTCCCATAGTTGCTTATTATGGTCAGTTTTGCTGCCCAACCAACATTCACCTTTGTATCTTGTCTCCTTGCCAAGACTATGACACATCTGTTTCTCTTTCTGTTTTATTTTCCTGTGTTTGTGATTCTGATCATGTCTATATTTGGTGCCACCCATTTGCTGATGCATCTTTACTCTCTGCTTTAACTTCTCAACTTTTTCTCTTAATTATACATTAATTATATCTACATTGGGAACATCTATTTTGCTTTTTATACCTTTATAAAGCTCCAGCTTTTATAAGCTACCCCAGAGGCCTCTGACATCTTGAAAGTAGATGAAAACTCACCCATCCTTCATTATCTCTCATATTTTAAATGTTGCTCATTTCTAAGGGGATATTCTACACTCAGTGTTGTCAGTTAGTATTGTATTAGTATGGCCAGGTTCTACATATTTGTATTTATAGAGCAGTTTTTTAAATTACTTACCAACCTATCATTTATTTCTATAAATAGGCTGGAATTCCCCAATCAACATTAGCGATCTTATTAAATGCAGAGATGTTGCCATATTCTTAAACAAGTTTCCCTTTATATATTTCCTTTGGGAAGTATAAAGTTTTATAAGTTTCATTTTCCCTAATCTCCTTTTTATCCTCGATCCTGTATTTTCTGAAAAATATAGCATATCTTTTAACCATACCATGGAGAGTAAAGCAAAAAATAAATATTTTCATGATTCATCCTTTGAGAAAGTTTTTGTTTTATTAAATTTTAGACAAAACCCTTATTCCCTTCATTCTTATGTTTCTATGAAAGGATTTTCAATGCACACATCAAGAGACGATCATATTGGAAAAACACCTATGGATACTTATTTCATGCAGTCTCACCCTGGGTAAAGGAGCAATCCATCTGATTGATGAGACAAGGAATGAGGGAGAGCTTGGCATCCACTGGCCCTGGTAACAGGGGGCTGTGACAACACTGAAAGCAGGGGCCTCAGCTTGTTCCTCTCATGCTTGTTAAAGTAAATGAAAATAGAGACCAGGCTTGACGAATCACTGAGCAGACAAAGTCAGTTAAGCTTCATACATGACCTTAACCTTGCTTGATTTCCAAACATAAGCAAAACTTAACTTGAGCTATTTCTTGTAAATGTCTATCTTGAAGAACAACAGAACTTAGTCTCAACCAATCAAAAGTAGCCAACTAACTTATAATGATACAACTAGAGACTTTCCAATGGGATAGACCAAATAAGCCAACTGTGTGTAGGTAACCCATCAAATATTTCCTTTGCTTTACTTTCCTATTCATCTATATGTTTCCTTTATGGAGCTCCCAAGCTACTTCTGGTTTGGAGCTGCCAGATGCCTGAATTGCTGTTTGTGCAAATAAACTCTTAAAGAATGTTATTATGTCTCAGTTCACCTTTTAAACATCTCCTTGGACTTGTTGCTTTCAAATCATATGTTACTGCTGCTTCTTTACCTTTTCCCTCTTGGTGAACAAAAGAGGACAGATTTTCCCCAGTGTGGTGGGAGGCGTGTCATTCTCTAGCTTGTCTGATGGGATTGGGCACTGAAGTGTGGGAGATGTGATTCCCAGAGCCTAGGTTTAGTGAGGGTCATGGGAGACCCCCTGTGTTCTCTAGACATACTAACAAAGTTGTCTTGGAGTAAAGCATATGGATCAACCAGTTATCTCCGTTGTTTGTGAACATATGCTATTAGTCAGAATTCTGAAGTGGAAGTGGAGCATCTGGTAGTACTTTGGCACAAAACCTCAAGTGAGCTTTCTTTGTTTGGCCTTTGTTTATGTGTATGTGTGTGTGTGTGTGTGTGTGTGTGTTTCATATGTTTTCTAATTCTAAATTTTGAAATAATTTTAGACTTACAGAAAAGTTGCAGAGACAGTACAAAGACTTGCAATGTTTCATTTCTCCAATTTCGCTTAATGTTAACATATTGCCATACAGTGATATACTCATAAAACCTAGAAACTAACATTGGTACAATACTATTAACTAAACTATCAACTTAGTTCACTTGGGTCCTTATTCTGTTCCAGTAATCAATCCAGGATCCTATATTGTATTTAGTTGTCATGTCTCCTTAGCTGCTTTTGATCTGTGACAGTTTCTCTGTCTTTCCTTGTCTTTCGACCTTGACACTTTTGAAAACTAATGTTCAGGGGTTTGTAAAATGTCTTGCATTTTGGATTTGTCTTATGTTTGCTCATATCTTATAAAATGAAGTGATGTTAACCTTGATCTCTTGTTTAAGATGGTGTCTGCCAGGCTTCTCCATGAAAAGTTACTGCTTTCCCTTTTGTAATTAATAAATATTTTCAGTAAGGTAATTGGAAGCTATCTTGTTGCTCCATAAACTTTCTCTCACTAATTTTAGCATTTATTGGTTGATCATGGCTGTAGTGATTACTACTCTAGTGTTCTAATGGTGTTTTCTATCTCCTTCATTTCTTCTGCATTTATTAATTGGAATTCTTCTGTAAGAAACAGTTGTCCTCTTCCCCAATAATTAATTTATTTATTTACTCATATTAATATAAAATCATGGATATTTATTTTATTCCTTGGGTTATAATCCAATTCTATCACCATTGATCCACGAGGAGCTATTTCAGTTGGCTCCTGTGTCCTTTTAACATGCTATCATCTTTTTTGAAAAGCTGCTTTAAATTTGAATAATTTTAGATTTATAGAAACAATGTAGAGATAGTACAGCAAGTCCCCTAATAGACACCCTTTGCTCCTTTTCCCTATTGTTAGCATCTTACATTACCATGGTACAGTCATCAAAACTAAGAAATCAACTTTGGCACAGTACTGTTAACTAACTCCACACTTTTGGATTTCACCAGTTACTCCACCAATCTCTTCTCTCTGTTTCAGGATCCAGTCTAATGTATCACATTACTTTTAATTTTCATGCCCCTCCAGTCTCTTCTGGTCTGTGACCATTTCTTAGTCTTTCTGTGTTTTTCGTGACCTTAACAGTCTTGAAGAGTATTGACTAGGTATCTTGTAGAATTTCCCCAACTCTGGATGTGTCTGATGTTTTTCTCATAATTAGAATTAGGTTATGAGTTCTTGGAAAGTATCCCATAGAGCCAAAGTGCCTATCTCACCACATTATGTCAAGGGGTACGTGATATCCATGTGAAGTCACTGGTGATGTTAACCTTCATTACTTGGTTAGGATAGCGTTTGTCAGATTTCTCTTACCCTATTCTATGGAAGCAAGTCACTAATTACAGCTCACTCTTGTAGAAGAAGGGCTAGGAATAGTGATCCTCCTCCTGGAATGGAGAGTATCTACATAGTTATTTAGTATTCTTTTATCATAAAAATTTGTCTCTTCTGCCCCATCAGCCTTTGTTTTTTTTTCCCTAAGAATACATCCAATTTCTCTTCTCTGAGAGTTCCTTAGGCCACATCTCCAGTTTTTTTTGTGTGTTCTTATTTGTGTTGTTTTCTTCCTGATAATGGTACTTACTCTGTGTATGTTTTTAATTAGTGCTTCAAAGCTTCCCTGGACTCAATTGACTTGCCTTTTGACTAATCTCTTCCACTATTCTCAAGCCTCAGTCAAATGCCTAAGCTGTGCCACATTAGGAGGCTGTTTCTGTCTCCATTCACTGTCGCTAATCTCTTTACCAGCACAAATTCTGTAAATACTCCCCTTTACTTGTTCCTAATCAGAGGATTTTAGTCCCAGACAGAATACTGTCTTCTGACTAAGCTCACCTAGCATCGTCATGCTGCTTTTTCTTTTTTCTTTTACTACAGCTGTTGTTTATCTCTAACTCCTCTATTTTCCTTCTCTTTACCACCCACTCTACCATCTGGAAATCAGTGTATTTATTCTCTCCTTCTTTCTCTTTTCTTGGCACCCCAAGGGGGCTCGGTGAATCCATGTGGGCAGACGTTCAATTGCTGTTCTATTGCTTGACATCCCCTTTCCTCATGGTGACCTGGCCCCTGTGCACCTTTGCCTCACTCTCTCTTAATTTACTTTTTAAAGTTTCAGAAACACCACCTTTAAAAAAAAAAAAAAAGAAACAGCTTATACACAATTTACTTTATGTGACACTTATGTTCTTGTCTTCCATACTGTAAAGCACATAAACAATCATTATGATAGTCTTCCTAGTAAACGTTCCTCTCATTTATTGAGCACCCAGACTGTGCTGAGTGCTGTGCTATCTACATCATATTCATAGACTTACTGAAGCCTCACAACATGCTGTGTTATTGTATCCATTTTATAATGGAAAACAGGCTCAGAAGGTTAACTAACTTTCAAGTTAATTTTAAAATTCCAAAGTCATTTTTTCTTAACTTCCCCTGTAATTCTGGGTTCTTTTATCATCATTCAGCTGAATCTTGAGCCATCTCTCTAGCATCTCTTTGGCTTTCTGGATAGCATTTGAAGTCTTGATCATGTTTGAATGAAAGCAGCCTGGATTGTGGGTAAATTTATTATCCTCTTGCTATAAATTTCAAAGCTTCCAGCAAAACCATGACTTTGAACAATAATGAGTGGTTTACTATATACTGCATATAGATAATAACCCTTTGCAGTAGATACTATTATACCCATTAAACATATAAGAAATTCAATTTTAAAGCGTTTTAGTAAGCTGCCCAATCTAATTACACAAACTATTTGGTTGGTGCAAAAGTAATCATGGCTTTTACTGTTACTTTCAATGGCAAAAACCACAATTACTTTTGCACCAACCTAATAGTTAGTGGCCAACCTAACTGAATTTAAACTCAGGTTGTCTAAGTCAGAGACCATACTCTTAACTAACTCACTGTGCATCACAATGTTTTTAGGGGCTAAGCCTAGCTATGCTCATATTGCTTCCCCTCGGTTACCTATGCAAACATTATCTGTCCACTTTACCTTTCATCTTTAGCCTTAACTAAAAATTATCATGTGGGAAATAAAATTTAGAGTGGATCTCTGAGGTTTAATGAAGCATTTAATTTAGAAAGCATCATTTAACATTTTCTCAGATTATGATATCATACTCTTCCAAGCCAGTGAGGAGAGTTTGTCATAATGGAACATTAGTATAAACAGGTATTCATAACAAAGAAAGGAAATCTTAGCATCCTGCTTTGATTCACATATTCTCAGTAATAGAAGACAGTCACATTAACCACTACATATTCATTTCTAAGTGACATACTCTTAGAAATTTCCAAATATCAGTAATTTATAATATGCCTTCACTTAACAAGTACTTTGGAATTTTATTACTACCATTTTAAGGGAAGGTTCAAATACTGTCATTTGCTTGGAAGATCACTGCATTCAACATCAGACAGAAGACTTGAGCTATGGATTAAGAGTTGAAAATCGTCAAGATTCCAAAGATATACATTATTATGGAATTAAGAGTACTAGGATGTAATCTGTTATAACTGGTGAATATTTTCTAAGTGGAGCAGAAGCTTGACAATTATTTAGCAATTTCACTTGTATGGAAAACCATCTATAGCAAAAAGAAATCCAAAAAGCACAGTGAATTAGATAATTTGAAGAAATAACAAGCTGAGGAAGATGAGTTGAGCATGTTTTCCAACAGTTTGCTCTTGAATTGCTACATTCTATGGCATGTACTGGAAAAAAGGATGATAGCAAAATGACTGAAATGTAACAGAGTGTAGTCAATACGTTACTCTTCAAAAGCCTTCTGAATGATTACTCTGGCATCAAAAACGTAAAGGCTCAGACTTTCCACTCTCCACTTTCAGCACTCTCACCACAACAAAATATACAGGTTTCTTTATCTTAGGCTCTGCATACTGTTCCCTTCAGGTCCCTTGGTTATAGGGTATTGCTGTTCAAATCAATATTATTCTGAATAATAGATCAAAATGATCATTTCTGAAAATAGATAATGCAGCATTTTCCCCTTAGACCGTCGTTTCTTCTGACCCCATTACCATTAATGACCTCCTCACTATGAACAGCAGCCAAGTATCTCCTAGTAACTAAAATATGTAAAGGGTTTAATGTTATTTTTGAATAGTGGTTACATGCACATAGTGTAAAATTCAAAGAGCACCAAACATTATACATTCAGAGGAACTCTCCTCCTCTTCTCAGCTCCTGTGCCCCATTTCCCTCCTCAGAGGCAACCTCTGCTGTCGATTTCTTGGGTGTGCTTCGAGAGGTACTCTGCTGTTTTCCATGAGTGGTAGCATTGCAAACACGACTACTGTGCAGCACCTTTTTAAAAAAAAAAACATATTTATTGAGGCATAATTTGCACACTATACAATTCACCCATTTTTAAGTGAATATCCAATGGTTGTGTAAGCTTACAGAGTCATGTGACCATTTCCAAAGTCCAATTTTAAAACATTTATACTATTCCAAAAAGATCCCTGGTGACCATTTGCAATCATTCCCTGTTCTCACTCCAGCCCCAGGAAACCACTAATGTATTTTCCATCTTTATAGATTGGCTTTCTGGGGTCTGTTGTGACTGGCTTCTTTCACTTAGCCTAATGTTTTTAAGAAACACCAATGTTGTAGCATATACTGCTACTTCATTTCTTCTTATTACTGAGTACTATGAATGTCAGAGGACTACATAATGTGGAAGTTGGCAAATTTCCTCTTTTTGACTTATGCATGGTATGTTAGCAATCCATGTTTGCAACAGTTTCCCACCCTTGGAGCTTTATCCTCTAATAACTTCTCAAAGTATTTCTTCCTAACACAAATAATGGTTTCCCTAAGACGTATTTTGATGAATAGTCTCTTTAGTCCTCTTCTTGATATATTAGTATGAGAGAGCTCTTAGGAAGCACATGAGAGGGGAAGGACTGAATAAAGAAGTTGAGAGAAAGTCAAATATAATTGCAGCCCATGCAGAGGTGTCCGTTCTAACATTGCTTTCTAACAGCCATTCCAACATGCCTAGATATATATATATTCCATTTAGTCCTACCAGACCTCCATTCATTCAGATACAAGAACACTTTATAATTGAGCAAGTTAATGTTTATGTAATAAAATATTGATTAGAAAGAGCAAGTGTCTTTAAAGTTGAACATCTCTGGGCTCAAATCCCAGCTTCATCATGTCCTAATTGAGTAAATCTCTGCTAAGTGGCAATGAGCAGTAACACACATGCCATTGTGTAAGGATCAAAAGATGAAATATACAAAACACCTAGAGCAGTGTTTGGCACTAAGTAGGGACTCAGTAAGTAGTAATTGTTATTTTCACATCTCTAGAAAGAAGAAATAACTATCTTTGTCTGCTGGCAACGTTTCATCTTTTTCCACCACTAATGAATAGATATATTCCAAGGTAATCATTAAATAAATTCTCAGTCTTCATAGATAAAATGACTGTACGAATTTTATTCTGTCAATGTAATAAAATAATTAAGTCATTGTTTTTAAAGGCTTTGACAGTTGCAATGTAAGAGCGAAGAAGCCATTCTCAGCATCAACCACCATCAAAAAGTGCAAGATAATTAATTCAGAGGTTGTGGTTTAATAGAATCTATTATAAAATAACATCTAACAATGGAATTAAAATTGTTTTTATATAACACTGTATTCTTTGACATTCACAACTGACCCTTGAGATAAGTAGACTTCCTGTGATTACCCCTAGCACGGGTGAGGAAACGAGGCTCACACATGTGAACAACCCTGAATCCTGGGCTTTCCCCTCTATGTTGTAAAAATTTGATTAAATAAAATAATGAATTTAAAAAAGCTTCTTAAGCCATAAAATGTTGTGAAAATATAAGTAGCTATTGTGATTGTTCTTATCTTGGAGTAGACAATCTAATAAATTCTAGAACTCAAAAGTTTATCTTTTATAGTTAAAACCAAAGCATTTAATTCTACTACCAAAATCTCCAGAAGGTTGAGCTCTTCTCAGACGACCTTAATCTTGGTTCTTATTGTAAACTAAGGATCTGCATTTCCTCTAGGTCTGTGAAATTAGGTGAGGGTTAGAAGAGACACAGTCTTCAAGGCCTTCTAAATGTCTTGAGGCAGCGGGTTACCCAGGACTAGGTCGCTGATAGGAATCAGCTAAAAGCTTTGCAAACAGAAAACCCATATAACCCATTATAAACTTTGGTTGCAAATACAGAATTAGATACTGGAATCATGTGGATCACAAGGTGCCTTCATCTAATGCCTCCTACTCAGAATGGAATTTAAGGACCTTACAATTTTTATTATTACAATAAATATGACCTTACAATTATGATGCCACTCCCCTATTGTACTACTTTCAGCTATGTGTTAGACACATCTTCCTACACATTCATAGCCCTTCCACTATTCAGATTGACCCAGTGTCTCTATCTCCAGGGTTACTGTCACCAGTTACTATTCAGCATGAAAGGATTTGAGTGCAATTTGCATGTCTCTTTCACATTGTTGTTTTAGTAAACTATTGTAAGTCTACTCTTTCTATAGAATTCCTGGAAATTATACAATGTCTGTTTCCCCTTTAGCTAAAAGTGTACTCATTTCATTTATGGAAAAAATCTAGATTATTTTTGTGGGGGTTTAACCAGCTTTGCATTTCACAAGATAAAATACAATCTCAGGGGAATACATTAATGTATAGATACTTAATAAAAATATCTGGTATCTTTCCATCAATAGGCACTCCAAATAATTCTCAATATATTTTTACAGACAAAATTGAAGTATTCAATTTCAAAAAACTTATGAAACCAACCTAAAGACATAAAAGCTCAACATTGATAGATGTCTATCAAATTAGTCTTAGCTTCAAAAACATAAAAGGAGCTACCTCTATGGTTTTAAAAGCACTTTTTTCCCCTCTTCCATCATGTTATAGAGGGTGGATGATGGAAGTTTTCCTGACTTGCTGACTGAACTATTTCGCTATCTTCTGACTAAACTTTTTCCACCCTCACACCCATTGCAATGTCCAAGAGCAAAACAGGGGCTGTTGCTTCCTGCTTTTTCTCTTCTTATGTCTGAGACACAGAGTATAAGTGGAGGAATGCAAGTCATCAGAGTAAAAGACAGCCAAGTGTCATCATATATAAGTTTAGAATCTACCTGTGATGTTCAATGGGAACAAGGTTTTCCAACTTTTACAGAAAGGAGATTTTTATTTTTATTTATTTTTAAATTTAATTTTATTTTAAGTTCTAGGATACACAGGATGTGCAGGTTTGTTACATAGGGAAATGTGTGCCATGGTGGTTTGCTGCACCTATCAACCCATCACCTAGGTATTAAACCCTGTATGCATTAGCTATTTATCCTGATGCCCTCCCTCCCCCTGTTCTCTGACAGGCCGCAGTGTGTATTGTTCCCCTCCCTGTGTCCACGTCTTCTCATTGCTCAGCTTCCACTTATAAGCGAGGACAGGCAGTGTTTGGTTTTCTATTCCTGTGTTAGTTTGCTGAGGATAATGACTTACAGCTCCATCCATGTCCCTGCAAAGGACATGATCTCTTTCCTTTGTATGGCTGCATAGTATTCCATGGTGTATAAGTGCCACATTTTCTTTATCTACTCTATCATTGATGGGCATTTGGGTTGATTCCATGTCTTTGCTATTGCAAATAGTGCTGCAATGAACATATGTGTGCCCATGTAAATTATTATAATAGAATAATTTACATTCCTTTGGGTATATACCCAGTAATGGGATTGCTGGGTCAAATGGTATTTTTGGTTCTAGATCCTTGAGGAATCACCACACTGTCTTACACAATGGTTTAACTAATTTACTTTCCCACCAACAGTGTAAAAGCATTCCTGTTTCTCCACAGCCTCACCAGCATCTGTTGTTTCTTGACTTTTTAATAATCGCCATTCTGACTGGCATGAGATGGTATCTCATTGCGGTTTTGATTTGCATTTCTCTAATGATCAGTGATGTTAAGCTTTTTTTCATATGTTTGTTGGCTGCATAAGTGTCTTCTTTTAAGAAGTATCTGTTCATGTCCTTTGACCACTTTTTAATGGGGTTGTTTGTTTTTCTTCTTATAAATTTGTTTAAGTACCTTGTAGATTCTGGATATTAGCCCTTTGTCAGATGGATAGATTGCAAACATTTTCCCCCATTCTGTAGGTTGTCTGTTCACTCTGATGATAGTTTCTTTTGCTGTGCAGAAGCTCTTTAGTTTAATTAGATCCCAATTGTCGATTTTTGCTTTTGTTGCAAATGCTATTGCTGTTTTTGTCATGAAACCTTTACCCATGCCTATGTCCTGAATGGTATTGCCTAGATTTTCTTCTAGGGTTTTTATAGTTTTGGGTTTTACATTTAAGTCTTTAATTCATCTTGAGTTAATTTTCGTAAAAGATGTAAGGAAGTGATCCAGTTTCAATATTCTGCATATGGCTAGCCAGTTTTCCCAGCACCATTTATTAAACAGAGAATCCTTTCCCCATTGCTTGTTTTTGTCAGGTTTGTTGAAGATCAGATGGTTGTAGATGTGTGGTCTTATTTCCAAGATCTCTGTTCTGTTCCATTGGTCTATGTGTCTGTTTTCATACCATTACCATGCTGTTTTGGTTACTGTAGCCTTGTAGTATGGTTTGAAGTTAGGTAGCGTGATGCTTCCAGCTTTGTTCTTTTTGCTTAGGATTGTCTGGGCTATACAGGCTTTTTTTTGGTTCCATATGAATTTTAAGTTGGAAAGGAGATTTTAAATAACAATTCTAGGTAACTGTTACAAGCTAAATTGTGTCACCCACTATTCATGTATTGAAGTTTTACCCCTGAGTTCTCCAAAATGTGACTGCATTTAGAGACAGGGTTTTAAAAGAAATAATAAAGTAAAATGAGGTCATTACAATGGTTCCTAACCCAAAATGACTGGTACCCTTATAAGAAGAAGAGATTCAGACACAGGGACAGAAGGAAGATCATGTGAAGACACAGGGAGAAGGTGGCCAACTATAGTCTAAGGAAAGAATCCTTAGGAGAAGCCAACCCTGCTGACACTTTAATCTTGGATTTCTAGCCTGTGGAACTGTGATAAAATATTCTTTTTTTGTGGTTTAAGTTACCTAGTCTGTGGTACTCTGTTATAGAAGCCCTGGAAAACTGATACAGTAAAACTAAACACACACACACTCTCTCTCTCTCTCTGTCTCAGATTACTTTAGTGACCACAGCAGAGTTCCCAGAAATAGACCACTGTCCCTAACTCTATTATTACTTCTCTGGCTCCCCCACCTGAAATTGAAAGGTGCTATTCTCTATAATCCATTGGTCAAAGGTCTGCAGTAAAAACAAAAGTTAAAATGCCTGTTCTTACCATGTAATCCCCAGGAGGTGACAAGCCCTCTGATCCTTAGTCTTCTCCCTACATCTCTCTCAGATGACAACATAACAGATGTAGGAGCTGTCTTACCTAGGTTCAAATCTCTCCTCTGCCCATTTACTTGCTGTGTAACCAATGGCAAGTTACTCCACCTCTCTTTTCCCGTTGGTAAAATATGGATAATAATAGTACCTATGATTCTTGTGAAGATTATATGAGTGTGTGTGTGTGTGTGTGTGTGAGAGAGAGAGATATAACACTCAGGACACATGATAAGTATTGTGTAAGTGTTTACCTTTTTGTTTTTTTCATCATCATAGGCTTCTTAAAAGAATTTAATAAGGCAAATTATGTAAAGCATAGTCCTTGCAAGAGTACAGGTGTTCAATAAACTAAAAATAGTGTGCTGACTTGCTGTAGTAAAGAACACAAGGTTTGGATTTAGGAAGTCTAGATTAGAGTTTGGGCTGCTTTACCTTCCTCCTTCTCTCCCTTTCCCCAAAGCCTGCTGCTCTCACAGTCTTTCCATCTCAGTTAATTGCAACTCCATCCTTTCTGTTCCTCAGTCTGAAAGTCTTGATATTATCCTTGAGTGTTCTTTTTCAATCCTGATACGTCTGCCTTCAAAATATATCTGGAAAACAACCACCTTTTATCCCCCCCAACCCCCAAAACCACCACAGTCCAAACTACTCTCTTCTCTCACTTGGCTTATTTCAATAGCATCTTAAATAGTCGTCCTCGTTCTTTGCTTTCTCCCCTTCGGTTTGTTCTGAACATGACAACCAGAATCCTTTTAAAATATATGTCACTCCTCTGCCCAAAATCTTTAATAGTTTCTCAAAGTATGAACCAACCAAACTTACAATGACCTACTAGGTACCATGTCATTTGCACACCCTCATACCCTACATTACTTATCTGACCTCATTTCCTACTTCTTCTCCCTTTCAAATCACTTCACTTGGGCAACATCGACCTTGTTAGCTGCTTTTTGAACACACCAGGCAGGCTCCTGCCTCAGAGCCATTCACTTGCTGTTTCCTCTGCCTGGAATGTTTTTCTACTAGAAAACTCCATGTTTCTCCCTTTCACCACTCTCAAATTTCAGTTTCTTTGGGAACCCTATTTGAATTTACAACTTTTACAAAACTGTCTTTAACTTCATCTTCTTAGATTGTTTTTTCATATATTTGTCATTACAAATATTATAGTTTTAAAAACTCTTGCTAATTACCTATCTTTTCTCACTTGAATATAAGTTCATTGAGGGAAAGGACTTTTGTACCTTGTGTTAACTAACACATTGCTTGTGTTTGGAACATCCCCAATAACTGGCATGTGATATGTGTTCAATAAATATGTTGAATAAATGAATAGAAACATTATCTTAGATAAAATGCCTCCTTTTGATGTCTAATACCAATAAAACAAACCACAATGTACATATACTAAAAAGGGTTAAGGGGTAGATTTCACCTCACATGTATAAATACCAATAATAATAATAGAATTTGTTTACTAAATATAATATATTTAAGGATTTCACTATTTTATCTGATCATGCAAAACTGTTTATTTTGGAAATGAATGACAGATCTGGGATCTATGTACAGGTTTGGAATCTATATCTAGAACTAAATTTAAAACCTGGTTCTTATCATTACTGTGATGTACCATCTAGTTGGTGATATAGATATTCCCTTAGTAAATATATAATATGTTAATCATTATTTGAAATGAAATTCCTAGGAAGTAATAATTTTATAGTGAGAGTTAATAGAAAGGTTTGTACTTATTTCTGAAAACTATTAACTGTTTCTTGCCTAATTTGAGTTCAAGCCAATAGATGAGGGCCAATTATAGGTTTGCTTTAATACTACATTACTACTTCCCCCAAATGTCCAAAATTTATTGTGAAATAATTTAGTAAGACATGGGATCTCACAAGGCTTTTGTGTAATGGGGAGTTTGGCTGGCCTTTGTCCCTCATTCCCAAGAGGTAACTTCTAAACCTGTGGAATTTCCTGAGTAATAGATATTTCTTTGTTATTCAATGTGAGACCCTTGATAGTTTATGTTAACAAGATGATCAGGTTGGGGCCTGGCTGTGCCAGAAAGGCCAGTTATGTGATTAGAGAGTTAGAGTATTCAGCCACATGATATTAGCCTGGTCTCCAGGGAGGCAAGGGAAGCTAGAGATTGAGTTCAACCTCTGGCTGGGCACAGTGGCTCATGCCTGTAATCCCAGCACTTTGGGAGGCCAAGGTGGGCGGATCACTTGAGGTTGGAAGTTCGAGACCAGCCTGACCAACATGGAGAAACCCTGTCTCTGCTAAAAATACAAAAAAGTTAGCCGGGTGTGGTGGTTCATGCCTGTAATTCCAGCTACTCAGGAGGCTGAGGCAGGAGAATTGCTTGAACCTGGGAGGCGGAGGTTGTGGTGAGCCGAGATTGCACCATTGCACTCCAGCCTGGGCAACAAGAGCGAAACTCCATCTAAAAAAAAAAAAAAAAAAAAAAGAGTTCAACCTCAAAGTCAATGATTCAATCAGTCATGCGTACATAATGAAACCCCAATAAAAACCCTGGACACCAAAGTTCAGGTGGGTTTCCATTGTTGGCCATACTCTGGGTATGGCTGCACATTCCTGTGGCAGGAGGATAACAGGACCTCTCGTGGGGAAAAAACAATGTGAACTGCATGTTTGGAACCTTCCCACTGTACTCGATGCTTCTCTTCCTTTGCCTGCCTCTTATTTGTATCCTTTTGCTATAATAAAACTGTAATAAGCATAGCACTTCCCTGTGGTCTATAGGTCATTCTAGTAAATTATCAAAACTGAGAGGGCAATGGGAACCCCCAAATTTGAACCAGCTGGTCAGAAGTGAGATGAGAATAGCCTGGGATTCTCTTAATTTGCAGCTGAAATCTGAAGTGAGAGTGGCCTTGAGGTGGACTGTGCCCTTAACCTGTGAAGTTTGGCCCAACTCTGGCCAGTTGGTGTCTGAAGACATCGCATCTTTCTTTGTCTACTTCTATCCAAATACTTAAACATCTTTTAGTACAGGTAACTCCTAGCTAAATAGTGATACTTTTAAACATAAGTAGGTACTTCTTTTTTGTTAAAAGGAAATGGTACTTTAACAGTGACAGATTCATTCAGATGATTCATTTTGTGAGATAAATGAATTGTCATGGTCCCCTTGAGAAGATTAAAAAATGAGAAATATTCAGCCATATCTAAAATATCTAAGGAATTTCCTTTGAATCTTCATATGAATATAAAAATCTGATAAAAGGAAATTGCAATTCATGATCAATGCCATAGGAGAGTGAAAAAATTGATTGTCATCGTTCTGTTGAGAAAGCACAAAATGTATAAGATCTCTGCGTGTTTCCAAAAATCTTTGAATTGACTTTCTAAACAAATTTAAAATTCAAATCATCAACATAAAGGTACCACTCATGGCCATTCCTAAACAATGGTAAAAATAAATAGGAACACACAGTTCTCTTAATCTGGAAGATGCTTTTGCATATTTGATTACATGTAGCTCCAAAGCTTAAACCAAATAATTTGGTTTATTTGGGACTTAAACCAAATAATTATATGCCTCTTAATTACGTTCTTAAGAATATTACCACTACAATCAGAAAACAATACAATCCCACTTATTCTTCACTCAATTGTGTTATTGAATCATTTTTTAAAAGATAGCATAACATTTTAAGCTTTTTTCATCCTGTTTGGTAATGTTAGTGATTTTTTTCAAATGTTGCCATCTTGTCTACTTGACTTTATAGTCTATCACATACTTCAAAAGGTATATAGCCTTTTCTTATTTTTAGAATTAGTTCTATAGATCATGGCCTCAGATAATGGAGCCATGACATAAATAATCCAAATGAATTATCAAGGCAATTCTAGGTGGAATTTTGTTTGAAGAGACTCAGATCAACAGATAATTATAAAAGTATCTCATTTCTTACTGGCAATTAAGAAAGAGCCAAGTCAAAACCTATACTAGCACTTTTCATCCTAGATCCTTCCATTCCTCAATTTTCTTGAGCACAGGAGGAGTCTTAGAGCTCCGTGCAGGTGAAAACCCCAACCCCCAGGAGTATTTCTCTCCTGCTCCTCCAGTCCCATAACCTTCTTCTTGATCTCTTTATAATGAGACCAGTCTGGCCTCCTACCCTCTTAGTGAGATCTCTTCTTCTTTAGGGAAGGAGATTGAGAGAAGGGAAACTAGATTTGAGTTTGCGGGGTCCTTTTTTTTCAGATTGTTGTTGCAGTGGTAGCCCTGAATCAACCACAGTGTTATTTTCCCTTTCATATTTCATCTTTGGTGGAAGACAGAGTAAGTGCATCTTGGCTATCATAATGTATTTGTTCACTATGTGAAGATACCTAGTATTCTAAATGCACTATACACAAAAGTAACATCCAGTTCAACCAACAGATTGCTGATCTAATGATAAACACACCTAACTATATGTTTAAGAAGTTTTTTATGGCACATTCAACTCATATGTAGCTCACTATCACTGAGAGGGGTCCATTTCAGGGAAGGCTACGTTGTTAGGCATGCTGCTGGCATCATTATTTCTGCACGAATGCTGAAATAAGCACCTATGTGACCAGCTGACTACCTTGCCTGATGCTCATTTTTGTTTAATTATTTTATGGGATGAAGCTATTACATGAGAACACTTTGACAAGAAAATGTCCCTCAATATGAAGTTATATGCCTAGGTTTGCCTTTTTAAATAAATACCATGACATTTTATTACAGCAGGGGAGATGGAGGGACCATTTCAAAATACATTTTTTAATTATCATTACTCCTTTAATTAGACTAGATGGAACTGGTTTCAAACAATCAGAATGCTGGATGGTTGACTCAATTACTGTTTGTTGCTTTCTTCCCCCACTCAATTAAACCACCTCTTTGCCCACTGTCAGCACATTGTGTTTTCCTCCCAGGAGGTAGAAAATGTTATAATGTTATTCTTTTTTATTTCTGCTTGATTTACATAGCATTATTGTCTTAACAAAACTTAACTGGATTTCACTCCATAAGGATTTTAGATAGCAGACTGTTTAAACTCCATTAACAATTAGCCTTTTTGGTAATTATAAGGTTCATTACAAAGAATACAGGCTTTGTTTGCTGCCCACTTTTGTTTTTTGTTTGTTTTCATATTCAGTGCACTTAAAGAAACTTTATCACCCTGGTGTTCCCAGTCACCTGGTGAATTAACATGCAGTTTGTTTACTAAGTGTTGCTGGTATCTTCCATAAATGCAGTCATTAGAATGTATTCTGTGCTACTTAATTGGGTGGAAATTGTATTCCTGGTTATTTTACAGTGTAGCGTATACATTTTAATGTAACTTGTAATGTTTTCATTTTGTCCCTTTTTGTGTGGGTAAAAATACTAGATCTAAGCTGTTCTACCATGAGGAAAAAGCTGTTCTAGAACTCTGAGACAGCTGGTAAATGAACTTGTAAAATTTCAGGGAGATTGGAAATAGCAGTGCCATACCATAGGGCTAACAGAAGAGTATTCAAGGTCTAGGTTGTGGGATTGGGTTGTCCCAGAATACAAAAAAAAGAACCATTTATCTGATAATCACAAAACTAGTGTAGACCTTTGTGGCTGTATGGTATATAGATAATTGATGTTTGAAAGAATAACCTTGAAACAATTAGAAAGTTCTAGGAAATAGCAAAGACTCAATTAATTTGCATGAAATTTTAAATAGTTATGTTTTATTACATTCAAATTCTTAGAATCATACTTTAGATTGATAAATACATGTGTAACAGTATATTCTATATATTAATTCTTAAATGATGTTGATTATTTTTCAGTCACTTGGGACAAATTAGTTTGCTATAATGAATATGTCTGTAATCTAAATGAGTCTAAAATTAGTCTATGTTGTACTAAATGTTCTACTGAAGTTTGTACTATCGCAGATGGCACCTAAGTGAGTTCTGGTTTATTATACACTTATGCCTCAATAACCGTAACAATTAATCATTACTATTACTATGTATTTTAAGTTCTGATGAATATCAACTGAACTCATTAAAATAGTAGGGGACTCATTGACTTTGCAATAATTGGTTCTTAGAATAGAAATATCCCAGAGTTATAGTGTATGTCCAGATACATTGTTTTCTGTACTCTTATTCATACATAATCAGTTTCTGGTCCTTTCTGATGACTAACTTGTATTGTGAGCATTGATTCGATTAACTTATACTCTGCAGTCATAAGCAGCTGAAATCAGCTAGCTACATAGGAGAGGCCTATATTTTCAGACTTCTTTTCTATTTTCAGTACGTTTCTTCTGTTGACTAGCTACCATTCTGGAGTGACAAGATGACAGTCCAAGTTTAAATATATGTGTATGTACATATGTGTGTGCATGCATGTGTGTGTGTGTATGTATGTAAGTGTGCCTGTGTGTATTTGAGGTGGTGCCTTAATATGACAAGAGGCTTTTACAAATATATTATTTGTATTATGAAATCTGTCTTAAAACAGGAATAATTTCAAAAATATCTAATGAATAAACAATAAAATAGTGTGCAACTGCAGTAAAAAAGTGGCTTCCTTATCAGGAAGTGACATGTTAACCAGATGCAGGCAGCAAAAAATTTATTCATTCAAAAGCTTTAGCCTCAGTGGCAAATAATTTTTTTTTTTTTTTTTTGAGACGGAGTCTCGCTCTGTCGCCCAGGCCGGACTGCGGACTGCAGTGGCGCAATCTCGGCTCACTGCAAGCTCCGCTTCCCGGGTTCACGCCATTCTCCTGCCTCAGCCTCCCGAGTAGCTGGGACTACAGGCGCCCACCACCGCGCCCGGCTAATTTTTTGTATTTTTAGTAGAGACGGGGTTTCACCTTGTTAGCCAGGATGGTCTCGATCTCCTGACCTCATGATCCACCTGCCTCGGCCTCCCAAAGTGCTGGGATTACAGGCGTGAGCCACCGCGCCCGGCCAGTGGCAAATAATTTTATGCTGACTTGATTAGACAAACAAAAACGTTTTTTAGAGAGGGGGGAAAAAGGACTGTCTCTTCTGTTACACTTTTCTCAAAATTTCATAGATTTAGCTGTATTTTATTAAAACAAACTTGCTTGATTTAAAAAAAAAGACACACCCACCCTTACCAGGAAGGAGTAATATTGTCTAGTTTTATCTTTATGATGAAAATTATGAAGACTCAAAGTAATGATTATCATGGGAAGAACCTAATAAACAAGTGCTCAATAAATGCTTGTTGGAAGAATGAGCACAACTGTAGTAGCCTCCAGGCTTATTGAGCCATTGCTAGGGGTTTCTTAAAGGTGCCAAACTCACAATGCCCTCAACTTACTTATGTTCTCTAAGGGAAGTGGTTTTTACTGCAGCCAACTTAAATGGTATGTCATATCTCTCCCTAATAATTTTAGGATGTATGTTCATTTGATCAGGGAATAAGATAAGCCCATTTTAGCTTGAACTACGAGAAGAAGCATTTTCTAAGTCAACTTAAAGTGTACCTCTTGTCCTCTCAGGGGAACTGAAGGAATCTTCCTTTCTGTACCACCTTGCTCCAGCCCCTTTGATATCCCTAAGAGGAGTCCAAGGCCCTAATTGTGCTTCACTACAGCAGGTGGAGTTTTCAAAGAGATTCATTGTGGCTACTAATCACATAACCCAAACTTTGATACAAACTTCATTCAAGGGGAGGTGTCACAGGTTATATCAATGAGAGTCTGCTTTAGTTAGAAGGTATAATAGTCTAGGCTTACTTGGGAAAGTAAAAAGTCTATAATCATGGTCAAGTTTACATTATATTGGGCTTTGGGGCCAAAATTCCAGATGTAAACAAGGTATTATTTTTGTTATTTTAATTTGTTGACTTCATAGGAAGGCAGTATTATGCAACCAAGTCAAGATTTCAATATCCCTTGGCCAAATAGCATTATAGTCACCTTAAGCTCACCATCATTCCCTATAATAACAGATCGAGGTGGATGTTTAACTACTTGAGAAATATTGCTTATGAAAACATGGCAGCATCTTTTCTACACCATATCTAATAGTAATAGCTAATGTGTTAAACACTATAAATGTTTTACATGGAACACCTTACTTAATCCTCAGAACAACCCTGTGAAATGGACATTATTCTTTCCATTTTATAGGTGAGAAAACTGAAACTTACAGAGGTACCTGCCAAGATTTCCCTATCTCAGTAAATGATACCACTATTTATTCAGTTACTCAAGGCAGAAATATAGGGCCACCCTTGAAAACTTACTTTTCCTCACCCTACATCCAATTTGGTAGCATCCCTGGTGGTTTTAACTCCAGTGATTTCTTGGCTTTGACCTCTTTGCTTCACGTTTATTAAATCATCATGATCATACATCCACATTATTGGAACAGAATTTTCACTGGGTCTCGTCAGTTCAATGCTCCTCTTCAATCCACTCTCCACAAGGAGCAAAAGTGACCTTAAAATTCAAATGGAATCATGTCAACGCTTTGCTTAAAATCCTTCTGTGGCTTCTCATAGCAATGAAATAAAATCCATACACTAGAGCAGAGTATAATTTCTGCATCCTTTGGCCCCGATTTATGTCTCCACTTCTACTTTGTTCCTAACCCACCATCTTGTAGTCACACTGCTCATTTTTCAGTCCTTTAAATGAGCCAAGCACATTGCCACCTCATGGTCGCGGCCTAAGCTCCCCCTCTAAATGGAATGTTCTCCCTACATGTCATGTGACTAATTCCTTCTATCCTTTTGGGTGTCAATCTTAAATGTCACCTCCCTATAGAGATCTAATCTTGACAAAACTACCTAGATTATGTTCCCCCATTCTCATTCTTCATCTTAGTGTCTTCTTTGGTCTTTTTGTAACAAAATTCCATGTAAAGTCATTTTATGCATATATTTATTTGTCTTTTTTTGGGGGATGGGTACTGTGTCTTCCCATAAAATATGTGTTCCAAAAAAAATAGGTACTGTTACCATCTTCTTCACTATTATTCCCACAGCAAAACCTAGTAGAGAATAAAAGATAATCAACATATAATTTTTGAATGAATAAAGGTGAGTTCTCAAACTTTGACATTTTCATGGATGTGATATTTAAGACAGAAATTTGTTAGGATGTTCATAACATTATTGACTTTTTTTTTTTTTTTTGAGACAGAGTCCCACTCTGTCGCCTAGGCTCAAGTGCAGTGGCATGATCTCAGCTCACTGCAACCTCTGCCTCCCAGGTTCAAGCTATTTTCCTGCCTCAGCCTCCCTAGTAGCTGGAATTACAGACACATGGCACCACACCTGGATATTTTTGTATTTTTAATAGAGATGGGGTTTTGCCATTTTTGCCAGGCTGGTCTCAAACTCCTGACCTCAGGTGATCCACTCACCTCGGCCTCCCAAAATGCTGGGATTACAGACTTGAACCACTACGCCTGGCCCATTATTGACTTTTTTTTAACCAAATAGTAACATTTAAAACTGTATACATACATATGTGTATATATATTTTCTGTATACATATATTTGTGTATGTATATATATATTCTCTAGACATAATTTTTATTTGTGATACTTATGTTCTATAATGTTTCTTTGAACACTGATTTAGCAAATACTGGATAATTGGTCTTAGAGGAAATATGGAGCTAGGTTCCTGCGAGCCCTCTGGTCACAAAATTTTTATTAATCAATCAATATATAACCCTGTTACCATTTTCTTTCTTTTATTCTTTAGGTGAGAAAACTTAAGATCTACCTCTTAGCAAGTTTCAAGTATGCATTATAGTATTGTTAACTATGATCATCATGCTATACATTAGATCTCTAGAGCTTAATTCATTTTTGCATAATTGAAATTTTGTACACTTTGACCAACTTCTCCCCATTTCTCCCTTCCACTATTTAAAGCCATAAAACCCCCCAAACAAAACCGTGTAACCTTGTTTTATGTGTGTTGTGATATAAAGACACCTTATTTAACATGTTGTTGATTCATTAACATTGAACTTATGGAGAATAGGTCTGTAACTCATGCCTGAACAAAGCTTAGCTAATATATATTTTCCATAAGGCCATGACAGCTTTCTTGTGTTTCAGAACACTAGATAGCACTTCCAACACTACAGTTTGGGGCCATTTTAAATAGCAAAATTATCGACAAAAAATCCTATGCAAAAATGCAAAGAATATGGCAGTAAATGGACTACCAAAGTGTTAAAGTGTTGGAAAATTATGACACTTTAGTAGTATGAGAGCTGAAACAAACAAAAAACATCATCATAGGGAGCCAGGGGCAAATACCAACAAGCTACAAACTGAAGGATTTCAAGAAAAGTGGGTCAAATATTACATAATTTCTCATCTTAACCATCTCTCAACACTTTCTGATTTCAGAATATGAAATTTATTAGAGAAGGTATGTAATACTCATGGTATTTTTCATGTTTCTAACTAGATTTGCTTTAGTGCATTTTAAGAAAGATGAAGAAAGCAAACCTACAATTTTATACTCTAATGGGCTGTCCCTTCAGCATTTCCAGTGACAATTTTATGGAAGTCGATTACTGAACTAAAATTAAGTTCTTGAGTGATTTAATGATATTAGCTTCAGGTAAGGCTCATTTTGATATGTCTAATAAGGATGTAACACACTGCAATGCATTCTTGAAGTCTGCTGGAGATATTGATTACACGTCAGGAATGCATTTAAACTAATTCATAAGATTTTTGTCAAATCAGTTGTCTGGCAGTTTACATAATAAAAAAATGATGAGTGATTAGCAAGCATCATTTTATATAGAGTGTCTCCCCTAAAAGCTGTTCTGTTATATTGTATGGGCATGCTGTCTTGATGAAATAGTAAACCAATTTACCCCTAATCATGATGTTTCACTCATATTTATCATAGAGAGGTGTCTATACTCTTGTGTTGTTCACCAATATAAGCCTAGGTTACCTGATTCATTTATGCTTCATCTACTTTTATTCTGACAACAGCAATTTATCATCTTATAAGACATAGAAGAATAGGTAAGCTTCCTGTTGATAGTATCTAATAATGTTGCACATTCTTACATTTTTAAAATTACTTTCATAACCATATTTCATTTAGTAAACTTAAAAATTACATGGAGTAGATTCAGATATTATTTTGACCACCTTACATAATGAAAATTGAAGTTCAGAGGATTAAGTGACCTGTCTAAGCCACCATAAGAAGCTTAAATCTGGATTTTATTTTTTAGTGTGACCTCTATGTATTATATTTCATCTTTTTATGCTTAAGAGACTAAAGACTAAGAGAAATTGAATTTTGAGAAAACAAAATTTTGACAACAAACTAAATCTCTTATGCTCTTGAGGGTAAAATAATTATTAATGTGGGATAGAAGATGTCATGGAAACTATTATTTTGAGCCAAATTCTAAAATAAATAAAAATACTAAAAGTTTCCATATATTATTATAGTTTTAAAAAAGCAAAACATCTATTAGTGAGGTGGCTTTCATACCATAACAATTGTAAATATAGTATAAAGTGATGAATTCTATCCAATTAAAATATAGAAACATCCAGTTAATTATCAAGATGATCCACAAATAACAGAGTTCAGAACTGGTCAAGGTGGTAATTAACAAGTTCTGAATTACACAGACAAGTTCTGCATAAAGTAGAGAAGGTTATAACAAGAGCTAGTGAAACAGATAAAAGGAAGGCTAAATTAGCAGTTTTTCTATCCTGTTTCCAACACTTTAATTATCTGAAGGAATGCTATGTTATTAGAGTCTCAACAAAAATTTCATAATAATTTTATTTCAATTTGTAATCATTCCAAGTGCCTGTAATCATTCCAAATGCCCGTACACAGGTGTCATAGAACTCTTCTGTAGTAAATGTTATAAACTCAAAACAGTGATACATTTGTATCACTCCAGGCAGGTTAGGAGGCACGACTTGATATATCTTGGTATAATCCATCTACGCTCATCCTGCCCCACCTCAGCAGAGTCCTGTGGATGGAGCTCTTAGATTGGAAAGACATGCATCCTGTCCTAAAGAGGAACGCTGAAAAAACTTCCTTACTGTTACTCTGAAGATACAAATTCTCCCTTCCCAGTCATACTCCTCCCTAGAGAGCCAGCCCCAAAGCCCTGCCTATCCTGCCTGTACCCTGTGGCTTTACACTGTCCCAGGGTCATTGCTAATTAAAGCTGAACCAATCAGATTCCATGAGAAATTTGAGTGACGTGGAGTGTAAACCAGTGAAACACATGTACTAGCTTGAAAGAGAGATTATGTAGAGCTGGGAAAGCCATTTTCATATTTCTACCATATAAGACCTGCAGCAAAGGAGCTTAACAGTAGTGAGAAATAGGAGGAGGAGGCCAAGGTGATTGTACCACTTTGACCACAGACAGGGAGAGAGACTTTTTGGTTTTCCAGTTCTCAGTTTTCCTGTTTGGACTTCCTGCCCTGGTGTTCTCTGCTTCAGTAAGATATCCCTGTGTTACTAGGATAAGGAATGCTTAAGTCTGTTGAAATGAACTTGTTTGTCCAATCAAATAGTCCCTGATTATGGCAATCACAAGCTGATCCGAAAGTAGTAGCAACCCTGTGCCAAGTGGCCAGACAGCCTCGGACTGGGTTTCAGTCAAATCTGATTAAGTTACCTCTCCCTACAGGAGAAAATAGCACCTTTACTCTAATAGCCTTTCAGCAGGTTTTTAGCAACACTGGTGTGTCTTATTCGCTCATAATTGTAAAATTGCAGAATTTTCTACCTGGAGTGGAGACTTAATAATCACATTTAGCTTTCTTATTTTGTCAGTGGGAGGACTGAGAAGCAAGGAGGTTGATTGTCTTGTTCAAGGGCTTGGGAAATTCCTAGCTTGGATCTCTTCATTTGGCCTCTCTCCACAGGACCTTTGCTGTCTGTTGGTAGAGGGGTCTTTTGAGTTTTCTTTCCTTGTAAAGGGAAGGTTCTGCTGCCCATAAAACCTTCAGCTAACTTTGTGGATCCGCTAAGAATCATGTTCAGCTGCATATAACAACATGTCAGATATATCAATGGCTTAAACTTATGAAGATATATTTTATTCCACATAAAATAAGTTTGGAGATGTGCAGTCTGGGGAAGATATGGTGACCCCATGATCATCAGGGACTCATCCTCCATCTCTATTTCTGCTCTTCCATTCTTATTTGACTTCCATCTGCTCTTCCATTCTTATTATTTGGCTTCCATCTGCAGGATCACCACAATAGTCCAAAATGGTGTTTGGAGCCTCATCTATCATATCTGCATTCTAGGAGGTAGGGTGTGGAAAAGGAAGGGGCAAAGTGACACATGCCAGCTGTCTGTCTTCTCATTCTAATAGCTTTTGTTTACTTCTCACTGGTCATAGCTCAGTGAAGTGGCCACTTTAATCTCAAGATAAGCTGGGAAATGCATTATTTTAGCTAGGCACATTGCCACCCTAAATAAAATTGGAGCTCTCTTACTAATAAAGAAAGGGTAAATGAATGTTGAAGCAGCAATGAGAAATCTATGCCATACCTTCCTGGACTTTTTCTCTAGCGGATATCTTAGAATGTTCCCATCATTAGGGGGCATCCTAAACTGTTGGGGAAGTTCTTTCTGAGTCATCTCCTTTTCCTGTTAGATCTCCCCATCCCCCTAAACAATGTCAATCTGAACCTCTGTCTAGTTCTAGTATCCACCCACTATGAGCTGACTCCTTTTATCCTCTCTTGGCAGAGGTTTTGCTGTAGCACATATCGGCACCAGCAATAGTAAAATGCATACCCCAAATATGCTCCATTTACTGTCTTTTTAAAAATGCTTTTCACGTCATTACCGAACCCTAAGTAGGAGGAAGACACTCCTTAGTCAGTGGTAAGGCAATCTCTGCTCCTCTTCAAAAGGTTGTCTGTAGAATGATGATAATAACAGTCTCAACCAGTAAGATGTTTTATGATGATGATATAAGTTAAAATAATGTGGAAAGCACTTAGGACACTGTTTTGGAACAAAATAAGTCCCCTATGAATGTCTGTTATTGTTATTATTCATTAATATTATGATTGTTATTATTATCAACACATGGCTTTTTTTATACTGAGGAATATTTAATGATCATCTAGGAAAAAGATATTCTTGTCTCCTAAACAAAAATTCCTCCCAGGAGAATTATTAATGGGCCTGTAAGGCAAGGGAGAGGCATTATGTTCAGGAAGCCACTGCAAGA
Organism: Homo sapiens; assembly: GCF_000001405.40. NCBI lineage: Eukaryota > Metazoa > Chordata > Mammalia > Primates > Hominidae > Homo > Homo sapiens. Next base: position 38,365,980 of record NC_000014.9, on the reverse strand, counting down.
ACAGCTATATAATACCATACAAGCTTTACCAAGTCACCTAGTTGGTAAAGTGGTACTTTACAGTGTGAGTGTTGGGAGACATGCTTCCTGTAAGAGAAGCTTCTCATCTCCAGGAGGCCTTCTGAGCCAAGGATGGTGATGAGGTGGCAAGGAAGATACTTAGAGAAGAGCCAACACACCAAACCAGAGGGAAACATGCTAAACTGTCTCCTTCACAAGTTTTCATAGACTTGTATCTGGTAAGCTGGGTTCCAGGTGTTTTTGGATGAAATTCCTACTGATTGAGTTTCCTAACTACATTCCAATAATCCACATATGCTTTTGATGAGCTGCATGGAAATTTAATGTTGTTCTAAATTAAGTGGAGAGGAGAACAGGAATGTGTTAATTATACATAACAGTGAACCAAGTGTAAAAACTGAAGTCTGTAAATTTATTCTTTGAAGCATATTTCTTGCTTAAAAAAAAAGAAACTAAAAAAATGATGAGACCGTTTAGTGCCTGAAAAATGTGGGGCACTGGGACATGCTATACTTTGAGTTGTTCTTTGAATACTGTGAACTTAGTCGTTATTGAGAGGCTGATGTGCCCTCAAGAGTGATTGTAATTAAAGCCTGATTTGAGAGTCTTTTTTATTTCTGATATGGTTCTAAGAGTGTGTGAGAAAGTTCTGAGGACTGACATTTGGAAAGAAGCAGAGAGTGACTTTTGTATCCTGAGTAAATCACTTCCAATGAAGAGACAGAATTAGAGACAAGAACAGAACAAAAGGTTTAGGGGAAAGGAGGATCTTAGGTGAAAAGGAAACATATAATTCTATCAAAATGGTTTATACTGACATGCTACAAAGGCACATTCAACTAGCAATCACTTTTGAAATAGTCAGGAGAGAGAAATGTGGACACTTACATGAACTGAAAATTCCATTCAAGCACCTCTTTGGATCTTCTTTATCTATACTTTGCTTGGAAGTGAACAAAAATAGATCTTTGAGTATGATTTTTCATTTTCCATTGTCAGAGCACAGGATGTCTCACATGAGGGATAGTAACGCTAAGCACTTTCTAGTTGAGGAGAAAGGCGACAAAGATTATCAAGGAAGATCTCCAAAGAACATGGAATTGGAATTCAGGAAAATAGCTTCCTTCCCTCTAACTCTGTGGCCAAGTTTCTCTCCTGCTTTCTCAAAGATGATTCAGGTTCCTAAATGTAAAATGAAAATCATTCATTCCACCTATCTCATCTATTTAAGTTAAATAAAGCTTCAATATATAGTAGCTGTATAGCAGCTTAGAATGTCCAATAAAAAATAGTCTGCTCAATTTGCAAATTTGCACCAGAGTCTGGAAGATAGGAATATACATATAGATATATAAATATAGTACACTTAAAGTCCGGTGGTAATTGATGATCATTTCCTAGTTAGTAACCAAGACTTACCTAATCAGCAAGGATAGTTTAGGGAGTCGGGGTGGAGAGTTAAGGAGCAGCTCTCTACCCTGCAAGCGGGGAAAGACTTGAAAGATGCAGATGCTATCAACAAACTGTATTTGGATACTGAAACACAGTTGAAGATATTGAGAAGAGAACCCTTTCCAAATTGAGGGGAGCACTCCTTGAGGGGAGAAGCATACAAGATTGCTGGTCTGCAATCTTACTGGGAATGAGGGAGAACACTTAGATGAATCCACGAAACAAACTTTGATAAAAGGAGCAAATATCATAGGAGGGGAAGGAGGGAGTTGTGGTAGGTCCCTGATGACTTATATGGATAAAGAACTGGAAAACTACCCTGAAATAACACTTAGACTATCTGCTACCTACATACCAGCTATAGAGCCTGGGTAATATTAAAAACAAAGGGTATTTGAGATAAAAATCCAGGACAATGTGATTTTGTGGTTATGGCTGAGATTTTTTTTTTTTTTTTTTTTTTGAGACGGAGTCTCGCTCTGTCGCCCAGGCCGGACTGCGGACTGCAGTGGCGCAATCTCGGCTCACTGCAAGCTCCGCTTCCCGGGTTCACGCCATTCTCCTGCCTCAGCCTCCCGAGTAGCTGGGACTACAGGCACCCGCCACCGCGCCCGGCTAATTTTTTGTATTTTTAGTAGAGACGGGGTTTCACCTTGTTAGCCAGGATGGTCTCGATCTCCTGACCTCATGATCCACCCGCCTCGGCCTCTCAAAGTGCTGGGATTACAGGCGTGAGCCACCGCGCCCGGCCGGCTGAGATTTCACAGGATAGTTTCTGTCTGAACTTGGTTGTCAATACCGAAACCCTGACTAGAAGCTTAAGCTTCCCTGGGTCCAGGCTTTGCAAGGCATCTTTTCTTGGAAGCTTGATTCTGCCCAGGTTTTCTTTGGCACAGGGTAGGGACCCATTTAAATTCTTAAAAAAAAGAAAACTGGTTTAATAACACCACTTTGTTATTATTATGTGTTATTACAAAGACCTGGGGGTTGGGAGATGGTATTCAAGGGATTCTGAGGCTGATCAATGTAACATATGTGACCATGAAAGGCAGTAACACCCAACACACTTTATTGAGCAGCACTTCTACCGAATTGCGTAAGAGGGGAAATCCGTCACAGCACACGATCATCCAGAGGCTTCAGATGGGGAGCCATCCTCCAGGAGATGAGGAGGGCAAGGGAATCCCTGGGTGAGAGCAAGATCGGAAACGGTGCTTCCTATATAAGTGATGTCACTCAGCAATCTGACAGAGGTCTCTGGGTCAGAGACCTCCAAAGGGCCATAGCAGTTTGGTTTTGTAACCACAATGTTTTACCTTATCAATGGGTAACAGCTGTCAGGTAAGGTTTCACAGGGTATGCAAAGCAGGCAGACTCTAAACAGTTAAAAATCTGTATTTTTGAAACAATTGGATATGTCAAGTTTAAGGTTGGTGCTAGTGGGCTTTTGAACTAATGTGTCTCAGCCTGCAGTGAAGAAATGAACAAACTGACGTATATACAGAGGCAATCTTTGGCTCGTTTATATAACAGCTATAATAAATGCTTATTATAAAAAAATTCAAACAATGCAAAAAGTAAAAAGAGGAAAGGAAAAACTACTCCATATCTTTCAACCCATAGATAAGTGCTATTAAGATTTTGGTCTGTATTCATATTTGTACATGTGCACACACACAAAATATAAACACATTGTTGTAGACATAAATAATAGATCTGTATCATAATTTTTATTTTTGCATAGAATTTTATTGTGTGTATGCTTATATGACAGTTTACTTTGAAAAATCCTTGTTGATGTATATTTAGGTTAATCCATTTTTTACTAATATAAACAATTCTTCAATTACCAAACTTGTATGTCATTTTCCAATTTTCATAAATTCCTAGAAGTGGTATTACTGAATCAAAGTGTATACACATTTAACGTTTTTTGTGCCAATTGACACATTTCCTTTCACTTTTTTTTTTTTTTTTTTTTTTTTTTTTTTTGAGACGGAGTCTTGCTCTGTCACCCAGGCTAGAGTACAGTGGTGCGATCTCGGCTCACTGCAAGCTCCGCCTCCTGGGTTCACGCCATTCTCCTGCCTCAGCCTCCCGAGTAGCTGGGACTGCAGGCGCCCACCACCACGCCCGACTAATTTTTTGTATTTTTAGTAGAGACGGGGTTTCACCATGTTAGCCAGGATGGTCTCGATCTCCTGACCTCGTGATCCACCCGCCTCGGCCTCCCAAAGTGCTGGGATTACAGGCGTGAGCCACCGCGCCCGGCTGCCTTTCACAATTTTATCAATTTATTCTTCATGTTATATTTATGAATTTTAGATTAAGTTAGGAAGGGTTATAATAAAAGTTAAAATAGAAACTGAACTGAGACATGTAAAAGTTGCTACGGGGAAAACTTTTGTCTTAAAATTATATTTGGAACAAGAAGGCGATTACAGAAGGTGTATGTCTACCATCCTTTCACTCTTGCAGATGATCCATCTTCACTGTTTCAGAGAAAGTAGCAGTCAACAGGAAGGAAGTCTTTCTGCCTTCAGTTTCTACCCCTCAACCTCATCTTCATTCCAGGTTACCTACCTACTCAGTCGGAGGAGGAGGTAGTTCTACTTCTTTCTGAAGCTCTTGGTCTAACTCTGTTTCATAGATTTGTCACTCTTGCACTCTCTCTCCACCAAAATTTCTCTTAAAACTAGAAACCTGTTCAAAATATCTTCATTCTAAAAGCAATTCTTTTGACTATGCCTCCTCTTCAAGTCATCACCTCGGGGAAAAGAAAAATGTGCCAAGTGCCGAGCATTTAAAAGTGCATAAAAAACTGACTGCTCCACTATCTTAAGCCTAACACAGCATTTATGAGACTCTTAAAACACTTTGTTATATTTTTGTGACATAAAGCAAAGTAATAATCAATTCAAAGAGATAATTTATAATACTTTCCTTAATAAATTAGAATTTAATGCAAATAATCCTTTCTCATATGGAGTTAACTCTCTCTTTGGCCTCGTATTTCATCCTTCCTCTTTCAGCTTGTGGAGACCTGCCGAACTCTTTCTGAGTGACTTGGTTCTCCTCTACTTGCAAAGGAGGCAAATTCAACTCTAACTTTTCTCTTGTGGTCTTTGTGTTATTCCCTGACACCTGCCTCCCTCCATCTAATTATAACACTCAAGCATGGTCTACATATCCTGCCTCTACTTTCTCCCTTTCCACTTGTCCTTTAACCCACAGCAATATGATTTCTGTTTCTACCAACTAACTGAACCTGTTTTGGCAAAGCTCAAAAACATTGAACACATAATTTACAAATTCAGTAGTTTATTTTTAACTCTGTATCCGGTGTGATCTCTTTGTGGAATTTGACCATTTCTGCCTTGAAATTCTCCCTAATCCCGATATCCTCAATACTTTTTCCCTCATTATTTTCCTTCTGCCTCTCTAATTTCTTCTTTTTAGTGTTTTCCTCTCCTCTGGTTCCTTTCCCTTAGCTTAACTCTTAAACATTGTTTTTCTTCAAGGCCTCTGTATTAGTCATTTTTTGCTGTGTAAAATATCTCAAAGCTCAGTGGTAGAGAACAACAATGCATTACTCTACTCTCATGTCTCCAAGCTGGCTGAAGGTAACCTCAGAGTTAAACTGGCTTCCATTCCAAATGCAGTTGGTTCCAGGTCTCCATAAGTCTCTCATCCTCCTTTGACCAGTAGCCTGGCTGGTGCAAACTCTTTTCATGGTGCTGACAAAAGTGCAAGAGGATAAGGCCAACCATTCATGCAATGATATTGTAAAATATATATTTTGTCCTTGTCCCCAGTTTTCTGACATACAATTCCTTAAATCTTTGAAATCTTCATAGTGGTAAGTGTCTTTTTGTATGCTAATAAGTTGACTGATGACTGACAGCTACTAGGTAGCTTCAGGATGGAGTCTGGTCACTGGAAAGACCACACAGCAGGATTAGAGGAGTTACTCAGCTCCACCATCCAGCCTCCAGGGAGGGGAGAGGGGATGAAGGTTAAGTTGATCACTAGTGGCCAATAATTAAATTGATAATGCTTAAGTAATGAAACTTCCATAAAAACCGAAAGGACTGGGTGGAGAGAGCTTGTAGACAGCTGAACACGTGGGGGCTTAGACGTTTATATGCCAGGAAGGTGATGCATTCCAACTTCATGGGGACAGATGCTTCTGTTCTTGAGATCCTTCCAGAACTTGCCCTATGTGTCTCTTAACCTAGCTATTTATTTGTAACCTTTAATATATCCTTTGTAATAAGCTGGTAAACATAAGTTAGTGTTTCCCAGAAGTCTATTAGCTGCTCTAGCAAATTAACCAAACCTGAGGAGGAGGTTGTGGAAACCCTGATTTGTAGCTGGTCAGCCAGAAGCTATAACTATCTGGTACAACATCTGGGTTGGTTCTGTACAAAACGGGTACAACAATCTGGGGCTCTTGTTTGGCATCTGAAAGGTTGTGAGGGGACAGTCTTAAGAACTGAGCCTTCAACCTGTGGGATCTGATGCTATCTCCAGATAAATAGCATCAGAACTAAACCAAATCAGAGGATACTCAGACAGTGTTAACCGTAGAATTGATTATTTGGTGCTACAGTTTGAATGTTTGTCTCCTCCAAAACTTATGGGAAACTGAATTCCCAATGTGGCAATATTGAGAGGTGGGGCCTTTAAGAGCTGATTGGATCATGAAGGCTCTGCCCTCATGTGTGAATCCATTATTAAATGAATGGATTAATCTTTTAATGGATTAATAGACTAATGGGTTATCACAAGAATGGGCCTGGTGGCTTTATAAGAAGAAAAAGAGAGCTCTGAGCAAGCATGTTCAGCCCCCTCACCACGTGATGCCCTGTGCTGCCTCAGGACTCTGCAGAGAGTCTTCACAGCAAGAATGCCCTCACCAGATATGACCCCTTGACCCTGGACTCAGCCTCTATCACTGTAAGAAAAAAAAAATCCCTTTTCTTTATAAATTACTCCTTTCTAGGTATTCTGTTGTAAGCAACAGAAAATGGGCCAAGATACTTGGCGTGTCTGTTGGGGTGGGGAAACTCCCACACATTTGGTCACAGTAGTATTCTCGGTGGAAAGAGGAAAAATTGTTTTAATCTACACAAATGCCCACTTCAAATTTTTGCTTATATTATATCTACTAACATCTTACCTCCCAAAGAAAGTCACGTGGTCAAATCCAAAATCAAGCGATGAAATAGTATTCTGTGCTTATCGTGAAGACATGACAAGGGATGGATGCATAATACTACTACCGGGGGGTGAGGAATTGTGACCAGTAATTCATTCTGCTAAACCTTCGAATTACCTAGAAGACCCTGAATGAGCTGACCGTAACTACCTCTATAATCTTGGGTCTTGACATTTCTTCTCTTCATTGCAATGTTGCAGACATAAATCTGTATTTTAGTCTCTCTAATGCCATCCTTTTTTTGCTTAGTCTATGCAAACTTCAGGTCTTTGTGTAAATGTCACTCACCCAAGGAAGTCTTCCAAATTACTCCAGATTAAGTCAGATTCTCTTGTTATATCTTCTTATGGATAGGACATTTTTTCTATTCTGTACTTACCATACTTTTGATGGTATAATCTCTTTGTTTCTTTACTCAGTTGTTTGATTTTTTTTCTCCCTCCCTAGAAGTTAAGTTTCTTTATGGTAAGAATTGTCTTTATTTTGTTAATTATATTTCTAGTGCCTATTTACTCTTAATATAATAGATGTTCAATACATAATGGAGTCGATGGATCTATGTGTTCTTCCTAAGCAATTTCATCCATGTCTATGTCTTCAGCTCTCACCAAATTTAAGGCTAGAATGTAAAATCTTTTCTGGGCTCAAATCTATGTTTCCAACTGGATATTCCATGACCACCTCACACTGTGCATGTCTATAAGTCCAATATTTCTTCTCTTCCTGCTTGTGAAAACATCACAATTCACTGGACCACCTGTGATGGTTAATTTTATGTCACCTTGACTGGGCCACAGGGTGCCCCCATGTTTGGCTAAACATTATTCTGAGTATGACTGTGAGGGTGTTTCTGGATGAGACTGACATTTCAATCAGTAGACTGACTAAAGCAGATTGTCCTCCCAATGTAGGTGGGCCTATCCAATCTGTCGAAGGCCTGTTTAGAACGAGAAGTTTGAGCAAGGGAGAATTCACTCTCTCCACATGATTGTCTTTGAGCTAGAACATCAGTCTTCTCCTCCCTTTGAACTTTTACTTGGACTGGAATCTATACCATCTGCTCCCCGCTGATTCTCAAGCTTCAGACTTGTACTGAAACTACACCATGTAATCTCCTGGGTCTCTAGCTTGCTGAGTATAGATCTTGAAACATCTCTGCCTACATAATCATGTGAACCAGTTCTTTAAAATAAATCTCTTTCTCTATCATCTATCCATCTACCTAGCTACTTACCTATTCATGCATCCTATTGATTCTGTTTCTCTCGAGAACTCTGATATACCACATAAACCAAATTCCTGGAAATTGTCTCCAGCTCCATGATTTCCTGAACTTTTGCATGTAATTTGCCTCTATAATATGCTGCTTTTTACTTCTGCAATATCTTTCTGATTAGCACCCTGATTTTTTATTCTCTATCATGAATAATACTGGCACTAAAAAGCAAAAAAATATTGTTAAGAAGAAAAGGAACTCCAAGATTGGGTAGAACAACCTAAGAAAACAGCTGGCAGTTCTAAATGTGTTCCAAGTTTCCTGGCCAGGATGAGTCACATCCTAGAGAGTGGAGAACACATACCAAAGACATCTCCATGACAGATTGCAGAGGAAATGTGAAAACATTAGATAAAGTAAAATAATCGAAAAACTAGAGGTGGGGAGCAAGGGCTTCATAGGCAATTAAGCTGCAGTGTCCCATTGTCTTCCTTGGGGACAAGATATCTAAAATACCTCTTTGCAGAGACAGTGCACATGAGAGTGTCAGTATCACAAATTGTGAGCTTTCACAAAAGTATAAGTGACACTGTGTTGAGGTAATTATAATTTAAAAAAGTAAAATAAATATTTTTTTCTTTACAGACTATACTAGCATAGAATACTGGAACATTTTTTGGACATTTACTTGTCAATCCTTTTCGGGGGGAAAGGTGGAAGGACTTTATGGCAACAATGTCTCCTCCTCTAATTGATAATGTGTAGCCCACCATCACCATTATGACACACTCCTAATGTTTGCTTACATAGAATCTGGATAATATTTATGATTTTATCATGAACATGTATCTTTATTTAAATAATAAACATCCTTCTGTGCAAAAATATTAAAAGTAGAATTTTTGTTTTAAAAACAATAGCCTTAGAAATATAGAAATTAGGGATATCAGCATGCTCAGGTTTATAATATAATTAGTGTGTAGAAGTGATGGTGGGGTGTAAATGAAGTATACATAGTGCTCTTTTACTTTTCTTGGATTGCATTGTCTAGACTACATTTAAATGTTTGCCTGAGCTAGAAATCCAAATCCTCTGCTTCTCAAGTCACTTATTCACAAACAGAAGCAATGATTAACAATAGACATAGTTACAAGGGGACAAAATGAGGAAACATTTGTAAGTATGAAAAGAACATGTGGAAGTTTAGAAAACAGGCTGATAATGTGTTTTGCTAGTATACTCGAAGGGATGAAATAAAGCATCTTTGTAAAATAACTGTCATATCAATTAATTAGTATGAGGGTCAAAAAATAAATTACTTTTACAAGCAACTCTGTCCACGATCTAGAAATGAAGCTATATCCTTTGCTTTCATTTTTGTTATCAATAATAATAAATAGAAGCCATTACTTAAACAACATGTTGAGTGGTGGAATAATGAAAAGAGGAATACTCTTTGTATCAGTTGGTTTTCATACTGCTGATAAAGATATACCCAAGACTGAGCAACTTAAAAAAGAAAGAGGCTTGACATGACTTGCAGTTCCATATGGCTAGGGAAGCCTCACAATCATGGCAGAAGGCAAGGAGGAGCAAGTCACATCTGACGTGGATGGTGGCAGGCAAAAAAATGAAAGAGCTCGTGTAAGGGAATAACACCTCTTTTTAAAACCATCAGATTTTGTGAGACTTATTCACTATCACAAGAAAAGCACAGGAAAGACTTGCCCCCATGCTTCAGTTACTTCTCAGCAGGTCCCTCCCACAACATGTGGGAATTCAAAATAAGATTTGGGTGGGGACACAGTCAAACCATATTATTCTGCCCTTGGCCCCTCCCAAATCTCATGTCCTCACATTTCAAAACCAATCATGCCTTCCCAACAAGTCCCCTAAAGTCTTAACCCATTTCAGCATTAACTCAAAAGTCCACAGTACAAAGTATTTTACCTATGAGCCTGCAAAATCAAAAGCAAGTTAGTAACTTTCTAGATACAATGAGGGTACAGGCATTGCATAAATACAGCCATTCCAAATAGGAGAAATTGGCCAAAAGAAAGGGGCTACAGGCCCCATGCAAGTCCAAAATCCAGCAGGGCAGTCAAATTTTAAAGCTCCAAAATGATCTCCTTTGACTCTTTTGATGCTGATACAAAAGGGGGATTCCCATGGTCTTGGGCAGCTCTGCCCCTGTGGCTTTGCAGGGTACAGCTTCTCTCATGGCTACTTTCATGGGCTGATGTTGAGTGTCTACAGCTTTTCCAGGTGCACAGTGCAAGCTGTCAGTGGATCCACCATTCTGGGGTCTGGAGGACAGTGTCCCTAATCTCACAGCTCCACTAGGTGGTGCCCCAGTAGGGACTTTGTGTGTGGGCTCCCACCCCACATTTCCCTTCTGCACTGCCCTAGCAGAGGTTCCCCATGAGGTCCCCACCCCGGCAGCAAACTTCTGCCTGGGCATCCAGGCGTTTCCATACATCTTCTGAAATCTAGGTGGAGGTTCCCAAACCTTGACTTCTGTGCACTTGAAGCCTTAACACCATGTGGAAGCTGTGAAGGCTTGGGGCTTGCACCCTCTGAAGCCACACCTTGAGCTCTATGTTGGCCCCTCTCAGCCATGGCTGGAACAGCTGGGATGTGGGTCACCAAGTCCCTAGCCTGCACAGGGACCCTGGGACCAGCCCCTGAAATCACTTTTTCCTCTTAGGCCTCTGGGCATGTGATAGGAGGGGCTGGGTGAAGACCTCTGACATGCCCTGGAGACATTTTCCCCATTGTCTTGGGGATTAACATTTGGCTTCTTGTTACTTATGCGAGTTTCTGCAGCCGGCTTGAATTTCTTCTCAGAAAATGGAATTTTCTTTTCTATCGCATTGTCAGGTCTCAAATTGTCCAAACTTTAATGCTCTACTTCCCTTGTAAAAATGAATGCCTTTAGCAGCACCCAAGTCACATCTTGAGTGCTTTGCTGCTTAGAAATTTCTTCTGCCAGATACCTCTCTCAAGAAATTTCTTCTGCCAGATACTCTCTCAAGTTTAAATTACCACAAATTTCTAGGGCAGGGGCAAAATGCTGCCAGTCTCTTTGCTAAAAGATAGCAAGAGTAACCTTTACTCCGGTTCCCAACAAGTTATTCATCTCCATCTGAGACCATCTCAATCTGGACTTTACTGTCCACATCACTATCAGCATTTTGGAGAAAGCCATTCAACAAGTCTCTAGGAGGTTCCAAACTTTTCCACATTTTCCTGTCTTCTTTTGAGCCCTCCAAACTGTTCCAACCTCTGCCTATTACCCAGCTCCAAAGTCACTTCCACATTTTGGGGTATCTTTACAGCAGCGCCCCACTCTACTGGTACCAATTTAATGTACTAGTTTTCATGCTACTGATAAAGACATACCCAAGACTGAGCAACTTACAAAAGAAAGAGGTTTAATTGGACTTACAGTTCCACGTGGCTGGGGAAGCCTCACAATCGTGGTGAAAGGCAAGGAGGAGCAAGTCACATCTTACATGGATGGTGGCAGGCAAAAAATGAAAGAGCTTGTTTAGGGGAATGCCTCTTTTTAAAACTGTCAGATCTCATGAGACTCATTCACTGTCACAAGAACAGCATGGGAAAGACTTGCCCCCATGATTCAATTACCTCCCACCAGGTAACTCCCACAACATGTGGGAATTCAAGATGAGATTTGGGTGGGAATACAGCCAAACCATATCACCCTTTATTCAAAAAATATGATTTTATGACATTAGATGATTATCAATGTATTTTAAGGACCTCATTTATTCAAACAGGATTAATCAGGGGGCCCCTATCTATTAAGTGTTGCTCTAGACACAGGGGATAATGCAGAAAACAAAAAAATCTACTAATTTCCCTAGCTTCTTAGAGTTTACTTTCTAGCAGGGAGATCATTCAAGGCCAGGCATGGCCTCACTGATGTCTTTTTTTAAAAATTATTATTATACTTTAAGTTCTAGGGCAAGACTGGAAGGATATGAGTGAGCCTTGTGGATATCTGGAGGGAGATGTTTTAAGGAGAGAAGAAACACCTGCCAAGGCCCTGGATTGGGATCATGCCTGGTGTGTTGGAGAAAGAGCAAGAAGGCCAGTGTGGCTGGAGAGCAGTGAGCATGGAAGGGAGCAATTAGAGTTGAGATCAGAGAACACATAGGGACTTGCAGAATATGGTAAGGCCTCTGGCTTTACTAGGTGTGATGCGGGAAGCAAATGGTGGTTGTTTTGTTTTGAATAGATGCCTTATTTTTAAATAATTTTAAATATGTAGAAAAGTTACTGAGATACCATGCAGATCCTGTATATATGTCACCCAGCTTCCCCTAACGTTAATATCTTATATAACCTTAGTGAATCTATTGAAACTAAGAAATGGATATTGGTACAATACTAGGAGCCAAACTACAGACTTTGTTTGGATTTTCCAGTTTTTCCACTAATGTCTTTTTACTCTTTTCTTGATTCAGATCTAATCTAGAATACCACATTACATTTAGAAATGGAGGATTTTGAGTATAGGACCGACATGACCTGAACTTCATTGTGCATTCTTACTCTGGCTGCTGTGTATACTTGGAACTCTTTTGATACATGCAGTATTCTTACTTTACTTTACCAAAACAGTGAATATCCACAATAAAATTGTATCTGGTGGTAGATGCTTTTCCAGTTTCTTATTCAATGGTAGATGGTTTTCATCCAACCTGACACTAAGTAGACAGAACTCATTAATTCCCAGTAGGTATTAAGTTATTCAGCCATACATTTGAGTACATATATTTTAAAAAGCACTTGCATGTTCAACAGAAGAAACTAAGGCTCAGAAACAGGATCATTGTTCAAGAGTGTGATTAAATCAATTACCAAAACACAGCTCATAATAGAGGAAAGTTTATCTTTGGATTTAGCTTTTCTGTTCACGTTTTAGGGTATAATGGGGCCAGCGTATTTGATGTCCAATTAGACAGCATTTTGTAGCATTGCACACTGACAAACTGCTTTTATAAGTATTCCCATAATCAATTAAATACAAAACACACTACATCAAGCGTTACCTGGAATAGATTTCATTTATCTGACTTACAGAGACAGAAAACAGAAGGTCAGGATGTCCTGGTTAACAAAATGTCTGAATTATGTAACTTAAAGCACCATGTGATCCAACTACATGTTTTAAGTAATTACCATTAGTGTGTGGTACTGATGAATTAAATCTCACCACTCCACAGACACCTTGCTATCCTTCCCATTAGGGTTAATGGGCCATTCCATTTTCCTGGTAAATTTACCGACAGACTACATAGTTGACCAAATAATAGGTTCAATTTCTCCTTAACATTTCATTCTGAGATTTATTCGTCTTTTAATGAATTCTGTCAACTGTCAAGGAAACATTTCATGCTGATGTGGATTAAGAACCCCCTACTAAAATGACACACACTATCCTATAAAATGTGTTCAGGACCTATTATTTGCCCTTCACACTGTTGGCAGTTGTACATTTTTGCTCCCAAGTTCAGATTATATGGTTTAAATACTATTTAAGAAGAATTCTCCTGAAGATAATTAATTTCCTTTAATTAGGGCATTTTCTTATGTCTTAATATAATGATACATTTTTACTATTTTTAGTATGGAAATCCCAGAAATGTCTTCTTTTATGAAAGATATTCTACCTAAGCACAGTGTCTCCAGCTTATATATTTTAATGTGAGTTTACAATTCCAAGCTTCATCTAAGACAAATCTCCCTAAAAAGTAAGGAATGTAGATTTGTACAAGGAATAGCAAAAATTGCTTAAGATTTCTTAATTTTAGTAAAATTAGAAAGGAAGTTCTTTGAAAATTAGAACCACTAGATAAACAGACTGAGGAATGATGTAAAAGAGGTCATTGAAGAAGCAATTAATCATGTTTTATGAAAATTTACAAGGAATCACAATAAAATTTGATGTTATTCAAGGTCGACTATGGAGGCCATGGCTCTTATGACAATTGTCACATTAAAATGTGGACGATATCTCTTTTGTAATCAGTGTTACAAGATAATATGTGCTTATCCAGAAGGCCCTTTCAGCTTTTGATTTGTACGAATCTGTTGACCTGAAAGCTCCCTCTCATTGTTCTACCTTCACTCTAGTGAAAGGATTATGTGAGTTTTATTGTCTGCCCTGCCAGAAAATCTTCATGCACTGGTATTATCTTTACCTCTTTTTCTCAATAGACACACACTATGATTAATTGCCTAATAGAATGTAAACTAATTGAGGTTTATTTCCCTTGTAAGATTTTAACATTATAAAATTATAGATATGACTATAATCCAAATGACTTTGCCAGAAGAAATGCAGATTGAAAATTCTGTAATTTGTATTGAATACTATCAGATCTTGGTAAATATTGGGCACATCTTCTAGGAAATATAAAAATAGCAAACATTCTATTCTTTCCTCTCTGTTTTTCTAAATACCTTTTCTAAATACCTAAATACCTAAATTATAAATGCTACCTAGAATCACTTTTAGGTAGCATTATCCAATAGAATGATCTTCTGCAGATGTCAAGAAGAGGCCAATTTTTTGTAGAAATAAAGAACATATGTTCTTAAGTGCAAATATTTATCATAGCTATAAAAATTGTAGCCATCTATTATAACTGTGTGTGAACTTCATTTGTGAAGTTGATATTATTTACTATTAGTAGAAACTAACCTATTGGCTATCTTTAAAGTACTGCAGTTGTGTAGTAGTACCAATAATTATTAATACTTACAGAACAGTTACTATGTGCTAGATATCGTGCTTATTACTTGTACTGTATTTACATGGCTGAAAATGGCTGCTACTTTCTTATGTCATCATGGAATCAACAAGACATTTTGGAAATAGCCAAGCTAAGGCATGCAGTTGTCAACCATGGAAGATACTACATATAACTCAATGGGAATTCTACTTTGTAAGATTCCAACTCATGACATTAAGTGCATTAGCATAATCATTTCATTTTAACCAAAGGCACTAACTGGTCCATAAACCATTAATATTCTCAGGCTTAAACATACAGATTCACACACATCATAAAATACACACTAGGATCTCATTATCTAGTATGTTTTATGAGAGCAACTTTTGACATAAAGTGTTAATATCTCCAAAACCAAGACATATCTGTTAATTATGCCTATTTAGATGTGTAACCAGTGATTTGAAAATCAATGACAAATAATCTACTTCCTATACAAATCAAAAGCCTACTTAAGTCAGTTTAATTCTGAGAGCTTTCCACTTCACTTGTGTTGCACCCCAACATTTTATTAAATTTGATGGGCTTATTTGCCTGAGAAGTATAGTTCAGTACTTGCAATTATCTTTTAAGATAATGCCCTCTTTGTAAGTCTCACGTATTCTATAGTCTAACTAAAAAGTTGAATCCCAGAGGATTTGCTTCTTGATTGCAACTAACTAAAACAAGAAAATATTTGTACACAAGCAGGGCTTGAAACTAAATGGAAAATTCTTTGAATATTACATTCAGTTCCACATTTATTCATATTTTCAACAAATAAGCACAGTATTCCCCTCATCCTTTATCCTTGGTTTCACCTTCCAAAGCTTCAGGTAACTACAGTCAACTACAGTCCAAAAATGTTACATGTAAAATTCCAGCAATAAACAATTCATAAGTATTAAATGCTAGCTCACAATGCCTTTGTAATTTACCTCATCTCGTCTCACTATGTAGGCATTTTATCATCTTACACCATCACAAGAGGAAGCAGGATGTGTAAAGTGTAATCAGGTATTTTGAGAAAGAAAGGAAGACCACATTCACATAACTTTTATTACAGTAGGTTGTTATAATCATTCTATTTTGATTAGTTATTGTTTTTAATCTCTCACTGTGTCTAATTTATAAATTAAACTTTAAAAAAAATTTTAGTTTTTAATTTTTGTGAGTACATATATTTATGGGTTACATGAGATACTTTGATACAGGAATGCAATGTCTAATAATTACTTTATGGTAAATGGGGTATCCACCCCCTAAAGTGTTTATCACTTGTTTTACAAACACTCCAATTATACTCTTTTAATTATTTTTAAATGTATAATTTAATTATTATTAATTATAGCCACCCTGTTGGGCTATCAAATACTAGGTCTTACTCATTCTTTCTAACTGCTTTTTGTAACCATTAACCATCCTCACTTGCCCCCAACTATGCCACTACCCTCCCCAGCTTCTGGTAACCTTCCTTCCACTCTTTATCTCCATGAGTTCAATTATTTTAATTTTTAGCTCCTACAAATAAGTGAGAACATATGAAGTTGGTCTTTCTGTGCCTCGCTTACTTCACATACCATAATGACCTCCAATTTCATTCATGTTTTTGCAAATGACAGGATCAAATTATTTTTCTTGGCTCAATAATGTTCCATTGTGTATATATGCCACATTTTCTTTATCCATTCATCTGTTGAGGGACACTTAGGTTGCTTCCAAATCTTGGCTATTATGAATAGTACTGCCGCAAATACAGAGTGCAGATATCTTTTCAATGTACTGATTTTCTTTCTTTTGGATACCTCCCCATTGGGTAAATTGCTGGATTGTATAGTAGCTACATTTTTAGTTTCTTGAGGAATGTCCAAACTGTTCACAGTGGTTGTACTAATTTACACTTCCACTAATAGTGGATGAGGCTTTTTCTCCACATTCTCACCAGCATTTTTTATTGCCTGACTTTTGGATAAAAGCCATTTTAACTGTGGCTAGATGATATCTCATTGTAGTTTTGATTTTCATTTCTCTGATGATGAATGATAATGAGCACATTTTCATATGCCTCTTTGCCATTTGTATATTTTCTTTTGAAAAATTTCTGTTCAAATCTTCTGCTCATTTTTTAAATGAGGTTATTAGGTTTTCTTCCTATAGAGATTTTAGAGGTCCTTATATATTCTGGTTATTAATTCCTTATGAGATGAGTAGTGTGCAAATACTTTCTCCCATTCTGTGATTTGTCCCTTCACTTTGTTGATTGTTTCCTTTCCTGTGAAGATGCATTTTAACTTGATGTGATCCCATTTATCCATTATTGCTTTGGTTGCCTGTGCTTGTGGGGTATTACTCAAGACATTTTTCACCAGACAAATGTCCTATAGAGTTTCCCCAATGTTTTCCTGCAGCAGTTTCATAATTTGAGATCTCATATTTAAGTCTTTAATCCATTTTGATTTGATTTTGTATAAGACAAGAGATAGGGGTCAAGTTTTATCCTTCTGCATATGGATATCCCCTTTACCCAGCATCATTTATTGAAGAGACTGTTTTTTCCCAATGTATGTTCTTGGCACATTTCTCAAAAATGTGTTCACTGTAGATGTATGGATATGATTCTGGGTTCTCTATTCTGTTCCATTGGTCTATGTGTCTGTTTTTATACCAGTACCATGCTGTTTTGGTTACTATAGCTCTGTAGTATAAGTTGAAATCAGGTAATTTGATTCTCCCAGTTTTGTTTTTTAACTCAGGATAGTTTTGGCTATTTTCATCTCTTGTGGTTCCATACAAATTTTAGGATTTTTTTTTCTATTTCTGTGAAGAATGTCATTGGTATTTTGATAATGATTGAATTGAATCTGTAGATTGCTATGGGCAGTTTGGACATTTTAACAATATTGATTTTTCCAGTCCATGAACATGAACTATCTGTCCATTGTTTTCTGTCCTCTTCAATTTATTTCATCAGTGTTTTATAGTTTCCATTGTAGACATCTTTCACTTCTTTGGTGAAGTTAATTCCTAGGTATTTAATTTGATTTATGGCTACTGTAAATGGGATTACTTTTTGATTTCTTTTTTGAATTGTTCACTGTTGACATATAGAAATGCTACTGATTTTTGTATGTTGATTTTGTATCTTGCAACTTTACTGAATTCGTTTATCAGTTCTAACAGTTTTCCTGTGGAATCTTTATCTTTCTCCAAATATAACATTATATAATCTGTGAGCAAGGATAATTGGACTTCTTTCTTTCCAGTTTGGATGCCTTTATTTCTTTCTCTTGTTTGACTACTATAACTAGGATTTCTAGTACTACATTGAATAATATTGGTGAAAGTGAACATCCTTGTTGTGTTCCAGATCTCAGAGGAAAGGCTTTCAGTTTTCCCCATTCAGTATGATACTAGCTGTGAGTCTGTCATATATGACATTTATTGTGTTGAGTTATGTTCCTTCTTACCCAGTTTCTTGGGGAATTTTTTCATGAAGGGATGTTGAATTTTATCGAATGCTTTTTCAGCATCAATTTAAATGGTCATATGGTTTTTGTCCACTATTCTGTTGATATGATGTATCATATTGGTTAATTTGTATATGTAGAACCATTGTTGTATTCCAGGGATAAATCCCACTTGGTCATGATGAATAATCTTTTTGTTTTATTGTTGCATTTAGTTCACCAGTATTTTGTTGAGAATTTTTGCATCAATATTCATCAAAGATATTGACCTGTAGTTTCCTTTTTTTAATGTGTGTTTGTCTGGTTTTGGTGTTGATAATACTGACCTTCTAGAATGAGATTGGAAGTATTCCCTTCTCTATTTTTGAGAATAGTTTGAACAAGGTTGGTATTAATTCTAGTAATTGGTAGAACTCAGCAGTGAAGCCACTGGGTCTCAGGCTTTTCTTAACTGTGAGACTTTTTATTATAGCTTTGGTCTCATTACTGGCTATTGGTATGTTCAGGTTTTGGATTTCTTCCTGGTTCAATGTTGGCAGGTTGTAAGTGTCTAGGAATTTATCCATTTCTTCTATATTTTCCAATTGATTGGCATATAGTTGCTCATAGTAGCCAGTAATGATCCTTTAAATGTCTGTAGTAACAGTTGTAATGTCTTCTTTTCATTTCCGATTTTATTGGTTTGGGTCTTCTATCTTTTTTCTTACTTACTATTCTGATTGTCAATTTTATTTATCTTTTCAAAAAAATACTTTTGTTTCATTGTTCTTTTGTGCTGTTTTCTTTTTTGTTATCTTTTTTGCTTTTTCTTTTTTGTGTGTGTTGTTTTCTTAATTTCAATTTTATTTATTTCTCCTCTCATATTTATTATTTTCTTTTCTTCTACTTCTTTTGGGTTTGGTTTGCTCTTGCTTTTCTAATTCTTTAAGATGCATCATTGGTTATGTATTTGAAGTTTTTTTCTCACATATAACTATAAATTTCCCTTTTAGTACTGCATTTGCTGTATTCCATAGGTTTTGGTAGGTTGTGTTTTCATTATCATTTGCTTGAAGAAGTTTTTGAATTTTCTTCTTAATTTCTTCATTTACCCACTGGTCATCCGAGAGCATATTGTTTAATTTCCATGTGATTGTACTGTTTCCAAAATTCCTCATTATTGATTTCTCATTTCATTCCATTGTAGTCAAAAAAGATGCTTAATATTGAAACTGCCTTTGCAAAAATCGTAGCTGAGGAAATTATGACAGTGAAAGAGATCAGACCTAACTGATTCCATCTTAATTCTAACCTTTAAGCTGTCCTTGTTCATTCCTGACCATAGGCTGAACTAACCTTGGGAAGGAATTTAGTTTACAGTTTAACTCTGAAACAAAATTAATAATAGCCCTTTTCTGAAAAAAGAACCCTCATTGCCTGGGGACCAGTCTGCCTTTTTAGGACTAACAAATTAGTTACAAGATTATAAATTATGGGTTAGGGACCTTGCAGTCTCCTGCTGCAAGAGTCTGAACCTCCCCAAATTGCTCCTGGGAATAGCATCACTTGTAAAACCTAAGATCAGTATTTGAGATATTTTGCAGACCTTGTGTTCTGATGCACCAGCTGACACTACCCAGACTGGCAGTCTGGCTCAACCAGTTCTGCAATCCTACCCAGGAACAGAAGACAGTAATAAAAATTCACTTCAATCCCCTATGATTACATCTCCAAACTGACCAATCAGCCCTCCACTCTTTCCAATCCCCTACCCCCAAGTTATCCTTAAAAACACCAATCCCCGAATGCTCAGGAATAATAAAACTCCAGTCTCCTGCACAGCTGGGTCTGTGCGAATTACTCTTTCTCTACTGCAATTCCCCTGTCTTGATGAATTGGCTCTGTCTAGGGTGTGGGAAAGGTGAACTTGTTGGGCAATCACAATATTATTTCAATTGTTTTGAATGTTCTGAGATTTGTTTTGTGACCTAGGTCTATTCTTTAGAATGATCCATGTGCTGAGGAGAAGAATTTGTATTATAGAACTGTTGGATGAAATATTCTGTAAATACCTATTAGGTCCATTTGGTTTATAGTGCAGATTAGGTTCAATGTTTACTTGTTGATTTTTCATCCAGATGATCTCTCCAATGCTAAAAGTAGGGGTGTTCAAATCTCCAGCTATTTCTGCATTGACATCTATCTCTCTCTTTAGCTCGAATAAGATTGATTTTATATATCTGGGTACTCAAGCATTGTGTGCATATATATTTACAATTGTTATATATTCTTGCTGAATTGACCCCTTGATCATTATATAATGGTCTTCTTTGTCTCTACTTACAGTTTTTATCTTGAAATCTATTTTGTCTGATATTTTGGCTGACATAAATATAGCTACTCCTGCTCTTTTGTAGTTTCCTTTGTCATGGAATATCTTTTTTCATCCTTAGTTGTCAGTCTATTTGAATCTTTATAGATGTTTCTTACAGGCAACAGATCATTTGGTTTTTTTTTATTAATCCATTCAACCACTTTATGTCTTTTGATTGGAGAGGTTAGTCCATTTACATCCAATGTTATTATTAATAAGTAAGGACTTATTCCTGCCGTTTTAAAATTTGTTTTTTGATTGCTTTTTCATCTTCTCTTCCTTATTTCCATCCTTTCTGTCTTCCTTTTAGGGAAGGTTATTGTCTCTGGTGGTATGATTTAATTTTTTTCTTTTTAATTTTTATGTATCCATTGTATGTTTGTTTTTTATTTGAGGTTACCATAAGGCTTGCAAATACCCTTGTAATCTATTGTTTTAAACTGATGACAACACTCAGTGCATAAACAAACAAACATGCAAATAGAAAACTAATACAAACTCTACACTTTAATTTTGTCCCCCTGCTTTTGAACTGTTTGTTGTTTCTCTTTATGTCTTATTGTACTATGTCTTGAAAAGTTGTTGTAGTTATTATTTTTGATTAGTTCATCATTTTGTCTTTCTACTTAAGAGTAGTTTACATACCACAATTGCAGTGTTATAATAATGTGTGTTTTTCTGCATGCTAGCTATTACCAGTGAGTTTTGTACCTTCAGATAATTTCTTCTTGCTCATTAACATCCTTTGCTTTCAAAGTGAATAATTCCTTTTAGCATTTCTTATAGGACAGGTATCTGGTGTTGAAATGCCTCAGCTTTTGTTTGCCTTTATTTTTTCCTTCATGCTTAAAGGATATATTTGTATGGACTATTTGAGGGTAAAAGCATTTTCCTTAAACATTTTAAATATGTCATGCCACTTTTTCCTAGTTTTCCATTGAAGGTTTCCACTACAAACTCTGCTGCCAACCGTATTAGCACTCCATTGTATGTTATTTGTTTTATTTCTGTTGCTGCTTTCAGGATACTTTCTTTATCTTTGACTTTGGGGAATATTATTATTAAATGCCTGAAGATAATCTTCTTTGGCTTAAGTCTTCTTGGTGTTCTATAACCTTCTTGTACTTGAATACTGATATTTTTCTCTAGGTTTGGGAAGATCTATGATAATATCCCTTTGAATAAACTCTGTACCCTTATCTCCTTCTCTACCTCCTCTTTAAGGCCAATAACTTGAATTTGCCCTTTTGAAGCTATTTTCTAGATCTTGTAGGCATGTATCATTGTTTTATATTCTTTTTTGTCTCCTTTGACTATATTTTCAAATAGCCTGTCTTCAGGCTCACTAATTCTTCCTTCTGCCTGATCAAATCTGCTATTAAGAGACTCTGATGCATCCTTTAGCAGGTCAATTACTTTTTTTAACTCTATGATTTCCGCTTGATTCTTCTTTTAAATTATTTCAATCTCTTTATTACATTTATATGATAGACTTCTGAATTCCTTCTCTGTATTATCTTGGATTTCTTTGAGTTACCTAAACAAACAAACAAACAAACAAAGCTAATTTAAATTCTCTGTCTGAAAGGTCACATATCTCCATTTCTCCCAGGTTGGTCCCTGGTACTTTATCCAGTTCTTTTGGTAAGGTCATGTTTTCCTGCATGGTCTTAATGTTTGTGGATGTTTGTCAGTGTCTGGACCTTGAAGAGCTAGGCATTTATTGTGGTCTTTGTAGTCTCAGCTTGTTTGTGCCCATTCCTCTTGGGACAGCTTTCCAGGTATCTAAAGGCACTTGATCCTTAAATTCAGTAACACTGAAGTTCTTGCAGACTCATAGAAGTACTGCCTTGGTATTCTTGAATAAGATTGAGAAGAATTCTCTGGATTATCAGGCAGGGGCTCTTGTTTTGTCCCTTTATTTTTCCAAAACAAATGGAATCTCTCTCTCTCTCTCTGTGCTGAGCTTCCTGAAACTGCAGGTGGAGTGATGCAAGCACCTCTGTGGCTTCCACCACTGAGACTGCACTGGGTCTTACCCAAGCCTGCACAGCACTGGGTCTTACCCAAGGCTTGCTGTAACCACTACCTGGCTATCACTTATATTCATTCAAAGCCCTAGGGCTCCACAATCAGCAGGTGGGGAAGCCAACCAGGTTTGTGACCTTCCCTTCTAGGCGTTGAGTTCACCCAGGCCCCAGGAGGGTCCAGAGATGCCATCTGGGGACCAGAGATGCCATCTGGGGACCAGATATTGGAGTCAAAAACCTCACAAATCTATCTGGTGTTATATTCTACTGCAGCTAAACTGGCCCTCAAACCATAGGACAAAGTCCTTCCCACTCTTCTTTCACCTTTCCATAGCAACAGGAGCCTTTTCCAGTGGCCAGCACCATGACTGGGCCATGGGGAATTCTGCAAGGTTACCACCAATGTTGACTTAAAGCCTGAGGCATCTTTAGTCAGCTTGTGGTTACTGCTGCTAGGCCTGGGACTCATGCTTCAGGACAGTGGGCTCCCATCTGGCCCAGAGCAGGTCCAGAAATGCTGTCCAAGAACCTAGGACTAGATTCAGGAACCCCAAGCACTCACTTGGTGCTGTACCTTACTGTGGCTGAGCTGGTACCTAAGGTGCAAGACAAAAAGTTCCCTTCACTTTTCTCTTTGCTTTTCTCAAACAGAAGGATTCTTTCGCTATAGTCACTACAGTTGGGAACTTGCTGAGTCTCACCTGAAGGCAGCATTTCTCAGAATCTCACCCAATGCCCACAGTGTACTACTTGGGTATCCCTGTTGGTTATTCAGGGCCTATGTACTCTCTAGTCAGCAAGTGATGAATCCTGCTAGGCAAATGTCCTTCCCTTCAAGTCAGCAGATTCCCTTATGGCTCAGGGTTTGTCTGGAAATGTTGTCCAAAAGCTATAGCCAAGGATGAGCTAGCCATACTATGTGGCTGAGCTGGTATCCAGGATGCAAGACAAAGTCCTCTTTACTTTTCTCTCTCCTCCCCTCAAGCAGAAGGAGAGCTTCACTGCCTGGAGTTGGGAGAAGGGTGAGGCAAACACTCCCTTAGCTGCCCCAGCTGGTGTCTCCCTAGGTCATAGGCCACCCTAGTTCACTGGCTGTAAGCCCAGCCCAGCACTAGGACTTGCCTAGGAATTGCAGTCCTTGTGTTCTAGGCTACCTTTCAAGTATACCTAGGACCCCAAAGGATTTTAGCACTTGGCGGTGATGCTTGCCGAAACTCAAGTTCCAACCACTGGAATGGGTAATTCCATTCTGGTTAGGGCTGATTGAAATGTTCTCTTCATGGGTGGGTGCCAAATGAGCCTAGCATGGCTTTGCTTTCTGCTGTGACAGGGCAGTATGGTACTGAGTTCAATGCCAAGTCTCCCAGGCAGTGTGCTGTTTCTCCACCAAGTGCACAGTTTTTCTCTCTGCATTACATGGCCACTGCCAAGGAAAGGGGGGAGGGGTGGCATCAGTGATTCAAGCTGTGTTTACTACCCTCTTCAGTGCCTCTTTCTTTTTTTTATTTTTTATTTTTGAATCAATTTTTATATTACATAACACTGTTTTAATTTTGGGGATTAATTCTTTTTGGTTTCTTAAAGTGATTTCTTTTTTTCTTTTTTTTTGAAACAGGGTCTCACTCTGTCGCCCAGGCTGGAGTGCAGTGGCATGATCACAACTCACTGCAGCCTCAACCTCCTAGGCTCAATTGATCCTCCCAACTCAGCCTCCTAAGTAGCTGAGACCCTGGGCACGTGCCACATGCCAGGATAATTTTTGTATTTTTTGTAGAGATGGGGTTTCACCATGTTGTCCTGGCTGGTCTGAAACTCCTGGGCTCAAATGATTCACCCACCTTGGCCTCCCAAAGTGCTGGGATTACAGGCATGAACCACTGTGCTTGCCCTAAAGTTACGTCTGACAGTTCTTTATTTAAACTTCAGAGTGAAAATTTAATCATCAAGAGTTCTGTCTGCATCAAATTTTACCAATTTTAGGTATTATTTGTGTGAGGTTTCTTCAGTGACTTATTTCTATGAGATCCAATTTTCCTGGGTCAAATTTTGCAGATCTGCATTTCAAGATTTGCTCCACTTTTAGTCAATATCACATTTTTGCCACATACAGTCATAGCCATTTTCAGTTTTAATTTGTGCTGGTTATTTTTGCCAGAAATATCCATTATAAATTGAATGGCAGATTAATGGTTTATGTATTCATTTCTTATTCAACGGGATGAGAAAATTGAACAACATTAGGCAAAAGATAGAGCTAGGCAAAACAGAGACAAAGACTCAGAGATAAAGATAGCAAGAGGAATTCAAATTTTAAGAGTAAAAATTATATTATGGTAATGGTAATAGCTAATATTTATTGTATACTTCTTTTTTTGAATTTTAGAAATATATTTATTTTATATGGAAATGTAAGGCATACCTTCATATAGCAGTATATAAAAACAAATAGTGCAGTATGTTGGAAATTTTATGAAATGTCTCATAATTCCTAGCACTTGAATACTATTACACAGTAAGCTCAGGCTATTTTAGGATAAAATAATTTAGCTCAAATAAATATTTTATTGTACCACTCTTCTATTGCAGTCAAAAATTTCCTCACTTACATCTACCCTAGAGTTTGGCTGAAGTGATGAGAAGCTAAAACCAAGAAACTACTACCTTTGTTTATAGGTCATATGGTTATCACTCAAACTTAAAATATATATACTCAGAGGTATATAACTCTGACAATCAATCAAAGTCAACACCCGTTAGCCCAAAGTCAGAAAAGGAAAATGACAAAGGAAGAGACAATAAATGATTGAAAGAAATACAAAAGAGTGAAATTAACTCCCCTGCCCATTAAGTTCTTTTAAATTAAAAATACCCAATCATAAAAAAAAATACCCTATCATTCAACAAGTCACACTGAATTAGCAACTCAGGAACACAGTATTCATCCTCATTCTCTGTCTCCCTCTCCCTACTCATTCTCATGTTCTCAGTGCCTCTTTCAATGATATGAAGTTACAACCAGGTACTGGATTGCTCACCTGATTTTTGGTTCTTATGACAGTGCTTTTGTGTGTGTGTAGTTAGTTGTTAAATTTTGACGTTCCTGCAGGGGAAGCGATCAGTGGAGGCTTCTATTCAGCCATCTTGCTCTGCCCTCTTAAATTAAAGTTGATCATACATATGTACAGGACAAAACATAGTATATATAGAGTTTAGTACTACCTGAGGTTTCAGACATCTAATGGGGGCCTTGAAACATATCCCATTCAGGAAAGACCACTGTGTAGTGTTTCTTGTTTAAAACAAGTAGTCTAACACTGAAACTGAACCAGAAATTCTGAATGTTAGAGAACTGTAACTGCACAATTTATTCTTAAATGTAAACTGTCACTGTGAGAAGCTCAAATACCAATACTCCTTCACTACCTGCACTGTCTTCAAATCTGGACCAAGTCATCTCTTCCGATGACTACAGAGAGAGAGCCAGTGGTAAAAGCAGTATTGTGCAAGTGGCTAATCTATCAGAGGATTCATATAATTTATCATCTTTGGCTAAAATTCAGACTCCCCAGGAATTCTTGCTTCAGGACTGTTTTCAGTCTTCCCTCCTAATGTTTCATCATTTTCAAGCAATTAGTCATAATTATTTCTCTTAATTTTACCTCCTTTCTCTATTTTTCTCCTTTCCTGAGATAGGGATATAAATAAGTACTAAAGTACCTAAAGATAAATAATAGTGAGAGTAGTATAAAAAATGCTTTTCTATTTTGAAAATAGTTAATAATATCTAAATTATCCTTGTTTCACTGCAATCCTTTGGGTCTCTTTGGCAAAAATAAATCACACATCTAATATTAAAGAATGTTGCTAACAGACAAAAATGTATTGGGTATGCTTAAATCTCATTCTTATATATTAGTTATCTAAAAAATCCATTGGAATAAATTGGGTAGCAGGATGTCATATAAAATTTTAGCTCAAAAGTTACTTTGGCATAGGGGTCAATATGACCCTAGATCCAATCCTTGCCTCAAGCTTTTATCTTACTGCATAAAAAGCAATAAAAATAGAAGATGCCTTATTCGTGGTCAGACTTTTAAAAAAACAGCTTTCGTTAGTTGGCATCCTAAATTTTAAAACTCGTATTTTAGTTTTATTCATTTTTAGACTTTTAAAAATTTCAAGTAAAGCTTTTAGTTTGAACGAATATGATTCCATCTTTGATACTTAATTAGTGGCTTGCTATGTACAGTTATATTATTTTAATGTTTAGTAATAAACAAAGGAATCATAATAGTTCTAAAGATATGATAGCTTTCTAGAAGATCTTACTCTTCAATGTGATATGGGTGAAAAGTAAGCATTTAGTCTAACAAGGATATTACTTTTTGTTTACTATACATAACACTTTCAGGATCTGTAAAATTCATTTAATTATACAAATATTTATTGAACCCTTATGATGTTCCAGAAACAGCTCTGGGCTCCAGAACTACATTGCACTTTGAGTATTTTATTTATAAAGACATGTTTTCTTTAGAAATACCAATTTAATAGTAATTTCTTTGGCTACTAGTCCCAAAACATATTTTTAAAAAATTACCTGTAGATGTTCACTACTTATAAAATATTACAGCATTGATTTAATGTAGAAATGGTTTTCCACTTTCAAAAATCAGGAAGAACTCTACTACTATAAATATAATACCTGATTTGCTCCTCATATTGCATGTAACAAATACAGTATGATTCAGAATGTTTGTAATAATTACATGAAACTCCTCTCCTGAAATTCCCCAAATTTATTTTTATTTTAATAGCAATCTGATGACTCCTTAGGAAATATCTATATGAAAAGTAATACTTATAAGACTAGTACCAAGGAAATACATTTTATGGGCCAAGACCTTAACAGACATCTCACCAAAGGATATATGCAGATGGAAATAAACATATGAAAAGATGATCCATATCATAAGTCATCCGGGAAATGCAAATTAAAACAATGAGATGCCACTACACATCTATTAGAATGGCCAAATTCCAAAACATATCAAATGCTGGTGAGGATGTGGAGCAACAGGAATTCACATTAATTGCTGGTGGGAATGCAAAATGGTACATCCACTTTGGAAGACAGTTTGACAATTTCTCACAAAACTAAATATACTCTTATTATATTATTCAGCAATCATGCACCTTGGTATTCACCCAAAAGAGCTGAAAACTTATGTTCACACAAAAATGTGGACACAGGTGTTTAACGCATCTCTATTAATAACTGCCCAAACTTGCCAACAACCAGATGTTCTTCATTAGGTAAATGGATAAATAAACTTGGAACATCCAGACAAGGGAATATCATTCAGTGTTAAAGGGGAAGGCCGGGTGCAGTGGCTCATGCCTGTAATTTCAGCACTTTGGGAGGCTGAGGCAGGCTGATCATGAGGTAAAGAGATCGAGACCATCCTGGCCAACATGGTGAAACCCTGTCTCTACTAAAAATATAAAAAGTAGCTGGAACTACAGGTGGCACTCACCTGTAGTTCCAGCTACTTGGGAGGCTGAGGCAGGAGAATCGCTTGAACCGGGGAGGCGGAGGTTGCAGTGAGCCGAGATTGCATCATTGCACTCCAGCCTGGTGACAGAGCGAGACCCCATCTCAAAAATAAATAAATAAATAAATAAATGAAATGAAATAAAATAAATAAAAAATAAAATAAGCTATTTAGTTATGGAAAGCCATGAAAAGACATGGAAGAACCTTAAATGCATATTAAGTGAAAGAAGCCAGTCTGACAAGGCTACATACTGTATGATTCCAACTATGTGACATTCTGGGAAAGTTAAAACTATAAAGACAAAACAATAAAAATATCAATACTTGTCAGAACCATGGGGGGCATGGATGAATGAATAGAGCACACAGGATTTTTAGGGTAATGAAAATACTCCGTATGATGCTATAATGGTGGATGTGTGTCATTTTCCTTTGTCCAACCCCTAGCATGTGCAATATAAAGTGTAAACTCTAATATAAACTATGGACTTTGGGTGATAATTGTGAACCCAAAAGTATCTGAGACAGGTCTCAATCAATTTAGAAAGTTTGTTTTGTGAAACTTAAGTACACTCCCATGACACAGCCTCAGGAGGCCCTAATGACGTGTCCTCAAGGTGGTCAGAATACAATTTGGTTTTATAGATGTTAGGGAGACATGAGCCATCAATCAATACATGTAATATGTACATGGGTTTAGTCCAGAAATGCAGGATGACTGGAAGAGTGGACTTCCAAGTCATAGGCAGATTCAAAGATTTTCTGACTGGCAATTGGCTAAAAGTGTTATTATCAATAGAAAGAAATATCTGGGTTAAAATATGGGGTTGTGGAGACCAAGGTTTTATCATGTAGGTGAAGCCTCCAGGTAGCAGGCTTCAGAGAAAATGCATTGTAAGTGTTTCTTATCAGACTTAAAGAGTCTGTTCCATCAGTAATTCCAACACGGAGGAGGGTATAATGGGGCCTCTGGCTCCCCTTTCTCATCAGGGTCTGAAACTAGTTTTCTAGGTTAACTTTGGAATGCCCTTGGCTGAGAGAAGGGGCCCATTCAGATGGTTGGGGGCAGGGAACTGGAATTTTATTTTTGGTTTATATAACGATGTATCAATGTTGGTTTATCAAATGTATCATATTGGTAGGGGATGCTGAAAATGAGGGAGGCTATGCATGTGTGGGGCAGGGAGTAGATGGGAACTCTATACCTTCTTCTCAATTGTTCTGTGAACTTAAACTTCTCTGAAAACAAATCTTTTAAAAAAGAGAATGAAAATTTATTTTACACATGAGAAAGTAGTGGTTACTTACCCTAGACACAGTTTCAAATAGAAAGGTCAGGACAAAACAGTCTGAGTCAGAGCCTATTGTTAAAGCTCTAAAAAGGTAATAGTTTCTTTTTCACTATGTTTTTCAGATCACTGATTAATCCTAAGGACATGTAATAATTTTTACAATTTCCTTTATCTTTGTGCCAGCAGCAATTGCAGTTTGTCACCAGTCTTAGGAACAGATCACAAGGCTGGAGAGGCAGTATATTTTAAGTGACTTGAAAAAATATTAATGATATAAGTGTGTGTGTGTGTGTGTGTGTGCACTAATTAATATTCCACCAGGAAGGTAAAGAACTCACAATAAATCATATTAAACAGCTACAAGAAAAAATTTAGAGAATTGCTTGATTTTTCACGTAAGGACTTTATTAATCATTTTTTTAAAGTCATTACCAACATTTGAAGCTTTCTGCCTTTCTCTTTCAGTCACCCCAGGTAAAATGACATAGGGTTTTCATATTAATGTAACTAACTACCTTTAGGAAAAACATCTGATAGCCTTTGTATTTATACTCCCTTGGAAATTTCTTGCATTTTTTTCAGTGCATTCAAATTCCTGGCTTGAGATCTACTAAAAATGGCCAATAGGTATATTAAAACATACACAATGTCACTAAGCATCAGGGAAATACAAATAAAAACCATGATGAGATATTACCTCACACCTGTCAGTTTGGCTATAATCAGAAAAACAAAAGACAACAAATGTTGGTGAGAATGTAGAGAAATTAAAACTTTTGCACATTGTTGGTGGGAGTGCAAAAAGGTGCACTTGGTATAGAAAACAGTATGGAGGTTCCTCAAAATATTAAAAATAGAACTGCTGTATGAACCAACAATCCTACTTCTGGGAACTTACTCAGGAGCTGAAATCTGGGTCTCAGAGATATATTGGCACTCCTTTGATCATTGTAGCATTATTCATTATAGCCAAGATGTGAAAATAACCTAAATGATCCACCTACAGATGAATGAATTTTTTTAAAAATGTGAAATGTATATACAGTGAAATACTCTTCAGCCTTTAAAAGGAAGGAAATGCTTCAATATGTGACAACATAAGTGCACCTAGCGACATTAGGCCAAGAGAAATAAGCCAGTCACAGAAAGACATATATTGCACGATTTCACTAATTTGAGGTATCTAAAATAGTTAAATTCATAGAATCAGGGTGGAATGATGGTTGCCAAGGTCTGGGGAGAGGGAGAAATGCCAAGTTACCAAGCAACGGTCATGAAGTTTCAGTTGAGCAAGATGAATATATTCTAGATATCTGCTTACAACTGTGCCTATAGTCAACAGTGCTGTATTAGACACATAAACATTTGTAAAGAGGCCTGGAGATACACCAGATCCTACAGATGAAGTGCTGAGTCCCACAAGACTAAAAAAACCAGGAGAATAAAAAATGAGTAAAGAGGATCTATTTCATGTTAAGTGTTCCTACTACAATAAAATAAAATGAGATAAAGTAATGGTTCTGAATATGGTAAGGAGCATTCTTAGAGCTGTGGATTATCAACAGAAACTATAACCCCAAAACTAACACTAGCGTGTGAACTTGTACTTTCAGTGAAGCTGTTTTTGATATTAAAGCATTTTACTAACTTAGTTGTCTTCCTTAAGTTTGCTAGTAGTCATTCTATCAGAAATCAGCTACCTAGTTTTGAGAATATGTTTCCAAAATATGTGGAACCTGTGCTAAAGAAATAGCAGTGGACACCTTGGGTGCAGACAGGGAAAATGGCCATAAAGAGAGACTTTCGGCATGATCTTTGGGTTTTCGCTTTCTGGATTCACCAATGTTGCCTATTTTTGGCTTCCCTAATCCAGTATCCACCTGCATTTGAAAAAGAGATCTCTTAAATGACCTTGTCCAATGACCTCGAAATCCCAAGTTAGCCCTATGCATGGACTTCCCTCATCTTTGACCACACTAGTTCCAAACTTGGGTTCCATGGACCTTCATAGTCTCTCATCCTAGATTGGGAATAGAGCAAAACTTGATTCCAGTGAAAGTTATAAAAGTGGATTGATGATCTGTGAGTGAACTTAGTTACTTATGGTCTACTGAAGAATGCCTCTCAATTATCTTTCCTGATCCTTTTGGGCTAACCTCAGTAGGCTAAAGTTCAGCTCAGGTGTCCTGCAAATGTAAGGCCTCAAGAGAACATCAGTTTTAGAAGTCTTCTAAAACTATATTTTAATATCGATACAACCCCTACCCATGAGTGCCATTTATCTTGTAGTAATCAGTCCTAATATCTGATCTGCAGCTTGGAAGCCTTGCTGTTGTAAACCCACAGAAGAAAGCTAAAAAATTATGCCGAATTATGGATTGCTCTTTCTACATTTGGAAGAAAAAGAAAGTTTTTCTCAGAAAGTCTTCTCTATAGTACCACAAAGATGCAAGGTAAGAATCTAGCCAAACAAAAATATGGCTTTGTGTTTATGTACATAGCACTTTCACTTACCCCATCGGTAACATTTATTCAATTTAATAAATATATATTGAACCCCCTCATGTGGCAGACACAGTATTAAGTACTAGATGTGTATCTGTGAACAAAACAGACAGACTCATAGAACTTACATTTACGTATTTACCCTCATAGAGCTTATATTTACTTCAAAGAGCTCTTGTAGTTATTGAGATATGTAACACATTTGGCATAGTATCTGCCACATAAAAACTACATAAAATGAAGTTTATCTTCAGTAGAAAATAGGGCAAATGGCAACATTCAAGATAGAGTTTGTTTTAATCATCATTTGTCACTGCTATGATGAATATTGCAAAATTAAAGATTTAGATTGATACTTTTAAAGTCAAAACATGCCAAATGCATCCTAAGAGTCAGTTGTAAAATGACATTAATCTAACTGTTGATATTCTGATTTTCACAGCAGTATTCTAGTGCAAGTATTAACTTAATCCTGGTATAATTTTCAAAATTTAAATATTAGTTCTGTTACAGTTACTTTTTTCCATTTTTGAATAAGTCCTAAGGCATGGTCTCTTTCCTGGGAGAAGATGCGCATTTGCTGAAAAGCATTCTGTGAAATATTTTAAGATGCTTGAAAAAAGGAAAATTCAGCAATATAATTTATTATTATTAAAAATACCTCAATATTTTAAGTAATTCTTTAATTTTTGATGCAAATGAGGCTCAGTTGAAAGTCAGGTATTAATTGCCTTTTGATCTTTAGTAATTGAAGATATCTGACAATTTGCCAGATTATACACAGTTCCCTTTTTAAAATACTTTGACACTTTTAATAAGAATCATCTTCACTTGTACTAAAATCCTTTAAAGTATAATAAAAACATTACTCTTTATTATGTAAGTAAGCCCTTAATTAAACTCTGAAGACTAGAAAGAGAATCTTAGTTGGAAGAGTCATAAAATTAGTAGCATTATCAAACAAAAAGAAAAATAAAAGCCCAATAGAACGTAAACATTTTTTTCTGAAGACTGGAATATTCTAAATGTAATGCAGTCCAAATATAGGCAATACACACATGGCAAAAAACAATTAACATTAAATGAGAAAAAATCCATTATAGTATTAAACGTTAATAAAAAGGGTTCTTGATCAGATATATTATGACGCTATGAAATTAGCACTAATACTGTTTGGTAGTAGTAAGAATTTTTTTAAAATGTCTTTTTCTTTGAGTGAGTAAGAAGATAGGGTGTAACCTAATACAGAAAACTTATAAGAAATGGAGACCTATTCCTATTTGATGCTCCTTTTGACTTTCAAATAATACTTTTCTCAAAGATGTCTTCATCCCTTTCTACACGAGCTTAGATTTGGTTTTAAACATTATAAACAATCCCAGAAAATGCTGAGATTCATGTTAAAAGCAGTGTATTGAATTTTGGTATCCAGGTTGCTAGACCTAGCCAACAGCAGAGCTTTTATTTGTCAGAATAATTGCAAACCTATAGAACTTTCCCAGACAATCCGTGAACCCTATGAAGATTCAAAAGCATACCTGTGGCACATATTTAAGACAAAAGAGTCACATTTCTCTATTTATTTGCAACCCATTTTATAAAGAGTATTTTGTGTTAAGTTGCAATGTCTCATCAACCTTATTCCACAGAGAGAGAAAAAGATGAAAGAGTTGCCTGTTTGCCTTTTCACTGTCTTTGGATTGATATAATGGTTTGTGATCTGTTAACAGAATCACTTTAGCAATCTAAAATAAAATATAATCTCTCAGATTCCTGTAAGCAAATAAAAGCTGTGTTTAATGAAACTTCCTTCAAGGTAATTTGGGTGACCTAGCAAACTTTATTACTGAGGCTAAAAATAGTGTCATTTTGGAAAGAGATGATATATCTAAGACTTTGAGATGCTGTATCTATTGTCTTTGAGATATAATAATAAGGTTGGTCATGTGATACTGTTACAGGAAAGGGGTCCTGATCCAAACCCCAAGAGAGGGTTCTTGGACCTCACACAAGAAATAATTCAGGTGCAAAGTAAAAGCAAGTTTATTAAGAAAGTAAAGGAATAAAAGAATGGCTACTCCATAGACAGAGCATCCCCAAGGGCTGCTGGTTGCCCATTTTTATGGTTATTTCTTGATGATATGCTAAGGTGGATTGTTCATGCCTTTCCTTTTTAGACCATAGAGTGTAACTTCCTTACGTTGCCATAGCATTTGTCAACTGTCATGGCGCTGATGGGAGTGTAGCAGTGAGGACGACCAGAGGTCACTCTCGTGGCCATTTTGGTTTTGGTGGGTTTTGGCCATCTCCTTCACTGTAACCTGTTTTATCAGTAAGGTCTTTTATGACCTGTATTTTATGCTGACCTTCTATCTCATCTTATGACTTAGAATGCCTTAACCATCTGGGAATGCAGCCCAGTAGGTTTCAGCCTCATTTTACCCAGCTTATTTAAGATGGAGTTGCTCTGGTTCACATGCCTCGGACAATACCATGTATTTTTGGATATACGGTACCTTTGAGGAGACAAAATACTCATTTGTTACCTATGTGAGGTGATGGTCCTTGGTTCCCTAAAAATGTTTTTTTTTAAATTTAATTTTATTTTAAGTTCTGGGATACACATGCAGGGTGTGCAGGTTTGTTACATAGGGAAACATGTGCCAGGTGGTTTGCTGCAGCTATCAACCCATCACCTAGGTATTAAGTCCAACCTGCATTAGCTATTTATCCTGATGCTCTCTGATACGGTTTGGCTGTGTCCCCACCCAAATGTCAACTTGAATTGTATCTCCCAGAATTCCCACATGTTGTGGGAGGTACCCAGGGGAGATAATTGAATCATAGGGGCTGGTCTTTCCCATGCTATTCTCATGATAGAGATTAAGTCTAACAAGATCTGATGGGTTTACCAGGGGTTTCTGCTTTTGCTTCTTCCTCATTTTTTTTCTCTTGCCACCACCGTGTAAGAAGTGCCTTTCACCTCCCGCCATGATTCTGAGGCCTCACCCAGCTATGTGGAACTGTAAGTCCAATTAAACCTCTTTTTGTTCCCAGTTTCGGGTATGTCTTTGCTGGCAGCATGAAAACAAACTAAAACACTCTCCCTTTCCCTGCCCCGCCACCCTGCCCTAACAGGCCCCAGCGTGTGTTGTTCCCTTCCCTGTGTCCATGTGTTCTCATTGTTCATCTTCCACTTCTAAGTGAGAACATGTGGTGTTTGGTTTTCTGTTCCTGTGTTAGTTTAATGAGGATGATGTCTCAGCTTGAAGCCTAAAAACATGAATACCTCATGTTCACCCACTAGTGCTTTTTACCACAATATCACAATAGCTAACATTTATTAAACCCCATTTCACTTAGGTTAATAACAATTGCTAATAAGTGATAGTTACTGTGCTAAATGCTTTTCATGAATATCTCATGCAAATCTCCCAACAAATCTATGCGGAAGAAAATACCATTATTTCTATTTTAAAGATGCAGTCACGGACATTCTTAGAAGCTAAGTGATATGTAAATGGTTACACAGCAGGGAAGGTAGAATTTAAATCCAGTGTTGTGAATACCACAGTATTTGCAAAGGGGGAGAAGATGATAAACATGAGAGACAGAGGGATAATTTAGCAGGTCTTCAAAAGGCCTTTCTAATGACACTGTCACATCATGCTACATCAGTTCTCTGCCTAGCACCTATCACTGTTGATATTCTTTGTATTTAAGTAATGTTTATTTCTTGTCTGCCTCATGTTACTAGAATGTTAACAGCCACCTTCTAAAAGGCTAATGTTTAAATGGAGATTTGTGTGACAAGAAAAAGTCCAGGAAAAACAGGAAAAAGCATTCTAGTCAGAGTAATAATAGCTAGTTCCAAAGCCCTAGACTGAGAAAGAATGTGGCATGTTAGAGGAAAAGAAAGGGCAGGGTATCTAGAGCATAGCAGGATGGGTTGGTGTGGAGGTAGGCAAAGATTGGGTCACATGGAGCTTGGTAAATCAGATTTAGGAGGTTGTATGAGACTCAGTTAAATAAGATGAAAGCCCTGAGGGATTTTCAGCTTGAGTGACATGATCTTTTCTAAAGAATCTGACTTTGGCCCCTGTACCAAGAACAAACTGGGAGGGGTGGGACAGAAGTAGAAGTGAAAAGAAGACAGTTAGAAAGGCACTGTAATATTCCAGCTGAGTGATAGCATTAGCTTGGACTAGGAAGAAAGTAGTAGAGATGGAAAGAAGTAGTTAGAATAAAGATATGTTTTGGAGGTAGAATCACTTAGGTTTACTGATGGATTAGATACAAGAGATGAGGGAAAGATAATCACTCTCCATTGCCCCCAGCCTCCATCCTCATAAGCACTGTTTTTCTTTTATTAGTAATTTGGTATTGAAGTAAAACATTCAGTAAAGTAAGCAAATATTAAATGCTCAGTTTGTTGACATTCTGTGTATGTATATGCTTAAGCCCAGCCACCAGATCAAGACGTAGATAATTTTTCACATTCTAGAAGTCTCCCTTGACCCCCTCCCAATCTGTCCTCCACCCTTATCTACTCTTGGTATCTTCCCCAACCCCTTTACAACAATCCAGTTTGCATACTGTAGCCAGATTAATCATCTCAGGTTGCTGCTTTGTTCACCTGTTTTTCTGTTTGGTAACTTTAGTCATGCCCTATTGCAACAAGCTATCTAAACATACTAACCTGTAATTCAAACCCTTCCACTGATTCATCCCAAATCCTTTCTCCTTCTTCTTCCCTTCTAATAAGTAGCATATTCATTACTCCCAGATAAGTTCTACTCACTTCCATCTTCTATAACTTTACACATATCTAATCTAAAATATTTTCTCTTTTTGATTCTATCTGTTCCTTTTTTAATTTTTAATTTTCATGGATACATAAGAATTGTACATATCTTTGGGGTATGTGTGATATTTTATATAGGCATACAATATATAATGATCAAGTCAGTGTAATTGGGATATCCATCACCTCAAGCATCTATCATTTCTCTGTGTAGGAACATTTCAATTTAACTCTTTTGGTTATTTTGATATATACAATAAATTATTTTTAATTGTAGTTGCCCAACTGTGCTACTGAACACTAGATATTATTATTTTTAACTATATTTTTGTATGCGTTAATTATTCCCTCTTTATCTCCCCCTTCCCACTACCCTTTTCAGCCTGGAAATCATTATTCTACTCTCTATCTTCATGAGTTAAATTTCTTTTAAGCACTCAAATATTAAAAATCTCGAACAACTCAATAGGAAAAAAGCAAATAATATTATTAAAGAAGAGGCAAAAGATCTAAATAGACATTTCTCAAAGGAAGACATACAAATGACCAACAGGTATATGAAAAAGTGCTCCACATCACTGATCATCAGAGAAATGAAAATTAAAACTACAATGAGATATCATCTCATCCCAGTTAAAATGGCTTTTACCCAAAAGACAGGCAATAATGAATGCTGGTGAGGTTGTGGAGAAAGAGGATCTCTCATAAATTGTTAGTGGCAATGTAAATTAGTACAGCGATTATGGAGAACAATATGGAGGTCCCTCAAAAAACTAAAAATAGAAGTACCGTATAATCCAGCAATCCCACTGGTGAGTATATGTCCAAAAGAAAGGGAATTAGTGTGGAAAAGAGATACCTGCACTCCTATGTGTACTGCAGCACTATTCACAATAGCCAAGAGTTGGAAACAACCTATATGTCCATCAATGGATGAGTGGATAAAGAAAATGTAGTATATATACACAATGGAGCATTATTCAGCCATAAAATACATTCTGTTATGTGTATTCATTCTTTAGGGCTGCAAATGCCCTTCAGTGAAAACACCAGGGTCATCCTCCATTTGTCACAGGTATGTGACAGCTATCAGTTTGGGCAAATCGCAATTACTTTTGCACCAACCTGTATATTGCTTTAACATCTACTCCTGCTATGATCTAAATGCTTGTATTCCACCAAAATTCATAAGTTGAAATGTAATCACCAATGACGGTATTGTGAGGTAGGGTTTTTAGGAGGTGATTAGGTCATGACGGCGAAGTTCTCATGAATGGGATTAGTGCCCTTATAAGGCACTAAAGAGGTACAAGTTTTTCCCTTCTGCCGTGTAAAGTTATGAAAAGATGGGCCCTCACCAGACACTGAGTCCACCAGCACCTTGACCTTGAACTTCCCTGACTCAAGAACTGTGATAAATAAATTTCTCTTGTTTATAAGCCACCAACTTATGGTATTTTGTTTTAGCAACCTGAGTGGACTAAGGCAACACTTAAATTTTGTATTTTGTTGTGGTGTTCATGTTGCTTTAATGTCTGTACTACAACCTCTCTATTTTGTTCGTTTAGCATAATACCTGGCACAAGTTTGGTGTTCAATAAATATTTGTTGAATACATGGTGAAATAATTAATTAATATACATTGTTAGTTATCTTATTTGATGTGTATGTCCTATCTCCCCATATAGACTGTATGTTCTCTGCAGCAAAGACCAAGTACTGTATTTCTCATGGTATCATTCATATGTATCAAGGCAACCTAGAGAAAGTAATAGACTAAAATGTCAGCAATTCCTGTCTTCTCTAAAATGTATATTTTTGCTTATCCCAACTGACTTCTCATTGATTCAAGTAACTTTGAGGGGCACAGGGGAGAGATGTGACAATAGATATATCATCTGTGCTCAAATTTGATGTCTTAGTTGTGGATGGTTCAGATATCTGGTAGAATCTTCTGGCAAACTCAAGCCTGAAGTTTCATGTAAAAAACACTTTCTATAAATCTGGAAATTTACCAGTCCTGCCCTGGTAAGTAGGTCCTATGTCTAGAAGGAAGATTTGACTATTATTAAATGCTTCTAATAAATAGGTGTAATAGACATCAAGATCATTTTATGTAATTATGAACATGAAATTAAGAATAAGCAATCCAATGCTGTCAGCAATTTTAATGAGGGAACTGAACTGACTGCAAGGCCAGTTTGATTATTTTTTACAAAAATCAGTAATAAGCAGCCATCATTAGTGTTAAGGGTGTCAGAATATGAAATGGAGGACCTGCGTTCAAGTTGTAATTTTTTCATTAACTAGATGCGTGATTTGGAAAAGTTGCTTAAATTATCTGAAATGTAATTTCCTTATCTGCAAAGTGAATATGACCAGAAAGACTGCGAGGAGAGAATGAGATAATACTAAGGCTTTGAAGGTATAGGTATCATATATTAATAATAAGGTGCTAAAAACATAATTTAAGACTAAAGGAAAATGTACATACAGGTCCCTTAACCACAGCCATGTTGTATTAATATTCTCTGCTACTAATTAGACATTGCACCCCTCAAAGGAATGGTTTATTTCTCGCTGTTCAATCACATCAAGTGTTGCCATGATTCTTGTCTCAGACCCCAGGCCCCAGGTATTCTGAACTGTCACTTGGATTTATCGAGGCAGCCCACTATTATTGTTGGATTTCAGTAGTCATGGAAATTAAAAGTTGTCCTGTTTATTGTGGCAGCTGGTAAACAGATAGCACCTTTTACATCATAGCTCTTGGTACTTGGGAATTGCCAGAGAATAAAATAAAAGTTAAAAAATTCAATAACATAGTTCTCTGCACTATCTTAACAGCAAGCCACCAGTGAAGGGTCCAGGAAGCCACTTACATCACAACAGACATCCCTGAGCGAATTGGTATAAAAGTAGCTACAGTCTTGATAGCTCAGCTGCTGCCTATTGTAAAAGAGCAATTAGAATTTTTTCCTTGCAGTCCATACTCAAACTCAAAGAAGTAGAGAGTAAAGTTGTTGCCAGGGACACTGGGAGGGGTGGAGGTTAGAAATAGAGAGATGTTCATCAAAGGGAACAAAGAAAGATTCAATTAGGAAAGATGAATGAGTTCTGGAGATCTAATATACAGCACGGTGATGATAGTTAAAAATACCA
The DNA here is from genome assembly GCF_000001405.40 of Homo sapiens. Taxonomy (NCBI): domain Eukaryota; kingdom Metazoa; phylum Chordata; class Mammalia; order Primates; family Hominidae; genus Homo; species Homo sapiens. The sequence goes on along the minus strand of NC_000014.9, from coordinate 38,326,097 downwards.
GTGTTTTTTTTTTATTATTATACTTTAAGTTCTAGGGTACATGTGCACAACATGCAGGTTTGTTACATATGTATATATGTGCCATGTTGGTTTGCTGCACCCATTAACTCATCATTTACATTAGGTATTTCTCCTAATGCTATCCCTCCCCCATCCCCGCACCCCAGGACAGGCCCCCATGTGTGATGTTTCCCACCCTGTGTCCAAGTGTTCTCATTGTTCAATTCCCACCTATGAGTGAGAACATGCGGTGTTTGGTTTTCTGTTCTTGTGATAGTTTGCTCAGAATCATGGTTTCCAGCTTCATCCATGTCGCTACAAAGGACATGAACTCATCCTTTTTTATGGCTGCATAGTATTCCATGGTGTATATGTGCCACATTTTCTTAATCCAGTCTATCATTGACGGACATTTGGGTTGGTTCCAAGTCTTTGCTATTGTGAATAGTGCTGCAATAAACATACGTGTGCATGCGTCTTTACAGTAGCATGATTTATAATCCTTTGGGTATATACCCAGTAATGGGATTGCTGGGTCAAATGGTAGTTCTAGTTCTAGATCCTTGAGGAATCACCACACTGTCTTCCACAATGGTTGAACTAGTTTACACTCCCACCAACAGTGTAAAAGTGTTCCTATTTCTCCACATTCTCTCCAGCACCTGTTGTTTCCTGACTTTTTAATGATCGGCATTCTAACTGGTGTAAGATGGTATCTCATTGTGGTTTTGATTTGCATTTCTCTGATGACCAGTGATGATTGGCAAAAAATACCAGTATTTACTTGAAATTTGCTGAGGGTGTATCTTAAGTGTCCCATGCACCCCTCCAACCCCCTACACAAGAAAATGGTAATTATGAGATATGATACACCTGTTAATTAGCTTAATTTTGATGATTATTTCACAACATATACATATATGAAAACATCAAGTTGCATGCCTTAAATATATACAATTCCTATTTGTCAATTTTACCTCATTAAAACTGGAAAAGAAAAAGAATTTCTTCCATTAGCAACAAAAATTTCAGTAAGTAAATTTTTTTAAGTACAGTTATGAGCCACCTAAGGATGTTTCAGTCAATGATGGGTTGTAACAGAGCTGAAGAATTCTTATTGCCTAGTGATGTCTTAGCCATCATAATGCTGTAGTTATAATGCATTACTCACCAGTTTCTGGTGATGCTGGTATAAACAAACATACTGCACTGCCAGTCATATAAAAATATAGCATATATAATTAGGTATAGGACATAATACTTTATAATAATGACTATCACTAATTTATGTGTTTACTGTACTGTATATTTTATCATTATTTTAGAGTGTAACCTACTTCTATATATAAAAACATTAACTGTAAAACAGCCTCAGGCAGGTCCTTTAGGAGACATTGCAGGCGAAGGCACTGTTATCATAGGAGATGAGAGCTTCCTTCATGTTATTACCCCTGAAGACCTTCAAGTGGGACAAAATATGGAGGTGACCAACAGTGATATTGATGATCCTGACCCTGTGTAGGTATAGGCTAATGTCTGTGTGTCTTAGTTTTCAACAAACAAGTTTTTTTAAAAAAAAAAGAAAAAGAAAATTAGAAAAAAGCTAATAAAGATATAAAGAAAGAAAATATTTTTGTACAGCTGTACAGTGTGTTTGGTTTTAAGATGTGTTATTACAAAAGAGTCAACAAGTTGTAAAAAATTAAAGATTTTTAAAAGAAAATAAGTTCCAGTAAACTAAGGTTAATTTATTTTTGAAGAAATAAAAATATTCTTGTATAAATTTAGTGTAGCCTAAATTTACAGTGTTTATGAAGTCTACAGTAGTGTACAGTACTGTCCTAGGTCTTCACATTTACTCTTCACTCACTCAGAATAACTTCCAGTCCTGCAAGCTCCATTCACGGTAACTGCCCCGTAGAGGTGTATCGTTTTCTATTTTTTATGTCATATTTTTACTGTACCTTTTCTATGTTTAGAAATGTTTAGATACACAAATAGTATTGTATTAAATTGACTAAAGTGTTCAGTATAGTAATATACTGTGCAGGTTTGTAGCCCAGGTATGTAGTAGGCTATACCATCTAGGTTTGTGTATGTATACTCTGTGATCTTTGCACAGTGACAAAATTGAACTTGCCTAACCCCATATTTAAGCAATGCATGACTGTATGTGTAGAAAATAGGTGAGTAGAAAACTATGCCAGAGGAGTAAAATGTGTTATTCCAAGCATTAATTATATATAAACAAATATGTAACATAATTCTATTAAGTTTAGAAAGGAGATCAAAGTTAATTTTATTACCAAGTGCCCTTGGCCCTATTCACATAACAGTAGAGAGTACACAATCTATCAAAGTAAAAAAAAAAAAAAGTTTTAAAGCAATTTAAATTTATTTTAACAAGGCCAGAAATTAAGTTTTCATGTATTCTATCCAGAGCAAGTACAATGTCATGGCATTAATAACAACTAAAAATACATTTAGACTTTTGAGCAATTTTTTTCCCAGGGTCAACACAGAACCTTGAAAATATCTTGAGGGAAATTACTTAGCCTCTCTGAAAAATAATAAATCCTCATATTATCCTTAATATCCCTAAAGGGTTATGGGATGTTTTCTAATTCTGCATTACAGATGGAAAAGCAAAGAACTTGGCTAATACTTTCTATTTTCAGGAATGGACTGCCCAGAACTATAGTAATGCTCTTTCCTTTTCAGTTTGTTGATCACTTGGCCTTGTATTTTTTTTCTAATAGTGTGTAGATAAGAAATAGCTGTTCTTAAAATCACTGTGATATAGCACGTCACACCCATAAAGATGGCTGTTAGCAAAAAGACAAGAGATAACACAAGTTGGCAAGGGTATGAAGAAAAGGAACCCCAGTACACTGTTGTGGTGAATGTTGATTGGTGCAGCCACTATGGAAAATAGTATGTAGATTCCTGAAGAAATTAAAAATATAACTACCATACAACCCAGCAATCCATCTTCTGGGTATATATCCAGAGGAGATGAAATCACTGCCTTGTAAATATACCTATATTCCCATGTTTATTACAGCATTATTCACAATAGCCAAGATCTGGAAATAACCTAAATGTCCATTGATAGATGAATGGATAAAGAAAATATGGCATATACAATAGAATTGTATTCAACCTTAAAAAAAGGAGGAGATACTGCCATATGCCACAACATGGCTGGACTTGGAAGACATTAGGCTAAGTAAAATAATCCAGACACAGAAAAAATATATTACATGATCTCACTTATGTGCAGAACATATATATTTTTAAAAGTGCTCAAATACACAGAGATAGCAAATGAAACTGTGACATGTTTGGATCTGTGTCACCAACAAAATCTCTTGTTGAATTGTAATCCCCAATGTTGGAGGTGGGGCCTGGTGGGAGGTGATTGGATCATGGAGGAGGAATACCCCCTTGGTCCTGTTCTCATGATAGTAAGTAAGTTCTCGCAAGATCTGGGCATTTAAAAGTGTGTGGCACCTCCCTGCCTCTTACTCCTGCTCCACCATGTGAAGCGCTGGCTCCCCTTTTGTCTGCCCCATGATTGGAAGCCATGTTCCTGAGGCCTCCCCAAAAGTAGAAGCTATGCTATGCTTTCTGTACAGCCTGTGGAATCTGGAATCATGAGCCAATAAAGCTTCTTTTCTTTATAAATTATCCTGTCCCAGATTTTTTTTATAGTAGTGCAAGAATGGACTAATACATAAAATTGGTACTGAGAGTTGTGCATTCCTATAAAGATACCTGAAAATGTGGAAGCAACTTTGGAACTGTGTAATGTGCAGAGGTTGGAAGAGTTAGGAGGACTCAGAAGAAGACAAGAAGATAAGGGAAAATCTGGAACTTCCTAGAGACTTGTTGAATGGTTGTAACTGAAATGCTGACAGTGATATGGACAGAGATGCCCAGGCTGATGAGGTCTCAGATGGAGATAAGGAAGTTATTGGAACTGGAACAAAAATCACATTTGTTATGCTTTAGCAAAGAGCCTGGCTGCACTGTACCCCTGCTATAGGGATCTGTGGAAATTTGAACTTACAGAGTGATGTTTTAGGGTATCTGGTGAAAGGAATTTCTGAGCAGCAAAGCATTCAAGTTGTAACATGGCTACTTCTAACAACCTATGCTTATGTGAGTGAGCAAAGAAAAGACCTGTAATTGGAAATTCTAATTTAAAAGGGAACCACAGCATAAAAGTTTGGAAAATTTGTAGCCTAGCCATGTGGTAGAAAAGAAAAATAGAAAAGTTTCCTATTTTCAGGGGAGCAATTTAAGCAGCCTGCAGAAATTTGCATAACTAAAAGGAAAATAAGTGCTGATAGCCAAGACAATGGAGAAAAAGGCCTTGAAGGCATTTCAGAGACCTTTGCTACAGCCCCTCCCAACACAGGCCTGGAGAAGTAGGAGGGAAGAATGGTTTTGCGGGCCAGACCCAGCACCCTTCTGCCCTGTGCAGCCTCAGGACACTTCTCTCCCATCCCAGCCGCTCCAGTTCTAGCTGTGGCTAAAAGGGGCCCAGCTTGGGTACAGGTACAGCTTGGGCCACTGCTTGAGAGGATGCAAATCATAAGCCTTGGTGGCTTCCGTGTGGTGTTAAGCCAGCAGGTGCACAGAATGCAAGAGTTGAGGCTTGAGAACTTCCTCCTAGATTTCAGAAGATGTATGGAAAAGCCTGGATGGCCAGGCAGAATTCTGCTGCAGGAGTGGAGCCCTCATGGAGAACCTGTACTAGGGCAGTGCAGTGGGGAAATGTGGGATTGGAGCCCACACACAGAGTCCCCACTGGGGCATTGTCTAGTGGGGTTGTTAGAAGAGGGCCACCATCCTCCAGATCCTGGAATTTTAGATCACCAGCAGCTTGAACTGTGCACCTGGAAAAGCTGCAGACACTCAATACCAGCCAATGAGAGCAGCTGTAGGGACTGAACCCTGCAAAGCTACAGGAGTGGAACTGCCCAAGGCCTTGGGAGCTCACCCCTGACACCAGTGTGCCCTGGATGTGAGACATGGAATCAAGGAAAATTATTTTGGAGCTTTACAATTTAATGACTTCCCTGCTGAGTTTCAGACTTGCATGGGGCCTGTAGCCCCTTTCTTTTGGCCAATTTCTTTCTTTTGGAATGGGAGTATTTACCCAATGCCTATGCCCCATTGTATCTTGGAAGTAACTCACTTGTTTTTGATTTTATAGGCTCATAGACAGAAGGGACTAGCCTTGTCTCAGATGACACTTTGGACTTTGAACTTTTGAGTTAATGCTGGAATGAGTCAAGATTTGGGGGGACTATTGGAAAGGCATGATTGTGTTTTGCAATGTGAGAAGGACATGAGATTTGGAGGGGCCAGGCCTGGAATGAGTTTGGATATGTGTCCCCATCCAAATCTCATGTTGAATTGTAATCCCAATGTTGGGGGTGGGGCCCAATGGAAGCCAATTGAATCATGGAGGTGGATTTCCCCCTTGGTGCTATTTTCATAATAGTGAATCTGATGAGATTGGGTTGTTTAAAAGTATGTGGCACCTTCCCTCACCTTCCTCCTGCTCTGGCCATGTGAAGTGCTGGCTCCCCCTTTGCCTTCTGTTATGATTGGAAAATTTCTAAGACCTCCCCAAAAGCAGAAACTACTATGGTTCCTGTGAAGCCTGAGGAGCCATGAGCCAATTAAACCTCTTTTCTTTATAAATTACCCTGCCTTGGGTATTCTTTATAGCACTGTGAGAGCAGACTAATACAAACTGTTTACCATAGGTGGGGGTGCAGGGAGAGAAAAAAATGGCATAAAATAGGAGATACACAGGATGAACAAGTTTAGAGATCTACTGTGCAACATGAGGACTAAAGTTAATAAAATTTTTTTGTAATAGGGATTTTTTTAAAATAATATTTTAGCTGCTTTTGCACACAAAAAAGTAACTGAGATAATAAATTTATTAATCCGCTTCACTTTAATAACCATTTTACTACTATATGTATCCCATGACATCATGTTGTAAACCTCAAATATACACAAGATTTATTTTTTAGAAAAGAAATAACCCATTCTTTATTCTGAAGTCTTCTATTAGTCACTGCAACTTCTGAGCATACTCTCTGGACTATGTAGAGCTAAATATAAAGTCTAGTTTCTAGTATGTAATATTGTACTTTTATGTCTAATTATTTGATGCCCAACCTATAGGATTACACAGCAACACATGTGATCATGTGATACACTGACATCTGGCTGAGCCACGTAACTAACTATTTGCACAATGGACTGTAAGCAGAAATGCCATACACCATGTCAAGGCAGAAGCATAAGAGCCATAGTAAGCTTCAGCCATTTCTCCCTTCCTCTACCATGACAATGGCTTGTCACCTGGGTCCCAGAATGAGAAGAGAGAGCAGAACAGGAGCTATCTACAGGCTACTTATAACATGGATAAGACATACATCTTATTGTTGTAAGCCAGTGAAAATTTGGAAGTGTTTCTTAAAGCAAACAATCTAGCAAAAGTTGCTACTATACGATTCTTGCCACACTGTCACAGATTTAAAACAAATGACTATTTTAGTGCTAATACATAGAAACAGTTATTCAGCTAGAAATTTAAATAAAAGCTTGATCTTTGCATTTGGACATTGCCATTGGATTTTCAATCTCAATTACAGTATTGTCCAGGTACTTGAATAAAAGATGTGTGTCCCTTTTTAGAAAAAAAAAAAAAAGGTTAAGCTTCAATTTAGTACTCAACTGTAAAAAAGGCAGATCAAGTTCAGTAGACTGTTGGCATTTATGGATTTAAAGTTGACCACTTACAAGTGATTGTTAAATCTGTGACATGTGGTAGTTTGTAATTTTGCTGAGGCATTGATTTAAATAGTATTCACAGTGAACCTGTGGTAAAAGTATGCCTCTGTACATGACACTGGGCTTTGGGAAGTCCTAGTCCAATGGGCTTCTCAAAGGGTAGCCCATGAGCTGGTAGCATCAGTACCACTTGGGAACTTGTTACAAATGCAAACTCTTGGGGGTCACTCCAAACTGACTTAATCAGAAACTACTGGGTTGGGGCCCCACCGTCTGCATTGTAGCCAGCCCTTTTGGTGATTCTGGTGCTTGCTAGAAGTTGTGAACCACTGACTTTGTCATTTTCCATGAAGGCATTTGTTGTTCTGTATACATGTGGTGAGACAAAATTTGGAAATCTGCTCTTTAAAAAGCTTTCCTGTTATTCCTAATGCAGGCAGTTCATTTTCACTGGTTTACATTTTAAAAGATCATACAATAGTGTTTTTCAGGATGTAAATTTCACAATATAAAAGTAGACATTCAGAAAGAGCTTGGTAGACAGCAATGTCAAGGTTCTCCTATACATATAATTTAAGGTGATAAATGAATGTTCATATACTTATGATCATAATACATATTGGATTTTATAAAAGAGCAAAACTACAAATATGGTCCCACAGACTCTCCTGACATTCACAGCAAGGAACAAGTCCATGGTAAAGAACACAAAGCATGAATTTCCAGTCCCTGCTTTTTACAACTGAACATTTTACCTGCCTACTCATCCTATGTTCTGGTGTCCTTGAGACGGAGGAACTAGGAAGTCAGCAGACTGGGAACCAGAAATTTAGAAAATAGCTTTCCCGGGGCAGATGCTTCAAATTAAAACATTAAGATGAAAGTCAAGGTCACGTTGGGAAGAACAGATCTGAATAGAGTGTGGGTTGGGAGGAAGAGGAATCTGCATCTGAGTCTAAAATAGATAATAAGAAGAAGAAGGAGAGAAAAAGAGGACTATTATAAATGACATGTATCAATTTTTAAAAAGACAAAAAATAACAAATGCTGGCAAAAATGTTGAGAAAGGAACACAGACACAGTTGGTGGGAATGTAAATTAGTACAGCCATTATGGACAACAGTATTGACATTCCTCAAAAAATAAAAAATAGAACTACCATATGATCCAGCAATCCCACTACTTGGTATAGAGCCAAAGGAAATGAAATAAGCATGGCAAAGAGATGCCTGCATTCCCATGTTTATTACAGCACTATTCACAATAGTCAAAACATGGAATCGACCTAGGTGTACATCAATGGATGAATGGATTAAAAATATGGTACATATGTATACAATGAAATACTATTTAGTCATGGAAAAGAATGAAATCCTGCCATTTGCAGCAACATGAATTGAGCTGGGGGTCACTATGTTAACTGAAATAAACTAAGCACAGAAGGACAAATACTGCATAATTTCACTCATATGTGCAATTTTTAAAAGTTGATCTCAGAAGCAGAGAGTACAGTGGTAGTGACCAGAAGCTGAGGAGAGTAAGTGTGTGGGATACGGAGTGGTTCACCAATTGGTACAAAGTTATGGGTAGATGGAGGAGTAAGTCCTGGTGTTCTATTGTACAGTAGGATGGCTATAGTTAGCAATAATTTATTGTATATTTCCAAATAGCTAGGAGAGGATTTTGAATTCTATCACCACAAAGAAATGGTAAATATTTGAAGTAGTGGATATGCTAACTCTCCTGATTTGATCATTATACAATGTATTTGTATATGGAAACATCACACTGTACCCCATAAATATGTACAATTATTATGTGTTTATTAAATAAATAAAACAGAAAAAGAAGGAAGACAGGAAGAAAATGAGTTGTCAACCAGTTTGTTTTAATGTCTAACTTCCCATATTTGTGCCAATGTTATGCTCATATTAAATCAGCATCATGGACCATGACCCAGTGCTAGCCTTAAGGTGGTAGAATTATTTCTTATGGTTAGAACTCAAGTGCCATGGGAACAGGAGCCTTGCCAGACTTGTTACCACTCTACTCCAAACACCTGATCAACCAGTGAAGCACAGTGGCAGCTTTACCGTGAAGCTAAGCCTAAGCTCCTTCCCTGCATGGACTACTTTCAATATGCATAATTACGTCATAATTTTGTATTATTTTTCTGAAATAGGATTCCTCAAATGGTATCAGCTTCAAGTTTCATTAAACACGGATCCACCTATGGTAAGAGGCAATAAATTGAGGTGCAATATGCTTGGATGAAGGTACAACAAGGAGAATGAAAAGAGAAATGATTAAATAAACATGTTTAGAAGAAAATCAGCTGTACTTAGTGACTGAATTGTGGAAGGAGGGGGATAAAGAAAGAAAAAGTGAACAATTCTTTTTCTTTAATGGCATTATTAATTTCAAAGATAAGTCATATGTAACAGCAGGATATCTGGATATCAACTGACATATGAAAAGCATGTCAATGACACATTGCTTGCCAAAGTGGAGGAATAGCTAAATGCTACTCTAATTAACTGGATTACAAACTGGGTAAATGACTGTACAGATGACACTGATTAAGAGTTAACATAAATCTGTAAGTTTCTATGGGTGTATCAAATGTCTAGGTCTTTATATCTCTTTTTTAAACATGTTTGTTAATGATTTGGACCGAATTATAAGCATGTACTCAATACATTTACATAGGTGATGTGATTTTGAGAAATCCAGAGGATAAACTAAAAACTTATTAACAAAAGGAGGAAGAAGTAGATTCTAAAGTAGTGTATTGAGATACATGACTTGGCAGCAACATTGTTAAAACTGATTTGAGGTTACAGTTGCCCCTGAGTTCACTTTGTGTCAACTGTGTGATGTTCATCCACAAAAGTTAATGTCATCCTAAACCTACATTAATAGAAATAGTTTCTAAATTCTGCAATGAAAGGAGTGTAATAGCCTCCTTTGGCTCCACAATGCTCATTTCTCTCTTCAGTGTGCTGTTGATATGCTCTGTGTGATGAGAATGGTTCAATTTAACCTGCCAAGGATAAAGCTAGGATGAATATCAACAGATTTAATTTTATTAAAATGACTTTTTAATAGAAATATAAAAGAGAAGTGTAGCAGCAAGTTGTTTGCTGTATGTGTTCAATCATAGGCTGGACAGCCAACTTAGCTAGCATTTTGTTATAAAAATTAAAGCATTAAGCAATTGGTTATTTCATGGACTTTAAGGTATCTTTTTAAACTCAGAGTTGTCAAGATCCTATTACTCTATGACTCCTTGATAATTTCTGTTTCAATTTCAGATTGTTGGTCCAGCTTCTTCTGAGTTGTTCTTTTAACTACCAGTTGAACTGGCAGCCATCCGTAGAATGTTCCCTTCTGTGTTTCCAGTCTCATTTCACAGATTCAAAAGATAAATTCTTATTGAAAATTCATATGCTGTTTATTCTTCTGTTCCAGGAGAATTCTGCTTATTTATCTACAGTAAAGCTTTTAAAAAGTGTAGTTTTTGGGGTTGGGCACCATGGCTCACGCCTGTAATCCCAGCACTTTGGGAGGCTGAGGCAAGCAGATCCCCCGAGGTCAGGAGTTCGACACCAGCCTGGGCAACACAGTGAAACCCTGTCTCCACTAAAAATACAAAAAATTAGCCAGGCACGGTGGCGCACACCTGTAATCCCAGCTACTCAGGAGGCTGAGGCAGGAGAATCGCTTGAACATGGGAGGCAGAGATTGCAGTGAGCCGAGATTGTGCCACTGCACTCCAGCCTGGGAGACAGAGCGAGACTCCGGCTCAAAAAAAAAAAAAAAAAAAAAAAAGAAAGAAAAAAGAAAGTGTAGTTTCTGGCATAATTAAAAGGGCTTAAAGAAATTTTCTTCAGAAACTAAGGGCAATCTGGAGACATCCACGGTGAAAGGCTCATTCAGCTTATAAACAGGAATCTGATGATTCTAGATTTTTCTGCTCCAGTTTTCTTGACAAAGATTGTGCTCACTAAAGTTCTCAGCCAGGTAACTGTTAAATTGGCATTAATAAATTATAACATCAGCTACCTTTTGCCCAAAGAGTTATGTTAGAAAATATTCTCCTAAGGATTGCTTTTCTATCTGATATATAAGCCAAATTTTTACTGTAAAAAAAAAATAAGTTCTTATATTACTGGCATTAGTAGGATCTAGTTAATTTTCTTAAAGATCCATACATAGAAGGGATATTTATTAACAAAAAAGATAGTAGAATTAACTTTAATGAGCAGTTAGTATTATCTAAACATTCTTTTATAAAATAACAAAGAATAGATAATCAAATTTGGTTTAATATTACTATTTCTATAAAAGAGACAACTTGATTCTTCAAAGTAATCACCATAATTAAAGGGAAAAAGCTTTTATTGATTAGTTGAGTTTATTTAAATATTATAAACAGTCATGCAAAAAGGTAAAACTAAAATTCAATATGAGGAATCAACCATCATGCTCAGAAAATAAAGTCAAGGTAATAAATAATCAAGTAAATGTAATTTGAATACCATCATTATGAGAGGTAAAAGACAAAAATATTGTCACCATGTTTGCCATATATTTATCTTTTGTCCTCTCACCTCTTTGTAAACTAAGATTTTCTTCACTACCTCACTGAAGTCTTTGGAGGAAATTCATAAATATGAGAACAATTGACATCTAGATGACTCCCAGAAGTTTATCCTTGCAGCCAAAACTGTCATTACCCTATACAAGAATACCTGCAATCTAAATGGTACTTTCAAAGGAACCAGTAAAGAAAGATAAATTTATTAAAAAGCAATAAGGTTGTACTAAAATGACTCAACTTTAACATTTTCTACTACATCTATCACAGGCAATGAGCAATGGTCTACTTTGTTTTGTAATAACCAACATGTTACAAACTCTGAGGAAATCAATATTTACTTTTATAGAAACAATAACAAGAAAATATGTAGAGCTTTAGGGCCCATTAAAATAACTAAAACAAGAACAAATTGTACACATAGATTTTAAAACTTTATTTTAAGGGTGACTTTTATTATATATCACTGTCATAATCATCATATAATCTTATATTAATCATTATTATGGAACCTAATGTTGCTTTCTCAATTCACCTGTAGTGCGGCAAACCTGATAGGGTTTCTCAGTAATAGAAAGCCTTTTTAGTAAGCAGTCTGATAGACTCTTGCAAAGATAGAGGGTTTATGTTCACTATTCAGTTGAAACTACAGGGTGCAGGGGCCATTAGCAGGGCTCAAGAACATCAGCTAACAAATAAGAGCTGTAGGATTTAGTGAGTCATTCCAGAAGGAGCCACAGATCAATTGAAGTATAAACTGGCCTCACTGCACAAATGCCACCTTCTTCAGGAAGCCAAATAGACATAAATACACAGAATGACATAAAATAGTAAAAAAACTAGGCATCTGAGAAGTCTAATATCCAGAATCTATAAGTAACTTAAATCAACAAGCACAAAACAACCCCATTTAAAAATGGGGGCTAAGGACATGAATAGATATGTCAAAAGAAGACATACAAGCAGTCAAAAAAACATGAAAAAATACTCATCATCACTAATCATCAGAGAATGCAAATCAAAGCCACAATGAGATAACCAAATTATATAAGTCAGAAAATAACAGATACTGGCCAAGTTGTGGAGAAAAAGGAATTCTTATACAGTGTTGGTGGAAATGTAATTTAGTTCAGCCACTTTTGAAAGCAGTTTGGAGGTTTCTCAAAAAACTCAGAGCTACAATTTGACCCAGCAATCCCATTATTGGGTATATAGACAAAGGAAAATAAATCATTCTACCAAAAAGACACATGCACTCATGTTAATTGCTGTGCTATTCACTATAACAAAGACATGGAGTCAGACGTGGAATAAGTGGTGAATTGGATGAAAAAATGTGGTATATATACAACATGATATACTCCGCAACCATAAAAAGGAATGAAATCATGTCTTTTGCAGCAACATGGATGGACCTAGAGATCATAATCCTTATTAATTATAAGTGGTGAGGCAGGCAGATTGCTTGAGGTCAGGAGTTGAAGACCAGTCTGTCCAACATGGTAAAACCCTCTCTCTACTTAAAAAAAAAAAAATACAAAAATTATCCAGGCTAGGTGGTGGGTGCCTGTAATCCTAGCTACTTGGGAGGCTGAGGCATGAGAATGGCTGGAACCCAGGAGGTGGAGGTTGCAGTGAGCTGAGATTGTGCCACTGCACTCCACCCTGGGTGACATAGTGAGACTCTGCCTCAAAAAAAAAAAAAAATCAAGTGGGAACTAAACATTGAGCACCCATCAATACAAAGATGGGAAGAATAGACCCTGGAGACTGCTAGAAGGGGGAGAAAGTGAGGGGGTCCTGGGTTGAAAACTACATATTGAGGATTATGCTCACTACCTGAGTGCAATATACCCATGTAACAAACCTGTACATATGCTCCCTGTATCTAAAAAAAAAAAAAAAAAAAGCCTTTTTTCACCACTCCATCTAAAATAGCCCTTTTGTAGTCATTATCTAGCTCCTTATCCTATTTTGTTTTTTTTTTCCCAGCATTCATCATTGCTGATACTGTGTAGCATATTAGTTGTTTATCATCTATCTCTCCTTCTAGAATGTAAGCTCCCTGAGGATTGGATTATTGTTTAATTTGCTCATGGTCCCACAAGCTGAAACAATAACTGAAAAATTGGTAACTTTCCATAAATATTTGTGAAATGGTTGAAATCCAAGGGAGGTAGACTATCTGCCAATGGATGAAAAAATGAAATCCTCAGTAAAGGCTTTCCTCGAAGACATTTGTGGTACTGAACACCATTTACTCACATACTGCTAAAAGCATGTGAAAAATAATAAAATTTCCGTGAACCCCATTTTCTTTATGTGGAGTAGGTCCAAAAAACCTATAAAGCTTTCTTATGAAAAACAATTGTACTTCAAATTCTGTACATACAGAGTCCAGATATTTTTTGTCTCCTTCTACTGCACTGATTATAAAAAGACCACAACCATCAAGGTTGAAAGAACTAGAAACACACAATCAGAGATATATAAGCAGAATATTCTAAGCAATTAGAATATAGTTATAGTCCATTGCTCCAAAAAGTGAATTAAAAAACAAATTCGGAAATATTCCGGGGATAATTAGCATCAGGGAAATTGAGCTGAATTTAGAAATAAAACATTTATAATACATGAGATTATTTTAATATGTTCATGAAATTTTCTCCATTTATGATTGTGTTAGTGTTATTTATCTTGGCAAAGGAAAGATTTTGAATACTGAAGCAGTAAAAGCAGGAAGCCACAGAAAGCTGTTTACTCCATTACTTAAGTTTTCAGTGGGTTTACACAGTGTTTGGGAGACAAGCAAGCTTCAGAGATTTATTTCATGGGGTCTGGAATTGCAGAGAGAACACACTAAGGAGAACAGTTGAATCTCACATCCTGTGTGGGAGGGAAAAAAAGGCATTTACCTAAAGTAGACATTGCACCAAATACTGAAAGGTTATCTGATAGCAACTGAGGCAAAAAAAAAAAAAAAAAAAAGAAGGTATTCTTGCATTGAAGCAGTTATGGTTTTGAGAGCAATTTGAATTAAAAAACAAAAATGTCTATATTTTCTTTCTGTGAAGTGCCACTAGTGATGTTTTTGTTTTTCTTTCCTATTAGTTGAGCAGTCCTAAAGCACTAGTTGTTAGGGAGAACTTGGTAATAATTGTATTCCCTCAATTTTTATTTAAAACGGCAAATCATTTGTAATATATCATTTTAAAAACAACAACTATGATACACCTTTTAAAGTATAAGATGACCTCAGTTCCTGAGAAAAGGAGTGTTTTTTTGTCAGTACTCAAATATCCTTAATGGCATAAATTGCAGGCTCTGACATGATGACCCATTTTTAAATTGAATATAAATGACAAGCTAGTGTAAGGAATGTAAATTCCCATCGAATCAGCATTACTCTGTTCTGTTTACTTATGCCTTTTAGCATTATGCTTTAAAAACACTGATATCTTTATCTTTTTTTAGTTCCATTTAATTTATTCAGCAATGTGCCCTTTTGTTATGTGTAAGAAATCCTCATTTCTTCTCCTTATCCTATTTGCTTTGCTGTCTTATTCAGTGTTCATGAAACAGCCTTGTTTGTAAAGGAGGTAACCCAAACTGATGTTTGACATGCAGTAGGCAGTTTCTGAGTTCAAATGTTTAACACTTGCTTCTAACATTTTTGCCTTAATAATATTCCCAACTGTATACCAAAATGAGCCTTATATTTAATGTCTAAGGGAAATGGGAAAACCATACTGTGGTATAGCAATATTATGACAAGGCATTATTATTAAAAGGCATTATTCTTAGAGTTCTAACTAGAGAGCACTAAGATCTGCCCATTTTCATACCCAGTGCTTGAGAAGCACTTTGCATTCTTAAAGAACATAACAATGAAACTCGTGCTTTGATTTTGCTCCTTGTCTAATTTTTCAGCCCATTCTAGCTGATTTTAGCATATTGTTTTGTATTTTAGAAGAGTTATTTTTAGTTCAGTCTTCCATTTGACTTCATACATCATTTTTTTCTTCTCTTTTCATTTCCCTGATTTGAAACTTGATCTATTCAAAGGAGGAAATGAAGAAGAATGGTCTTCCAGGTTATTTCCTGAAGATAAAATTCAGCGTCAATTCAAGGAAAGTAAAACTGAGTTTTAATACCCAATTAAGGATTTTGAAAAACACAGCAACTTGAGAACTTGATTTATCAAGCCATTTTACGATGCTTTATTATTCTTCAAGACTAGGTATCTGGTTACTTGCTAATGCTGTGTGGTCTTTGGATCACTGAATGACTTTTGCATTTTATCGTCTGAAGGCTTTGAGAATTATAATTTTTCTACATCACTAACACTTCACATTAAGAGAAACAGCACTATTTATTTTGCTGCTAGGTTTCAAAAAGTATATTTCTTGCATTTTAACCAGGCTAGACACACTTCAAGATGCCATGCAGCTAAGCCCAGGATAGCAGGGCACTGTTCTTTTTCTTTCTTCCTCCCCATCCTCAGCTCTCCCTCATTCCCAACTCTGCCTCTCATTTCCTCAGCAACCTCCTCCACATTCTCACAAAGCAGAGATTAGATAAATAGGACTGTGATACTGCTGTGATACTGGTAAGAGTTCATAACTTCTCGCTGTTGACAACCACATTGCTTAGCCCGCCCACACAATGACACTGGCTTCCTAAGTTCTTGGCTCTGTGGGGTGGGAGAGAGTGTAGGGGGTTTTTTTGTTTGTTTGTTTGTTTGTTTGTTTGTTTGTTTGTTTTGCTTTGTCACCCAGGCTAGTGTGAAGGGTTTTGCTCTGTCATCCAGGGTTTCTCTCTGTCATCCAGGCTGGCATGAAGTGGAATGCAACCTTGGCTTCCTGGGCTCAAGCCGTCCTCCCACCTCAGCCTTCTGAGTAGCTGGGACTACAGGCAGAGACCCCACCATGCCTGGCGTACCTTTTTCTTGTTAGAGATGGGTTCTCACTATGTTGCCTAGGCTGGTCTCTAACTCTTGGGCTCAAGCAATCTGCTGGCCTTGGCCCCCCAAAGTGCTGTGATTACAGGCATGAGCCACGGCACCCAGGAAGGGTAGGTTCTTAAGGGAAAATATTTCCTCCATGTGTGGCAGAAAGTATTCTAGTAAGAGAAGCAGCAGGAAGGGCTATGAGGCAACAGATGAAACACAAAATTAAATGCATAGAAGGATGGAGAAGATGCAGAATGCAGAAAGAAACACGCTGGGGAGCTCATCGGTCTTACGTGGTTCAGAAACATATTTGTCTCCTATCCTTCCCCCAAATCGACAACTCTTGGTCAAAAGAGGGTCAACGAAGATAATTTTTTAAAATAAAATTTCCTTTTCTAGCCTTGGGAACTATTTTCAACATGATTTCAGGGTCAAAATATTAGAATTATTGAAAATTTTAAGTAAATGGTTTATTTTTGTTTTATTATAAAAAATATTGGGTTAAGACAAGTTAGAAATTTTTGAACATTACTAAAGCATGAAATTATACTTCAATATGTCTTAGACATTTTGAAATTGGTGCTTTTGAAGTTTAACCTAGAGATTGAGGTCCCATTAGGCAAAATAAAAGTCCAGTGCTATTTTATCTTGCAAGTGTAAAATTGTTGTACAATTGAAAAAGGACTGGGCTGTATTTCCTCTACTTACTAAAAAGATACAAGTCAAATTACTATATCAGATCCTGAACAATAGAATTTTTGTTTTATTTTTCTCTCTTGCTAGGGGCTGGGAAAAGTAATTCCTTCAACTATTCTTGCATCAATCATTGCTGTTCAATAATGCTTGCAGAGTGAATGACAAAATATGTAAATGATTACTTTCACACCTGAAACATTCTGTCCCTTGTCTCATAGAAAATCATCTGCTTAATAAATTTTTAATTTTTTTTTAGTTTATTAATATTTTAATTAATAAATTTATAAGAAGCTGTTTTTGTAAAACCTGGCTAGCTGATTCTAAAATATATAATACAAATGAAGTAGAATAACTATAATAATCTTAAGGAATAACAAAGTTGGATACTTATAGTACCAGATATTGTGCCAGGTGCCATAAAGCTACAGTAACCAGGACAGAATGTAGGTGCAACAATAGACAAATGGGTCCATGGAACAGAGTAGAGTCCAGAAACAGATCCAAACATATAGAACCTTTTGATTTATGACAAAGACAACAGCGAAATTCAGTGGAGGAAATGATAGTCTTTTCAGTAAGTATACTGAATAAACTGGAATATCTGTATAGAGAAAACTAACCTTGAACCCTACCTTAGCATATATACTAAATTGCTTTGAAATGTATCATACACTTAGATATGAAAGTTAACATAACACAGCCTCTCTTTTTCTTAGCTTGGTTAGGGGCTTATTCATTTCGTATATCTTTCCCAAAGCCAGCTTTTAGTTTTGTTGATTTGGTCGATTGATTTACTGTTTTCAATTTCATTGATTTCTGCTCTATTTTTTAATCACATATTTTCTTCTGTTTACATTGGTGTAATTTGTTCTTTCTCGCTTCCTAAGGCAGAGGCTTATATTATTATCTCTAGATTCTTCTCCTTTTGTAATATCTGCACTCAATGCTACATCCCACAAATTTTGATAAATTGTATTTTCATTTCAATTTAGTTAAAAGTATTTTTAAATTTCTATTCTTCTTTGGTCTATGTGTTATTTAGGAGTGTTTTGTTTACCCTCCAAATACTTTGCAATTTTCCTTATCTTTCTGTTATTGATTTCTAGTATATATTTTACTGTAGCCTGAGATAATACATTATATAATTTCTATTCTTTTAAATTTCTTAAGGTATGTTTCATGACCCAGAATATGGACTATCTTGGTGGATGTTCCATGTAAGCTTGAGAAGAATGTGTATTCTGCTGTTGATATATTAAGGAGTTTATAGATGTCCAGCAGATTCATGATGCTGTTGATTTCAACTATGTCCTTAGGGATTTTTCTGACTCCTGGGTCTGTCCATTTCTGATAGAGGAGTGTTAAAATTTCCAACTATAAGAGTGCATTCATCTATTTTTCCCTGCAATTCTATCAGTTTTTGCCTCACATATTTTGACAGTCTGTTGTTAGGTATATACACTTTAAGGAGTGTTGTCTTCTTGGAAAACTGACCACTTATTATTATGTAATGCCCTTTTTTATCTCTGATAATTTCCTTGCTCATAAGTCTTCTCTGTCTGAAATTAATATAACTACTCCTGTTTTCTTCTTTTGATTAGTGTTAGTATGACATCTCTTTATTCATTTACTTTTAATCCATATATGTCTTTATATTTAAAGTGGATTTCTCGTAAACAACATAGAGTTGGGTCTTGTTTTCTGATCCACACTGACAATCTTGTCTTTTTTAAATTAATTTTATTTTAGGTTCAGGGGTACATGTGCAGGTTTGTTATACAGGTAAATTGCATTTTGCAGCGGTTTGATGTATAGATTGTTTCATCATCAAGGTAATAAGCATAGTACGCAATTCATAGTTTTTCAATCCTTACCCTCCTCCCTCCCTTCACCCTGAAGTAGGCCCCAGTGTTGATTACCCTCTTCTTTGTGTCCATGTGTACACAATGTTTAGCTCCCACTTATAAGTGAGAACGTGCACTATTTCATTTTCTGTTCCTGTGTTAGTTTGCTTAGGATAACAGCCTCCAGCTTCATTCATGTTGCTGTGAAGGACATGATCTCATATTTTTAATGACTGCATAGCATTCCATGGTGTATATATACCATGTTTTCTTTATTCAGTCTACCATTGATGGGAATTTAGGTTGATTCCATATCTTTGCTATTGTGAATAGTGCTGCAATAACATATGTGTGCATGTGTCTTTGTGGTAGAATGATTTATATTCCTTTGGGTATACACCCAGTAATGGGATTGCTGGATTGAATGGTAGTTGTAAGTTCTTTGAGAAATCTCCAAACTGCTTTCCACAGTGGATGAACTAATTTACATTCCCACCAGGAGTGTGTAAGTGTTCCCTTTTCTCTTCAACCTTGCCAGCATCTGTTATTTTTTGACTTGTAATAATAACCATTCTGACTGGTGTGAGATGCTCATTGTGGTTTTGATTTTCATTTCTCTAATGATTAGTGATGTTGAGCATTTTTTCATATGCTTCTGGACCATGTATATGTCTTCTTTCGAGAAGTGTCTGTTCATGTCCTTTGCCTACTTTTTAATGGGGATTTTTATTATTAATTTGTTTAAGTTTCTTATAAATCTGGATATTAAACCTTTGTCAGATGCATAGTTTGCAAATATTTTCTCCCTTTCTGTGGGTTGTCTGTTTACTCTGTTGATATTTTCTTTCGCTATACAGAAGCTCTTTAGCTTAGTTACATCCAATTTGTAAATTTTTGTTTTTGTTTCATTGCTTTTGGCATCTTCGTCATGAAATCTTAGCCAGGGCCTATGTCCAGAATAGTGTTCCTTAGGTTTTCTTCAGGGGTTTTTATAGTTTTAGGTGTTACATTTTAGTCTTTAATCCATCTTTAGCTGATTTGTTAGTATCGTAAAAGGAAGGAGTCCAGTTTTAATCTTCCGTATGTCACTAGCCAGTTATTCCAGCACCATTTACTAAATAGGGAGTCGTTTCCCCATTGCTTGCTCTGTCAGCTTTGTTGAAGATCAGATGGTTCTAGGTGTGGGGCTTTATTTCTGGGCTCTCTGTTCTATTCTATTGGCATATGTGTCTGTTTTTGTACCTGTGCCATGCTGTTTTGGTTACTGCAGCCTTGTAGTATAGTTTGAAGCTGGGTAAGGTGGTGTGCCTTAAGCATTGTTATTTTTACTTAGCATCGATTTGGCTATTCAGGATCTTTTTTGGTTCCACGTGAATTTTAGAATAGTTTTTTTCTATTTCCGTGAAGAATGTCATTGGAAGTTTGATAGGAATAGCATTGAATCTACAAATTGCTTTGGGCAGTATGGCCATTTTAACAACATCTTGCTTCCTATCCATGAGCATGGAATGTTTTTCCATTTGTTTGTTTCATGCCTGATTTCATTCAGCAGTGTTTTGTAATTCTCGTTGCAGAGATTGTTCAACTCCCTGGTTAGCTATATTCTAAGGTATTTACTTTTATGGCTATTGTGAATGGAATTGCTTTCTTGATTTGGCACTCAGCTTGGATGTTGTTGATCTATAGAAATGCTACTGATGTTTGTACATTGATTTTGTATGCTGAAACTTTACTGAAGTTGTGTATCAGCTCTAGAAGCTTTTGGGCAGAGTGTATGGGATTTTCTAGATAAAAAATCATATAGTCTGCAAACAGAGAGAGTTGGACTTCCTCTCTTCCTATTTGGATGCCTTTTATTTCTTTCTCTTGGCTGATTGCTCTGGCTAGAACTTCCAGTGTTATGTTAAATAGGAGTGGTGAGAGTGGGCATCCTTGTCTTGTTCTGGTCATCAAGGGAAATGCTTTCAGCTTTTTCCCATTCAGTATGATGTTGGCTGTAGGTTTGTTATAGATGGCTCTTATTTTGAGCTATATTCCTTCAGTTCTTGTATGTTGAGGCTTTTTAACATGAAGAGATGTTGAATTTTATTAAAGACTTTTGTTCATCAATTGAGATGATCATATGGTTTTTGCTTTTCTTTCTGTTTATGTGATGAATCACAGTTATTGATTTTCATATTGAGGATTTTTGCATCTATGTTCATTAGGGATATTGGCTTGAAGATTTCTTTCTTTGTTGTGTCTCTGCCACTATTGGGTGTCAGAATAATGCTGGCCTCATAGGATGAGTTGAGAAGGAGGCTCTCTACCTCAATTTTTGGGAATAGTTTCAGCAGAAACTGTGGCAGCTCTTCTTTATATGTCTGGTAGAATTTGGCTGGAAACTGTCAGATCCTGGGCTTTTTCTGGTTGGTAGGATTTTTATTACTGATTCGATCTTGGAACTCATTATTGGTGTGTTCAGGTTTCAATTTCTTCTTGGTTCAATCTTGGAAGGCTGTATATTTCTAGGAATTTATCAATTTCTTGTAGGTTTTCTAGTTTCTGTGTATAGAGGTGTTTGTAACAGCTTCTGAGGTTTCTTGTATTTTTGTGGGGTCAGTAGTAATGTCGCCTTTTTCATTTCTGATTGCATTTATTTGGGTCTTCTCTCTTTTTTCTTTTTAGTCTAGCTAGCAGTCTATAAATGTAATTTTTTCTTTCAATAACCAACTTATGGTTTCATTGATCTTTTGTATGGCTTTTCACATCTTAATTTCATTTAGTTAAGTTCTGATTTTTGTTATTTTTTGTCTTCTGCTAGCTTTGGGGTTAGTTTGCTCTTGTTTTTCTTGATTTCTTCAATGATCTATGTACTTAAGTGTGTTTTTGTGGTTGCTAGTGATGGTTTTTTTTCATATTTAACACTCCCTTAAAGACCTCTTGTAAGGCAAGGTGTGGTGTTAGGCTGTGAATTTGAGATCTTTCTACTTTTTTGATGTGGGCATTTAATGCTATAAACTTTCCTCTTAACACTACTTTAGCTGTGTCCCACAGATTCTGGCATGTTGTATCTTTGTTCTCATTAGTTTCAGAGAATTTCTTGCTTTCTGCCTTAATTTCATTATTTACCCAGAAGTCATTCAGGAACAGGTTGTTTAATTTCCATGTTATTGTATGGCTTTGGGTGATATTCTTAGCATTGGTTTCTATTTTTATTACACTGTGATCTAAGAGTGTTGTTGGTATAATTTCATTTTTTTTTAATTTGCAGAAAATAGTTTTATGGCCAATTGTGTGGTTGATTTTACAGTATGTGCCATGTGCAGATGAGAATAATATATATTCTGTTGGTTTTGGTTGGAGAGTTCTGTAGATGTCTTTTAGGTCCATTTGGTCAAGTGTCAAGTTTAGGTCCCAAATGTCTTTGTTGTTTCTCTGCCTCAGTGATCTATCTAATACTGCCATGGGGGTGTTGAAGTCTCCCACTATTATCATGTGGTTATCTAAGGCTCTTTTAAATCTCTAAGAACTTGTTTTATAAATCTGGATGCTCCTGTGTTGGGTGTATATATATTTAGGATAGTTAAGAGTTCCTGTTGAGTTGAACCCTTTGCCATTCTGTAATGCTCTTATCTTTTTGATCATTGTTGGTTTAAAGTCTTGTTTTGTCTGAAATTAGAATAGCAACCCCTGATTTTTGTTGTTGTCTGTTTGCTTGGTAGATTTTTTTCCATTTCTTTACTTTAACCCTATGAGTGTCATTGAATGTGAGATTAATCTCTTGAAGACAGCATACAGTTGGGTCTTGCTTCTTTATCGAACTTGTCACTCTGTGCCTTTTAATTAGGGCACTTAGCCCATTTACATTGAAGGTTAATATTGATACATGTGGATTTGATCCTGTTATTGTGGTGTTACTGGTTACGATGTAGACTTAATTGTGTAGTTGCTTCATATTGTCAATGATCTATGTACTTAAGTGTGTTTTTGTGGTTGCTAGTGATGGTTTTTTGTTTCCATATTTAGCACTCCCTTAATGACCTCTTGTAAGGCAGATCTTGTGGTAACACATTACCCTAGCATTTGCTTGCCTGAAAAGGATCTTATTTCTTCTTTGCTTATGAAGCTTAGTTTGGCCAGATATGAAATTCTTCATTGGAGTTTGTTTTCTTTAAGAGTGCTGAATATGGACCCCAATCTCTACTCACTTGTAAGTTTTCTGCTGGAAGGTCTGCTGTTAGCCTGATGGAGTTCCCTGTGTAGGTGACTTGCCCTTTCTCTCTAGTTGTCTTTAATATTTATTCTTTCATATGAACATTGGAGAATCTGAGGGCTTTGTTTCTTGGGGATGGTCACCTTGTATAGCATCTTGGAGGGGTTCTCTGCATTTCCTGAATTTGAACATTGGCTGCTCTCTTGAGGTTGGGGAAATTTTTGTGGACAATATCTTCAAATATTGTTTTATTTATTCCTTAGATTTCTTGGATTCAGTTTCAACTTTCTCCTGAATCTTGATGATCTTTGTTTCTATCCATATTCTAAATTCTATGTCTATCATTTTGGCCTGGTTAAGAACTATTGCTGGGGAGCTAGTGAAATCATTTGGACTCAAGAAAACACCCTAGCTTTTTGAGTTGCCAGAGTTCTTGTGCTGACCTTTCTGATCTGTGTGGGCTGATGGTCCTTTTATCTTTGAAGTTGCTGTCCTTTGGATTTTTTTTTTAACTTTTATTTTTAGTGCCCTTGAGAGTTTGACTGTGATATCAGGTGGGTTTAGTAGACTATCTTCAATTCTGGAAGATTTCGGGAGACCAAGGCTCAACTCAGCGCTGTTCAGCTGTGTGCTCTAACTCTGGGGCACTGGCAGGGGGTAGGGTGTCAGTTGGGCAGGGTGCTAGCAGGGGTGAGTTTCCAGCACCTGTGCAAGCACTTACTCCAGCAGCAGCAGTGGAAGCAGTGCAGTGGGCTGCCCACACCTCAGTAGGGGTGGACTGCCAGCAAGGGTGGGTGGGGTGGCAGGATGAACTTGCTCTGATGGTTGGTGAAGTGGTGAGGTGTGCACACACATGCATACCATTGGGGATGTGATAGTGAGGTTTGGTTACATGAATGCACTTGCAAAGCAGTGGGAGAAGACCATGGGTGAGTGCATGTGGCAAAGACCCAAGGGGAGGCTGTAGTGGGGGCAGGACGTGTATGAGTCAGAGAAGCTGGAGCTCTCCAATGGTCAGGGATGGTACCAGCAAAGGAGCTATGATGAGGGCACCTGAGAATCACCCTGGTTGTGCATCCAAGGCAGTGCTGTAATTGGGGGTGGGTAGGCTGGTTGTCCAGGAGAGGCTAGGAAACAGGGAACCCCATTTCATAGACAAGATGTTCTTGCTCTGTCCAGGTTCAACAGTCACTCAAAGGCTAGGGACACCTAGAGGAGCTTGGAGAGCGTTGGGGGTTGAGCATTCTTGGCCATGCTCCATTGCAGACCTTCCTGCACCAAACCCTATAGGTTCCACACAGGCTGGAGTCCTGCCCCTGCCATCTCTCTAAACAGCTCTCCCTGCCAGCTCCAGTGTCCATGTGGATGGTGGGCTTTCTGCAGCTAGGATTCCAGAGGTCTGTGGTGAGAGTGAGCCACTCCTCACCTGTTCAACTCACTCCTTCCCCAGGAGTCACTGGAGGCCTGCAGTAGGTCCCAGTGCTTTGCAGCCCCAGCGTTCCCAGCTTCCTCTCCCATCAGTCCAATGTCTGTGTCCTCCCTTGGTCCACTCTCAGTGTTTTCCCTCTGAAGATCTGCTCAAAGTGTGCCAGTCGTCCTGATGTCCTGGTCTTTTGGTAAGAGTTGTTCCTTCTGGCTGTGTCTAGTCAGCCATCTTGGCTCTCTCTCCTGTCTTGATTAGTGTATTTAGACTACTATTATTGATATAGCTGGATTAATATCTACCATATTTGCTATCATTTTCTAGTTATTGTCTTTGTCCTTTTCCCCCTTTTTTTATGTTCTACTCTTCTTCTGCCTTTTGTGATTTAAACTGAACATTTTATATGATTCCATTTTCTCTTCTTTCTTAGCACATCAATAATATTTCTTTTGTTACTTTTTTTTAGCGGTTGTCCTAGAGTTTGCAACACACCTTTACAGCTAACAAAAGTCTGCTGTCAAATAACACTATACCACTTCACAGGCAGTGCAAGTACTTTATTAAAACAAAATATCCCTAATTCCTCCTCATGTCTTTTACATCATTGATGTCATTCATTTCACTTATATATACAATGTAATTATCAAATGCATTATTGCTATTATTTAGAACAAACTGTTATCCATTACATCAATTAAGAATGAGAAAAGTATTTTAGTTTTGCCTCTACTTATTCATTGTCTGATGTTTTTCCTTTCCTTATACAGTTCTAAGTTTTTGAACAATATCAGTTTCCTTCTTTTAGAAAACTTATTTTAAGATTTCTTGCAAGACAGCTTTACTGGCAACATATTCCTTCTCTCTGAGGTGGACTTTTCCCTTTACTTTTGAAGAATAATTTTGCAAACCTTAGAATTCTAGGTTGGTGCTTATTTTCTCTCAAAATCTTAAATATTTTACTCCACTTTCTTCCTATTTGCATGGTTTTTAAGGAGCAGTCAGATATAATTCTTATCTTTGCTCTTCTATAACTAAGGTTTCGTATTCTTCTAACTTCTCTTAGGATTTTTTCACTATCTTTGATTTTTTTGTAGTTTGAATATAATATTCCTATGTGTAGTGTTTTGGGCATTTATTCTGCCTGATGTTCTCTGAGCTTCCTAGATCTGTAGTTTGGTGTCATTTCAGGAGGAAATTCTCAGTCATTATTGCTTCAAATATTTCTTCTGTTTCCTTTTATTTCTTTTCCTTCTGGTTTTCCCATTACATGGATATTACATCTTTTGTAGTTGTTTTACAGTTCTTGGATATGTGTTCTACTTTTTTCAATTTTTTTTTTTAATTTTCAGTTTTAGAAGTTTCTATCGTCACATCCTCGAGCTCAGAGATTCTTTTCTCAGCCATGTCCAATCTACTAATAAGCCCATCAAAGGTCTCTTCATTTCAATTACAGTGTTTTTTATCTCTAGCATTTATTTTCGCTTCTATCTAAGAAGTTCTATTTTCTATTTATATTATTCATCTGTTCTTGCACGTTGTCTACTTTTCTCATTACAGCCCTTAGCTTATTAATCATAATTATTTTTAAAATTTATGCTCTGATGATTCCAACATCCCTGCTGTATCTGGGTCTCGTTCTGATGCTCGCAATGACTGCTCAAACTGTGCTTTTTGCCTTTTAGTGTGCCTTGCATTTTTTTGGTGCTGTTGAAAGGTGGACAAGATGTACTGTGTAGAAGGAACTCTGGTAAATAGACTTTTAGTAATGTGGTGGCGAGATGTAGAAGGAAGAGAAGTGTTGTATGATTACATGATTAGGTTTCAGTTATTTACAGAGCTTGTGCTACTGAATTGTGAGCTTCACAAGTGCTTCTCAGATTGGTATTTTTTTTTCAGCACCGTAGGTAGTTCAGGATAGAAGGGATGGGAGTTGGCTATTTTTCTTCCCCCCAAGTCAGTTAGGATAAAAAAAAAATCATCTTGAGGTCAGGTCTTGTTAAGAACAGAATGCTCTGGTATATTTGAAAATGGTCACTTTTGGGCTGGGCGCGGTGGCTCACGCCTGCAATCCCAGCACTTTGGGAGGCCGAGGCGGGCGATCACGAGGTCAGGAGATCGAGACCATCCTGGCTAATACGGTGAAACCCCGTCTCTACTAAAAATACAAAAAATTAGCTGGGTGTAGGCGCGGGCGCCTGTAGTTCCAGCTACTCGGGAGGCTGAAGCAGGAGAATGCCGTGAACCCAGGAGGCGGAGCTTGCAGTGAGCCGAGATCGCACCACTGCCCTCCAGCCTGGGCGACAGAGCGAGACTCGGTCTCAAAAAAAAGAAAGAAAAAAGAAAAAGAAAATGATCACTTTCTCCCAATTCCCTATCTGTCCTCTCCTGGAGGGTATTTTTCTCTGATATGCATTTTTAGAACCTGGTATAGCCTCTGGAGATAAAGTTCACAAAAGTATGAGTCCTCTCTACCCCAAGCTGGGTCCCCCTGGAGTTTTCATCTCTTAGGCTTGTCCACACTGAGCGTACAGCAATCGGCAAGTCATCAATTACAATTTGGGTTTGCCTTCCCTGGCACTAGTTCCCACAGAGGATTTTGCTCATGGATTTCTGCTCCCTTAAGTTGTGAGTCTCAGTATTCACCTGTCTGTCTCTCCAATTTTGGGGTGCAGTGGTTTGCCCTGTGACCTCACTTCTCTGATGAATCTAAGAAGAGTTGCTGATGTTTCAGTTTGTTCAGCTTTTTACTTACTGTTAGGATGTAGTGAAGACTTTTATGTTTCTTACACGAGGGATCAGGCACCAAAAATCTCTTCACCTTTTATTTCTAGGACTCTGCACTAGAAACTCCTTAGATTTCTCTGACCTCAGCCTCCAAAAGTTCCCCAAAGTTATAATTTTAGCTTTTGTCTCATGCAGACCACTTCCCCATCCTCCAGCAGAAATCTCTTTTACTCACATCAAGTCATATGAAGTTGCCATATGAATGCTACCTCAATTTTTCTTTCTAGTCTCAAACTCACATTCTTCCAGTGTTGCATTCTAACTACCTGTAAGGGAATAAACAACGAATAAATACAAAGGTACTAAAATAATATGGCTGCTCAAAACCTCACCTTGATGTCTTATTAGGGTTATATTTGATATCCCTCCAAACAAATTCTTGCTCTTCTATCAAAACTAAATATTCTGTAATGTTCTTTTACTGTCTCATTTGAATTGCCAGTGTCTCAGTTCAGAAATCTCAGCTATAACTCTGTTGCCATCCTCTTCCTGGTTATTCCACGTTGCATCAGATAATATTTTTGTTTCTTTTTTCCAATCTGCCTCACTGTCATCTTGTCTTTTCCTTTCTTGTTGCTAACAACAACCTCACTTAAATCCTAAACACTTAAAATCTTTGCCTCAGTTGTTGACTTCCTGATAAGTATTTTGGAAAAGGAAAATTGTCTGATTGCTTTGACTCCCCTTATCCTTTTATGTAAGGGTTGTGCTAGTTCAAGTAATAACCTGCTTTTCTTTTTAATTTGCATACTCCTCCTGGGGAAATCTCACTCCCTCCTAAAACAGCATCTAACACCAGTTCTTCAAGTTCTCTTTCGTCAGCCCAGATTCACTCCAATTCCAACATTTTTAAACATTTCCATTTAACTGTCTCACATACATCTCAACTGGCTGGAGAAAAGCCAAATGGCTGGCT
Organism: Homo sapiens; assembly: GCF_000001405.40. Taxonomy (NCBI): domain Eukaryota; kingdom Metazoa; phylum Chordata; class Mammalia; order Primates; family Hominidae; genus Homo; species Homo sapiens. The sequence goes on along the minus strand of NC_000014.9, from coordinate 38,297,863 downwards.
GCCTAGAAATCTCCCTGGATGAAATTTGGTGAATGTATCATGATGTGGGACCAGGCCTTAGCTTTTTACATCCATGAACCTGATCTTGTCTAGTGCTCCAAAGTCAACTATATACAGGGAAACCTAATGACCCTAATATGTTTACAAGAGACATTAATTAAATTGCCAGTTTTCTATTTTACAGAAAATATACAAAATTTTTTACACACATCAATATATCTGCAAAACCAATTATCTCTGTGTCTCTGCACTCACCCCTGAAGCAATCGATAAGAGAAGCTGTATGATAAGCAGAAGTAGAACAAAGTGGTAGCTATTCAAGCAGGGCTCTGACCTCACAGAAATATTATACCCAGACCAAGGAGAAATCATAAACATCTTCCCCCACTCGAGGGGCTTCTTCCTTATTAACATACTAATTGCTGTTGACCTATTTTATCTCTTTTATCAATGAAAAGTACTGAATACATGCTACAACCTCTACCTTCTGACAAGTTATCTAAGTTTATCATGTTTCAGATAGAAACAAGGAGTTATTTGTTATATATATGCTATATATAACCATGCTATATATGCTATGCTATATATGCTATAACTGCTATGGCCATGCTATATATGCTATAACTGCTATGGCTATATATATATATATATATATATATATATATATATATATAGCTATGTATAGCATATATATATAGCATATATGTATACATACACATATACATACATATATATATAGCCATAGCAGTTATATATATGCTAATATAGCCTGATTTTATACTTCTTGCCTTTGTTTCAGAATATAGTCATGCACCCCTTAAGGATGTTTCAGTCAATGACGGACCACATATATGGCAGTAGTCCCATAAGATTATAATACAGTATTTTTACTGTACCTTTTCTAGGTTTAGAAATGTTGACATACACAAATACTTCTCATTGTGTTACAGTTGCCTACAGTGTTCATTACAGTAGCATGCTGTACAGGTTGGTAGCCTAGGAACAATAGGCTATAGCACATAGCCTAGGTGTGAAACAAGCTATACCATCTAGGTTTGTGTAAGTTTGCACAGTCACAATGTTTGCACAGCCATGAAATCACCTGACAGATTCCTCAGACCATATTCTCATGGTTAAGCAAAGATGATTGTATATTACATTTAGCGTATATCTAACTGGTCTTATCCATAAAGCATGATTTTACACACTGACTCTTGGGATCTGGGGAATCTTGTCTGCACCACCATCTTCTCTATCTTGTTTAATGAAATCACTGTGTACTTCACTCAGAATCTCAAAGTCACATTTTTGACTTCTTTTGCTCCCTTGGCTACCACATCAAATTAAACACCTTGCAGTAGTCTCCTGTCTTCCTTGCTTCAGCCTTTCCAATCCAATCTCTATGGTACTGAGTATGTCAAATGCAGTCTGTCATTCTTCCTATTCATAGATTTCAATGGCCTCCCTACATTTTTTAACTCCTTACTTTAAAACACAAGGTATTCTCGATCTGAGCTCTCTAGACTTCATCAGCCTCATCTCCACCACCTACCCAGGTATGCATCCCAAGCTCCAGCCACTCTAAATCACTAGCACTTCCCCAAACATACCACACTGTTTCACCCAGCCATGCCTTTATACCTGTTCACCCTGCCTCATGTTTTCTTTTCAATGAAAAACAGCAAATAGTTTTTCTTTTATCTTTTATCCACATTTTTCCTTTGGTATTCATATGTGTAAGATGTTTTGTACATTGTGTAATTTCTTTTTCTTTGTATTTTCCTGTATTTCAGATACACAGAGTTAATTGTACTCTACAAACTATAGCAGAGTAGAGTGACATACCTGTGCAGGTCCCTTCTTTTATTTATTTCTGCTATTTTATTTGCTTATTTTTTATCCAGTAGCACATCATTTTATTTCTCTAATTATGTAGCAATTTTACCTTCCTCTTTGCTCTTTAATTAAAAATGTTTTGTTAGTTATTCATTATTTATTTATTTGAGACGGAGTCTCACTCTGTTTCCCAGGCTGGAGTGCAGTGGGCGATCTCGGCTCACTGCAACCTCTGCCGCCCGGGTTCAAGCAATTCTCCTGCCTCAGCCTCCAGAATAGCTGGGATTACAGGCACCTGCCACCACGCCCAGCTAATTTTTGTAGTTTTTCAGTAGAGACGAGGTTTCACCATCTTGGCCAGGCTGGTCTTTAACTCCTGACCTCGTAATCCACCCGCTTAGGCCTCCCAAAGTGCTGGGATTACAGGTGTGAGTCACCACGCCCGGCCCAATGTTTATTCTTATAAATATATTTTATTACTTTTCAGGATTCTCCAACAATCCTTATGAAATGTTAATTAAAATTACATTGAAATTACAGGCTTATCTTTAAAATAAGTTATCTTATTCATAAGCATAATTTACCTCTCCACTTATTCACATTTTGTTTTGTGTATTCTTTAATAAAGTTTTAAAATGTTCTCCATAAAGGTCTTATGTATTCTTCATGTTACTCTCTAAAATCTTTATAGTGTTTGTTGCTGCTGTGAATATTATTTTTATTTTCTATTTTAATTTGCAGTTGGTTATTATTGATAGAAATATGGTAGATTTTAATAAGAAAATATTTTGTTAGTAAACTTGCTAAACTCTTATTAACTCTATTATTGATTTTGTTGGTTTTCTATGTGGATAATTAAATATTTGCAAATGATGATGGTTTTGTCATTTTCTTTCAAATTTTTATGTCTTCCTTCTTTGTTCTCCTGCTGAATTAACCTGGATGTCCTGACTATACCATGTTGAAGCTTTGTGAAGACGGCAGACTCCCTTGTCTTGTTCTCTAACTTAGAAGAAATGTGTCTATTTTTTATTGTTAGTTGTAAAATTTGTTGTAGGCTTGGTGTAGAGGTTTTATTGAGTTAAGGAAGTTTAACTCAATTCCTTGATTTTGAATTTTTGTCTCAGTGAAATATTAAACTACATCAAAAGCCTTTTCTGCATTAATTGATATATATTTGATAAGTGACATTGATAAATTTTCTTAATTTTGAATCACCCTTGCATTCCTGAAATAATCTCTAATAATTACAGTGTGTATTTTAAAAATTCTGTTACATTCAGTTAACTAATTATTTAGAATTTTTCATTGTGTTAATGAATTAGACATCTGGATTTATTTTTCTTTTTGTACTATACTCATCTAGTTTGAAAGTCAAAGTTATACTGGCCTCATAAAATGCTCAAATAGCTTTTTTAAAAAAATTTGAAGCAACTGTAAAATACAGGGATTATCTGTTCCTGGAGTGTTTGATGGAAATCGCCTGTAAAAGTTTCTTGGTTATAAAAGAGGTGAAAGATCTCTGCAAGGAAAACTGCAAAACACTTTTGAAAGAAATCATAGATGACACAAACAAATGGAAACACATTCTATGCTCTTGAGTAGGAAGAATCAGTATTGTAAAAATGACCATACTGCCCAAAGCAATTTACAGATTCAATGAAATTCCCATCAAAATACCATCATCATCCTTCACAGAACTAGAAAAAAAATCCTAAAATTCATATGAAACCAAAACACAGCCCACATAACCAGAGCAATACTAAGCAAAAAGAACAAAGCTGGGGGCATCCCATTACCTGACTTCAAATTGTACTACAAGGCTATAGTTACCAAAAGAGCATGGTACTTGTATAAAAAGAAAAAGGCATGTAGACCAATGGAACAGAATAGAGAACCCAGAAATAAAGCCAAATACTTACAGCCAACTGATCTTCAACAAAGCCTACAAAAACATAAATTGGAGAAAATTCAATAAATTGTGCTGGGAAAACTGGGAGACCACATGTAGGAGAATAAAATTGTATCCCCATCTCTCCCTTTATACAAAAATCAACTCAAGATGGATCAAAGACTTAAATCTAAGACATGAAATCATAAAAATTGGAGAAGATAACATCAGAAAAACTCTCCTGGACATTGGCTTAGGTAAAGAATTTATGACTAAGACACCAAGACAAACACAACAAAAACAAAAATAAATAGATGGGACCTAATTAAACTAAAAAGCTTCTACACAACAAAAGAAATAATCAGCAAAGTAAACAGACAAGCCACAGAGTTGAAGAAAATATTCACAAACTATACATCCAACAAAGGACTAGTGTCCAGAATCTACAAGGAACTCAAACAAATATCAAGAAAAAAACAAATAATCCCATCAAAAAGTAGGCAAAGGACATGAATAGACATTTCTCAAAAGAAGATATACAAACAGCCAACAAACCTATGAAAAAATGCTCAACATCACTAATCATCAAGAAAATGCAAATTAAAACCACAATGAGATACCACCTTATTCTTCCAAGAGTGGCCATAATTAAAAAGTCAAAAAACAATAGATGTCAGCATGGATGTGGTGAAAAAGGAACACTTTTACACTGCTGGTGGGAATGTAAATTAGAACAACCACAATGGAAAATAGTATGGAGATTCCTTAAAGAACTAACGGTAGAACTACCATTCAATCCAGCAATCCCATTACTAAGTATCTTCCCAAAGGAAAATAAGTTATTATATGAAAAAGATACATGCACGTGCATTTATAACAGCACAATTCACAATTGCAAAGATATGGAACCAACCTATGTGCCCATCAATCAATGAGTGGATAAAGAATATGTGATATGTATACACCATGGAATACTACTCAGCCATAAAAAGGAATGATATAATGTCTTTTGCAGCAACTTGGATGGAGGTGGAGGCCATTATTCTAAATGAAGTAACTCAGAATGAAAAACCAAATATCATATGTTCTCACTTATAAGCAAGAGCTAAGCTATGTAGATGCAAAGGCATAAGAATGATATAATGGACTTTTGGGACTCAATGATGGAGACGGGGAGAGAGGTGAGGGATAATAGATTACATATTGGGTACAGTATACACTGTTCAGGTGACAGGTGCACCAAAATCTCAGATATCACCACTGAAGAACTTACCCATGTAACCAAAAACCACCTGTACTCCAAAAACTGTTGAAATAGAAATAATTTTTTTAACTGGCTTGGTTAAGCATATCTTTTCATTTATTATATTTTAGGTTTTGGCAAAATCTTTAAATATTATTTAAATGTTTTTAATTAGTACTAATCTATTCAGCTTTCATATTTTATTCTCATGCTTATTTGACATATTATACTATTGCAGACATTTATTCACTTATGATTTTTGTGAATATTCATATTTACTGAGGAATAGTACTGGATCCTTATCTTCTCTTATTCCATTTAATTCCACCTTTAAAACACCGTTATATTTATATCCCATGTTACTTAAAATTGCAACAGAAACAACCCTTATCATTAAGTACTTTTTAAGCAGGTTTCCTCAGTTTCTTATATTCCAACATTTGGATGTGCCATGATCTAGTTAATGATTCAGGTGACAGATTGTATTTTCCAAAGATAGCCACAATGCATTTCCCATCTCACCTGCTCTTTTAAGAGGTGTCTGCATTCTTTTCCTTTGAAAATGGCAAGTTTTGACTCATCAGTATCCAACAGAATGAAGCAGAGTGATGTTTTATGACTTCCTAGGCTAGGTAAGAATATGCAGCACAGCTTCAGCCTTGTTTGGGGAAGACAGTGACAGAGCTACTAGAAGGAAAAATAATATAAGCAGTTACTCCAGTTGCTACTGCTGTGCAACAAATTACTTCAATTTTAGTGGCTTAAACAGTGATGATTTTTTTTTTTTTTTTCAGAAATCCTTGTCTCTCTTCTACAATGTCTGAGGCCTCAGCTAGGAAGATTCAGTGATTAGGGTGACTCAGTATGGCTAGAATCATCTGAATGTTTCTTCAAATAATTTCCTTTAATAAAAGATACCTCCAAATTTGGCAGCTACATGCATTATATCTGGGGCTCCACCCCATAGTCAGTCTCTATGGCAATTTAACATTTCTCTTCACCACCACTTAAAAATAGACAAGAAAAATCCCATTTATCAAAATACTTCAGTGGCCATTTGCAGAAGGTATCAGAGCAGATTCCAAGATAATGGACTCAAAGTTACTAACATCAGTGTGATCTGCAAGGGCACAGAGAGTCCTGATTTCTCCCCCTGAATCAGTTATCTGACTCATGATTTCCAAGAGACCTTCCACCTAACATTTGACATAAAAGCTATCTTTAATGTGCCCACCCCCACTTTTTTGTTTCTCATCGGCAGAAAAATATCAAAGTGCAGATTTGCACTTCAAAAATGGTGAAGGGAAGTACAGCTTCATTTGGGAGTTTTCTGATGTTAGATTCCTATACCAAAAAGTATAAAATCTTTTGTAGAATGCATTTAGAAAGGTTCTCATCTGAGGCAAGAAAAAAGGTCTTGAAATAAAAAATTAGAGGATATTAACTCTTTGGAAGCACTTTAAAAATTGCCCTTCTAGGAAGTTGCTTCTATTTTAATCCCTACCTGTAAGTTCAGTTTTCCCAAGGACAAACATCTAGAGCACAGCATAATTATTCTAAGATGAGACATACTTCCACTTTTTAAAAAAGAACAATAGCATTAAAAATCCTGCAAAGAAAAATCTCCAATTCAGAAACTGGAAGCTACTTTCTTTCATCCCATTGTTAACACGTTGTTTTGATATAAAGAATCTAAAGAAACAATCTAGACACTGACTAACTTAATGCCAATGACAATTACAATCTTGTGTCATAAATACATATTTACTGCAATAATTTTAAATGTATTATTTAAAAGTGATATGATAGCCTAGGAGAATATACCAGAATAAGTATTCAAATAATAATTGTCTAATAAGAGTTGCAGTTATGCAATTCACACCAGCACATGCTTAGATTGATGACTTAGCACACTCGTTCCCATGAAGTGAAAAGGTTTACTTCCCAATTAAATTCTTAATGCTTTTCAAAGTTTTCTTGTCCTAGTATTTGTATTTTCCTTAGTATCGTATCAGAATCTTTGCCATCATCATTAGCCAATGTGTTTATTCAGTCATTGTGTGAATAGCTTTGATCTGAGTGTACCAAGATAAGCTTCCTGAAGTCCAGTAAACACTCAGAGTTGTTTTGGAACATGAGCCAACTGCTTTCCTCTCTCACGAACTCTCTGCTTTAATGACTCATGACGCTGAAATAAATTGGAATTTAAACAGTTAGGAAAGATTTATGGACTTAGAATTATCCGGTTTGGGGTCTTAGACAAACCTAAAATTATTAAATATTATGCATATATTCTAATTTTTGCCCTGATCTCCCTTCAAATGAGAGGAAATGGCTATGAAGATATGAATTTTTTCCCTATCTAACATATCGGCTGTAATTGGATTAATAATAACAGGGTTACATTTGTTAAAATGGTAGGTTGAACATATGCATTAGCTTCCATTCCTCATTTAAACCCCAGTAAGACAACAATAAAAGGATTTTTTTAGATAGCATAGCAAGGACAAAGATAATAGGAGAGAACACAATCATGATAAATTTTTGGAAACTGGAAAGCAGATGGACTAGAAAGCTAAATACTAAATTAGCAGTGAGCATCTGAAAAGCAACTTAATTTTATACCAAAGAACTCAAAAAGGATCCACATTAATGATACCAGTAACCCCTGCAGATGGGAGCGGGAGAGATACAGGCTAAAAATTAAATTACAGCCGAAAGTCTTTTTAAAAAAGAGTTTGGTTTTCAGATTCTCTCTACTTTCTTGTGCAGCTAGACAACAGTTTCTTCCTTGCCCTGGGAGTTTTAACATCTCCAGAATATAAAATACACTCTCTCTGTACTGAAAGACTATACAGTAACATAGTGGGTGAGCAGCCAGGCTTTTGTCTCCCAGGTAGGAGATTAGAAGCACATTCACTGAGGACTCTAACTAGTCTAACTAGTCAAGAGAAAAGAGCAAAAATTACTGACAGTGGAGTTTCTATCATACAGGCCACTCTACAGAAAAGCCCTTAGACAATAAGCCACATGCTTGCACACACAGAGCTTTCAATAAACTGTTTAGTTCATTGCTTTTAATTTTCTAAAGTTTGCTGACAAACTTCCTATAGCATTCAAAGAATAGAGGCATTAGAAATTAAAAATAAGGTAAGAATTTTTAAAAGACTCAATAAATAGTTGGAAGATAAAGTTGGACACAAGATTCTAAAAGTATCAAGGAAGAAAAAGTAGGTTTTGTAAGAAGAATTAAGAATGGCTTGGATATCACGAGGACAACAAATGAAGGTTAGAATCAATTGAATAATGCCTCAAAATACTAAGGACATTTGTGGGGTTTTTTTCCTGAAATTTCATACCCAAACAAATATCAACTAAATATGAGAGTAAAATAAAGTCATTTTAAGACATGCAAGGTCTTTCTAGAGGATGTGCTCCATGAAAATGAGGGAGTAAACAAAGAGGGAAAGAGAGAGAGTGTGTGTATGTGTGTGTGTCCAGGAAGCAAGAGAACACAAATATGAATGAAGGTTCCAAGACTACAGAGCTCTAGTAGGCTCTGAGATTAATCCATCTATATTGGAGCAGATTATGAGGCTTTAAGAGGCCTCTCTGAGAAGGAAAGAACAGAACACCAGTATACCTAATGAGCTAAGGGGAGGTTTAACATGTGGAAAACTGGGTGCAAGGTACATATGACTTCTCTGTACCATCCTTGCAAGTTTTCTGAAAATCTGAAATGATTCTAAAATCAAAAGTAGAACTCTACTGGGACACAAGAGTCAGGGAGGTGGTGCATGTATGTAGTAGGTGGTAACTGAAAAGGAGTTAGTCTTCATTTTTCTAAGTCTAAAATTGGAAAATCAAGAGGTTAAAATGTAAACATGTTACTTAAAGATGTAGAAGTCAATATGGAAATACAAAGATGTAACTGGAGAGCAAGTTGGGGAGTACCGGTTTAGTAACAAGCCTAGTTACAGTTTTTGACTTTAAGTCTGTGCCTGTACAACCTGATGAAATAGAAAACAAATTTAAAGGGAAAAGATGTGGTTCTCATATATCATCCAGATTTTCAGTTATTTGAAATTTTAATACCAAATAACATTTCCCATTGCCCTACTTACCCACCCCATGTTACCTTATCAAACCAGATCAGTGATGCTTTCAGAAATTATTTGGTTTGATCAATTCAGTGACTCTAGGAAAGAGTATGCTATTAGTAATAGTTTATGTGATTTACATATTTATACTTTGAATATACATGACCCTACCAAAATTATATCTAAAAATATTTATTATTCTTTATTATTAGGTTAAAAATTGTTTTCTTTTCACATCAAATATTTACTTCCTTTTTTCACAAGGGCATGTTACACTGCCTCCCATTTTGCAAAAGCAAGACAAAGTGCAAATTAAAGGAGTTTTAATGTATATTTAACCAGATATTCCAGGATACAGGATGTAACTTGTGTTTATACTTTTTTAAATACTTTCGAATATAATTATTAGAAAAATACTTAAAAATGGGTAATGTTTACCATAAGAGCCTCCATTGTGTGGTTATTGACTAATTTATTTTTTAATTTGACAAATGATAATTGTACATATTCATGGGTACATAGTGACATTTTAATGCGTATAATGTATAGTGCTCAGATCCAGGTTATTAGCACATCCATAATCTCAAACACTTATCATTTCTTTGTGTTGGGAACATTCAATATCCTCCATCTGCTATTTGAAACTATATATTATTGCTAATTAAAATCATCCTACAGTGGTAGAGAACACTATACTTTATTCCTCCTATCTAGCTGTAATTTTGCATTCTTTAACAAATCTCTCCCTAGCCCTCCCTTCCCCCTACCCTGCCCAGCCTCTAGTACCCTCTGTTCTGCTTTTTACTTCTATGACATCAACTTTTTTAGCTTCCACATATGAGTGATAACATGTGGTGTTTAACTTTGTGTTCCTGGCTTATTTCATTTAACACAATGTCCTTCAGTTCTATCCATGTGGGCACAAATGACAGGATTTCATTCTTTTTAATGGTTGAATAGTATTTCATTGTGCACGTATACCAAATTTTCTTTGACTATAATTAAATTTTCGCATACTGGTGAAAGTGGGGGTCTATTTTTCCCATTTCTTCCTAGTTAATAGCAGAACATATCGTGAGAAAGATCTTACTCATCTTCAAATTTTCTTTTTCTTTCTTTTTTTTTTTTTTTTGAGACGGAGTCTTGCTCTGTCACCCAGGCTGGAGTGCAGTGGCGCGATCTCGGCTTACTGCAAGCTCCGCCTCCCGGGTTCCAGTGATTCTCCTGCCTCAGCCTCCCGAGTAGACTAGCTGGGATTACAGGCACGTGCCACCATGCCTGGCTAATTTTTGTATTTTTAGTAGAGACAGGGTCTCACCCTGTTAGCCAGGCTGGTCTCAAACTCCTGTCAGGTGATCCGCCCGCCTCAGCCTCCCGAAGTGCTCGGATTATAGGTGTGAACCACTGCGCCCGGCCCAAATTTTCTTACCTATCATGCGTCTAGAAAGAATCAAGTTCTCATCTATATAAATTGCACATTTTCTCTGATTGGCATACCGTGTTGAATCTTTGTCCCTTTTCTACCAGAAAACAAGATGTTCTTGTTTAAGTGGCATTTCTCTAGTTCAATAGGTTCCTTGAGCTATTCAATGGGTCCAGTAATAATATGCTAATTTTTTACATTGATTCAAATGTGTTTCAGTAACTCTGTCCTCGTATTGTTCTTGCATTATCTCAAACATAACTTTATCCTTCAATTCATACCACACTGCATCTGCCTTGCTATCCTGCTGTTACCCCTCCTCCTCTCATAACTAAACCAGCAAGACTGAATTGTAGTGGATGGAAAGAAACATGGTAGAAGGGAATGGAAATAAATTTTAAGTCAAGGTTAAATTTTATTTTGCATTTCCAAAGGAATCAATGGATTTGTGCTCTTAAACATTTTTTAAGCACAAATGAATGGTCTATGATTTTAACCTTGTGTATAATTTTGTAACATAGATTTTTATCACAGTAACAGTTAATAAGAGGATTTCATGAATTAGTTTATGTTTTAAATTTTTTCTCCTTACTAAGAAATTTCACAATACCTGAAAAGGACTGCATCCAAACTCATTCCCAGACCTCCCACTGATAAAATTATGCCCAAATGATTGTGCCTCTCCCTACTGGCACTGACCCAAAAATAGAGTTATTGGTATTTTATTTAGTCATCTTTTTCCAGGCATACACATTAATGAAATTATGTAAGAACTGGGAAATAGGTAGGACCAGCCCACCCTGAGATCTAGCTTTGGATAATCAGACTATCAACTCTTTGGCCACTGCCTTTCCCCACATTTAGCCTAGATCTTTCCCTCTGTATTTGTATTTTACACTCTATTAACCTCTTTGCTGTGTCCTGTGAAATAAATCCTCTTCTTTAGTTATGAATGAATTTTCTATATTCTTAACATTTTTTCCCTAATATCTATTAAAATAGAAATAAAAATAATAGCTATAATGTATTAGGTTCTTACTTTTATGTGCTTTACAACAGCCCTACAAATACTATTATTATGTTATTACAATTAAGGAAGTTGAGTCTTTTTAGAGGTTAAATTGTCCAACGTCAAACTGCCAGCTGGGACTTTATCCAATAGATGTCAACACCTGTGCATTTGACCTCCGTGTTATACATCATCCCAAGTCCATACTCCTCACTTATACCACTCATTGCTTATTGCCATTGTTCTCTGACAGCCAGGATATGGTCAAAGCTTCCACAGAGATTCTATCTTCTGGGAAAGGCTTCTCCTCTACCAGCATCTTCAGGGACTCTTTTGGTTTGATTCCCTAATCTCACAGTTTCAGCATATCCTAAATTTAAACATCTTCCCTTGGTTTTCATGATCCTTAAAAAACAAAAACAAAACTTGGCTCTCCTGCTTCTCTGACCTACCTTCCCTCCCTCCCTTCCTTTCTCTCTCTTCTCTCTTTTTTTCTTTTTCTTTCTTTCTTTCTTTCTTTCTTTCTTTCTTTCTTTCTTTCTTTCTTTCTTTCTTTCTTTTTTATTTTCTTTCTCTTTTTCTTTCTTTCCTCTCTCCTCTCTTGCCCCCTTCCTTCCTTTTGGATTAACAAATAATAATTGTGTATATTTATGGGGTACAATGTGATTTTTGATCTATGTTTACATTTTGATGCATCTATGTATCAAGATAATTAACATATCCATCACTTCACCAAGTTACCCTCTTCATAAGAATGTTAAAAATCTATTATTTTAGTAATTTTGAAATATGCATCATTAACTGGTGTCACCATGCAGTACAATAGATCACTAAAACTTATTCCTTCAGTCTAACTGAAACTTTGTACTATTTGATGAAAATCTTCCCTGTCCCCATCTCTCTGCCTCCTTACTACCCTGCCCCTCATCCTCTGGTAACCAATTTATACTCTCTGTTCTATGAGATCAACTTTTTTTATATTTCACACACAAGTGAGATCATATAGTATTTGTCTTTTGGTGCCTGCCTAACTTCACTTAACATAATGCCCTCCAGTTCCATTCACATAGTCTTGAATGACAGAAGTCCCTTCTTTATGGGGGAGCTGCATAGTATTGCATTGTGTATATATACCACATTTTTGTTATGCATTCTTAGGTTGGACACTCAGCTTGTTTTCATATTTTGACTCTTGTAAAAATGCTGAAATGAACATAGGAGTGCAGATATCACTTCAACATACCAATTTCAATTCCTTTGGATATATACCCAGAAGTGGCATTGCTGATGGTAATTCTGCTTTAAGTTTTCTGAGGAACCCCTATACTGTTTTCCAAAATGATTATGCTAATTTACATCCCCACCAACAGTGTACAAGATTCTCCTATATCAACACTTCTCATTTGTCTTTTTGATAATAGCCATTCTAACAGGTGTGAGATGATAACTCATTGTGGTTTAGATTTGTAATTCCGTAATGATTAGAGATGTTGAGCAGTTTTTCATTTATCTGTTCGCCCTTCTTAACTCTTATTTTGAGAAATGTCTATTCAGATCCTTTGCCCATTTTAAAATCAGATTATTCCTTTCTTGCTATTAAGTTGTTTCAGTTCCTATTTTTTTATATCAGTCTCTTATCAGATGTACAGTTTACAGATATATTCTTCCAATCCATGGAATGTCTTTTTACTCTGTTAATTTTTATTTCTTTGCAGAAAAGTTTTATTTTGATGTAATCTCATTTGTGTATTTTTGCTTTTGTAGCCTGTGCTTTTGGAGTCCTATCCAAGAAATCATTTCCCATACCAATGTTGTCTCTCCTATTCTCATGTTTTCTTCCAGCAGCTTTACACTCTTAGGTCTTCCATGCTGTCTTTCATCCATTTTGAGTTGATTTTTGTAAATGGTGCGAGATAAGGGTCCAATTTCATTCTTCTGCATGTGAATATCCAGTTTTCCCAGCACCATTTACTAAAGAGACTGTCCTTTTCCCATTGTGTGTTCTTGACACTTTTAGTGAAAATAAATTTACCATAAAGACTTGGGTTTATTTCTAGGCTTTCTATCCTGTTCCATTGGTTTCTGTTATTGGTTGGTATCTGTTATTATGACAGCACCATGCTGTTTTGATTACAGTCACTTCATAATATATTTTGAAATAAGGAATGTGATGCTTGCAGATTTGTTCTTTTTGCTCAAGATTGCTTTGTCAGTTTGGGATTTTTTCTGGTTCTATACAAATTTTAGATTGTTTTTTACACATCTACAAAGAAAATGACATTGGAATTTTGGCTCACCTTCCTTCCCCTTTTGCTGTATGTGGACATTCCCATAAGTTCTATCCTTAGCTTCCTTCTCTTCAGTCTTTATATTGTGTGGCTTCCCAGGTAAACTTTACATAAGCACTGAAGACAGATCATGTCACATCAAACCTTCTAATATAAGTTTGCTGTATTATTTGAGAATATTCAATTTTGTGATAAAAGACTATAAAACAAACAAGATGGTGAAATGCAAAAGAAGTGTTAAGTATAGATAAAGTTGATAGCCTATGACCTTGTCTTTATTCTACAGTAACAAAATACCATAAACTGGGTATTGCCCACTGTTCTGTGGGCTAGGAGGTCCAAGAGCAAGATGCTGGCAGATTTGGTATCTGGTGAAGGCTCATTTCCTGCTTCATAAATGGTACCTTATTGCTGTGTCCTCAGGTGGTGGAAGGATCAAGGCAGCTCTCTGGGCCTCTTTTATAAGGTCACTCTGCCCTCCTGACTTAATCACATCCCAAAGGCCCCACCTTCTAATACCATCACATTGGTAATTGGGTTTCAGCACATGAATTTGGGAGCAGGGGTGAGGGGCAGAAACATTCAGACCACATCAGAAATGTAAGTAAAAGTCATGGTGTATAATACTTAAGTATAATGAGTAAACAAATAGCTTATGAGACATAGGCAGAATCCATAAGATAGTAAGTTAGTAACCTGTAATACATGTTAACAATAAAGTTAATGGAGTATATAATGGAGCAAATAATAATGTTACTTATAGACAAAAGGGAGAAAAACAAGCCATGCTCATGTCTCACCCCCAATCCCACCAGAAGTACTTATATCCCTTTGAAGGCTTTTAGCATTTTACATGAACTTCTTGTTTGCTACCTTTTCCTACCATGCACACATCCTATTTCCACATCTGGACTGAAAGCTCCCAGAAAACAAACATAATGGCAGATGTATCCTTTCCTCCCAGGAATATTTGGCATTCAGATCTGCTGCATAAATACATTAAATGGATGATGGCATAACCTAGGCTTCTTAGCCAGGATTTTACTACTCTTTTCTTATGACACTTTCACAAAACTGTCCATCTGTGAAATAACTAATATTTTTAAAATTACACATTTTATTGAGTTAATGTTCCCTGTTATCTTAGTAGTTAAACATATGTATTGCCCAAACAGTTTAGAAGAGTTTTTTTAACTAAAAATAAACAAAAATTTACACACACACACACACACACAGGCTGATGCATCACATTTACACCAATTTTTTATGAAATAATAATACATAATAAAGGGTAATACAGTATAGCAGTTACGAGGATTGACTCCAGAGTTAAGCACCAGGTTTTGAGACCTGGATTTGAAATTTGTAGCTCCATGACCTTGGGTAAGTTTACTTTATATCTATCTTCTCTAGGTTCTCATCTATAAATGTTGGGAAAATAGAAATGGTACCTAGTACATGGAATTATTGTAGAGAATATATGAATTAAAGCAGACAAAAGTGCTAAGAACAGTGACTTGCATGTGGTAAGCCATCAATACATGTTAGCTCTTAGCATGGTCCTACGAATTCATTTTAAATAGATTTCCTTCTCTATACTCTGAATAACCTTCCAGAAAGAATGGTTTGCCATTTAAAACCAGATTCCAGTCTCACATCCTCCCTAGATAAGCAAATACATACACACTTATTATCAAAGCCTGGAAAATCTGAAAATAATGCTGAAGGTCATTAGCTCTAATAATACTCTCTTTGTGTTTGCTCTGTTCTGTTGAGTTTACGAATCATTTTCATTGCATCATTTGATTTTTGTAATACCTCTGCAACAAATCCAGCCATTCTTTTCCTTTTTTTTTTTTTGCAGATAGTTCAGTGATTTTATTTTATTTTATTATTTTTTATTTCCATAGGTTTTTGGCGAACAGGTAGTATTTGGTTACATGGGTAAGTTCTTTAGTTGTGATTTGTGAGATTTTGGTACACCCATCACCGAAGCAGTATACACTGAAAAAAATTTGTAGTCTTTAGCTCCTCACCGCCCCCAACCATTTCCTCTGAGTCTCCAAAGTCCATTGTATCATTCTTATGTCTTTGCATACTCATAGCTTAGCTCCCACTTATGAGTGAGAACATACAATATTTGGTTTTCCATTCCTGAGCTACTTTGCTTAAAATAATAGTCTCCAGTTCCATCCAGGTTGCTGCGAATGCCATTAATTTGTTTCTTTTTATGGCTGAGTAGTATTCCATCATATATATATATATATATATATATATCTCACAATTTTTTATCTACTGGTTGATTGATGGGCATTTAGGCTGGTTCCATATTTTTGCAATTCTGCTATCAACATGCATGTACAAGAATCTTTTTCGTGTAATGACTTATTTTCCTCTGAGTAGAAACCCAGTAGTGGGATTGCTGGATCAAATGGTAGTTCTACTTTTAGTTCTTTAAGGAATCTCCACACTGTTTTCCACAGTGATTGTACTAGCAAAAGGAACAGTCAGCAGGGTAAATGGACATTTACCTCCCAGAGTGGGAGAAAATATTCACAATCTGTACATCCGACAAAGGACTAACATCCAGAATCTACAAAGAACTCAAATTACCTAGAACATAACAAACAATCCCATCAAAAAGGACATGAATAGACAATTCTTAAAAGAAGATATACAAATGGCCAACAAACATATGAAGAAAGGCTTAACATCACTAAATGATCAGGAAAATGCAAATCAAAACTCCAGTGTGAAACTACCTCACTCCTGTAAGAATGGCCATAATCAAAAAATAATAGATGTTGGCGTGGATGTGGTGAAAAGGGAACACTTCTACCCTACTGGTGGGAATGTAAACTATTATTTTTCATTTTTGAAGGAGAAGGGTTAAAATGGCTTGCCTTGGTCTCCTAGAGGAGGGTCATGAATTCAGGGAATTACATTCATGGCCATAGACCTTCTACCCAACACTTGCAGAGCAGGTTCTACTGACAGATCTTAAGAGCTGGGATAGTTTCAATCCAATAGTCCCCAACTTGTCCTTCCCACACACGATTTCTTTTAAAAATTCCCAATAGGGAGAAAGCCTCTATGGTTTATTTCACTCAAGGATTTACTGCTAGGATCCTCTCTTCATTTAAGGTAATTATTAACTTCTGAGGAAATAAAAAGTAGAACCTCCTCTCAAAAACTGATGTATTCCCATCATTCACATCATGCTTTTTAATCACATTGCATGGCAGCAAAACATAAGAGCTAGGGCAGCACTGACTCAGAGATCATGGTCTGGGTTCCATTTCTATTGGTCACTTATCAACTGAATGACCTTAAGATAGTTAATGAACTTTCCTGTGCCTCAGTTTCATTATCTATAAAATGTAATTAACAATATTACTTTGGAGTTCCTTGTGAAGATTACAATAAATAATATGTGTAAGGTACTCAGAAGAGCACCTGGTGAAATAGGTATGAGCTCCTGCTGTTATTATTACGTATGAGAAAATAGTCTCAATTATTTCTCCCTTTGGCTGGTGCTGCAGCTAGCAAATGCAAGACTTATCACTGTATGAACCAAAATCATCGGTCCCCATAATGATAAAATGCTTAAGCCAAAGCATACCCAGCACCTCTCACCTAAGACCTTTAACTCTTCCAGAGCTGCTCTCCCACACGTATCTTAGAAAAAAATATTCATGATCTCACATTGCCCAAAAATATATCTTCACAAGTCAGCTTTCTGACTTTTACCCTCGTCACAATGATTACCCTCCAGTTTTGCCTAAGGAATAGGTTGCTATGGCAACATTCACCACCCACAGTCAACAGACAAATTTCATTTCTCAGCTACAACTATTAGAAAATAAATGGTCCATGTAACATTCTTTTGTTTCCCTATTCATTTGTGAAATTCCCTACCTGTTTGAGGCAATCATAATTGTAATAAAATGCTATTTTAAACATTTAAACAATAATTTGTTAATTCAGACAAATACATTATTCAAATTCTCAATGTTTCCAAAATAGCTTTCTGTCAATAAAAGGTGAAAAAAAAAGCACCATCATAAACTACTTCAGTTCCAGATTTTGTTTAGTCAAATTGCTTCTTGTTTTATAATAGAAACATGAAATGAATTGTAACATATTATTTGCTAAAAAGAATTTTCCATCTTTTATTTTTATCCCCCAGGCAAAAATGACTTATTAAACTGTTTCAGAACAAGAAGAAAGAAGGAGAATTTACTTCTCTTTAATAGCCTCCCCACCAAACCTATCATTATTCCCGCAATCTAAGCCAAAGTAATAACACATGCTGTGCATACACCACACATTTCCAGGTGGATGATGAAGGAAAACCTACTTCATGCCCAGCACTGAGATATCACATGTCAACAGCAGCCATGTTCTTCCTTTTCATGGCTAACTTCTCCTGGTGATTCCTTAATAAGCCATGTTTGCAGTTGAGTCTCCCCAGTTGTGAAGAAATGGGAATGGCAATAAGGAGGAAGCCTGACCCTATGACCCCTCTCTATCCTATAGGGAGATAAACAATGAACAAGCAGACCTGCCCCTCATTACTCCCACTCTTTCCACCTCTCAGCTTCCTAGTACCCTCTTTCTCCACCTATGGATACCCTTTACCATACTTGTGACTATTAGTCATAATCAAAACATAATTTAACCAGAACTTACATGGATATAATAACACTCTAAGTTTAATAAGAATATAGCTAAGAAAGATTTAGACTATGCTCTTATAAGAACTTTTCAGAATAAAACTCTTAGAAGTTTTGATTAAGTGCCATTAAAAATCAGCGTACATAAGTGTAATAGGCAGTTTTCATTTTTCCAAACCAAAAGACCTCCTTTTGTATTGTAACTTTACTGGGATCTCAATTGACTCATTTAAGGCAATAAAGACACAATTGTATATGTGGACAAAGGAGACAAATACAATTTGTGGGAGCACAGAAACTAGAAGTCATTTTAAAAAAAATCTGGCCTTATGAGAACATAAATATGATATGTAAGAATATATGTACTGATTTAGGCACACTCTGTGTTGAGTAACAGATGCATTCTGAAATTTCAAAGGAATGTTTTTTTTTTTTTAATTCAGAGAAAATGACTTACGGATTCTTATAAAAATTATAAATATCAAACAAGTCCTTCCTACCATCCTGACATTTTCTATTAACAGTGAGTAAATATCACAGCCAAAAATCAATGAAGTAATTCCTTTTGGAGAAATAACGTGAGTAGGTGGAAGAGAGGTGATGGATATATATCAGGAAAACTGATATCGCAATAGGTAGCAAGGGACTTGACATAGAGCAACTACATGGGAGAGGACAACTCCCTTTTGTGACAAGTCTAGCTTTCCAGTAGTGAAGATTAGTGAGTGGTTTCACTATAATTGGGAAGGAACTGAAAAATTTATCTTATTAAAAGTTGTTCTGAGTGAATTTTTAAAACACTAGATGACTATAATTTTCAACCTATAATAACTTATTTTTTTCTCATTATCCAATGCATTAGGTCCCCTGGTAATTATAATTTTAGGCAAATTAAATAACAGTTAAGAGAGACAAGATTGAAATATAATGCAAAGAAAAAAATATTACTTCCCTTGTATTCAGGATGGGAAGAAACTGAAGCAATTTCCTGGGATGAGATTGTACATCTACAAATCAAAGAGAATTCTCTGATGGTGAAATCCAAACCAAACCAAATTTTTACTAAAGAGTATCTTGGTTGTTTTTCTAATGGGTCTCAAGTGGAGACAGTTGCCAAGTTCAGTAGTTTCTAGTATTTATTTATTTATTTTGGCTTAAGACTGCAGAATATTTGAAATTAATAAAAGGTATGAGTGCAATATAACCCCTGATGACTATTCAGGATACAACATGAAAATTTGCCAAGAGCTTTGCTGGCACAGAATTAATCCCTTGGAGTACGTTAGTGGAAAGAAGAAAGAAAGTAATTCTCTCTCATCATGTCAATGGAAGGTATATTTTTCACACTCACCTTGGGTCCAATATAATAAGAGGTGCCCCCATTTGAATTTCTTTGACAGCATACACAGTTTAAACTTGAGATCACATTTAATGTGTCCCCTTTGTACCTAAAGAACGAAAAGATTTACACCTTGAGGCTATTTTCCATCCGACTGTTTTGAAAGGAGAGCACATTTGTTTGCTGAACTCTGTGAGCAGTGTCTGATGTAACTGAGTGGATGGTTCATTGTGAGGATAACATTCACCCTCACAAAAAATGACCACTAGTATATAGCATGACCAAAGTCTCAAAATGAGAACAGTAGTCACCACAGGCAACCAATTGGTCAAATAAAGCAGACGTTTACTTATTTTAATTATGAAAAGGTAAATCATGGTTCTGACTAAACTCTAGCAATAAAACAGGACACTTAATGAGCTTAATTTAACAGCTATTGATATTAATCAAACAATGTGCTCATTGCTATTCTAGTTGCTCTGGAGGGTACAAATATAGTCCCATTACAAAGTATTAATGACTTCAAGACATGTAGGTGGGAAGCCAAGGTGAACACACAGGAAACAATAGCAAATGATACAGAGCAGTATGTTCATGCTGCAAAGGCTTCTGGTTCTACTAAAGGCAAATAAGAAGCCATGCGATATTTTAACAGGATAGGGGATGGGGAGAGGAGGGCCACCTAAGTGTATGTGAATTTATAATAAAGCTGGAGGTGGTGTGGAGAGCAGAGTGCACTGGGGCAGGAGGGGTAGAGAGATGTTGCAGAAGTGGATTTGGAAGCCTGGTTTGGAGGCTATTATAAGGATCTATGTGACTTAGGAACTGAGGTTTTGAGAATAGAAAGAGCACAGTGGATGCCTTTAAGGCATATCTGAGGTGGCACCACAGGATAGAGTGGCTAATTGTTCATGGAAGAAGGGACAAGAAAGATGAGAAGGTATCTGTGGTTTCTCTCTTGAAGCAGAGTCTTAACTTGAAATAGGCAGTCTGTGTCATTTGGGCATGGAACAAAACCTGTCTGAAGGCAAGATGCTTTTAGTGTTAAGAATAGAATTAAGGCCGGGCACGGTGGTTCACGCCTGTAATCCCAGCCCTTTGGGAGGCTGAGGCGGGCAGATCACCTGAGGTCAGGAGCTCGAGACCAGCCTAGCCAACATGGTGAAACCCTGTCTCTACTAAAAATACAAAATTAGCCGGGCGTGGTGGCACACGCCTGTAGTTCCAGCTACTCTGGAGGCTGAGGCAGGAGAATTGCTTGAACCCAGGAGATGGAGGTTGCCGTGAGCTGAGATGGTGCCATTGCACTTCAGCCTGGGCAACAAGAGAGAGACTCTGTCTCAAAAAAAAAAAAAAAAAAGGAATTAAGTGCTGTGACTGTAGGTTACCCTTCTGAAAGAATTCAGGACTCAATTGACTGCAGGTAGTGCAGGTATACAAGTGGAAAGCAGGTTGGCCCTGAGTGTTCTCACCACCAGCACCCCTGAAAAGGCAGCTCCAACATTCACTCGGGGATTCACAGATGTGATGTGAAGCTACCGTTCTCATTCACTCCTCCAGTAGGATTTGACCCTGTTTCTGCACTTAGAACAGCTGCTTATCCTGGGACCTCTGCTTCAGTGATGCAGCCTGGTCCTTCCAGGACCAAGTAGTCTAAGTGGATTTTCTCTGTAATCCTCTGTGGTAGCTCCCTGTTGCTTTCCTTCATAGACTTATACTACGTAACTATTCATTTGTTAATTTATTTATTGCCTTTCATTAGACTATAAGTACCTTTAAAGCAAGGAGACATTTTCTTTTTATTTGTCACTGCATTCTCAGTATATGGCTTAGTGCTAAGGACATGGTAGGTGTTCAATGATATATGTTAAATAAATGGGCAAATTCTCTGTTTCAGTTCCTTTGCTTTTGATGCTTTGGATACCTTGCAGACTGTCTTCTTGAGTAAGAATTTGACAATCAGTCTTATGTGATTGGAGAAGAAGTAAAAGATAAAAGAAAAAACATTGATGAGACAATCTAACGGAATTTAATAGCTAAATAGATATAAGGTATGAAGGAGGGAGATATTAGTGACATCGAACTGGGTGACTATAAACTTTCTTTCTCCAATCTCTGCCCCTGGGGACTGCTGCACCACAGGCCACAGAGTTATGCTCTATCTTGGCAATTAAGTTAGAGATGTACTCAGATTCAAATGCGCAATCATATGGTAATTCTATTTTTGATTTTTGAGGAACCACTATACAGTTTTCCATAGCAGCTGCACCATTTTACATTGCTACGAACAGTGCACAACATGTGAATATACTTAACACTACTGAGCTGTACACTTAAAAATGGTTATGATGGTAAATTTTATGTTATGTGTTTTTTTAGACACAATTTAAAAAATTGTAAAGTGCTGATTAGGTGCCTAATGGGTGCTGCTAAGCATACCAGAAGCATCCTGGCTGACGAAGTTTTTGGATGATCCTGGCATGTCCAAAGCCAAATGTTTCAGTGAGGAGTTAGTGGGAAGAAAATGGGGGTTGAGTAATAAACCCATTCTAACTTTATCATGCCCTTCATTTTCATGCAGATGGATTAAAATATTTCTATTACTCCCAGGTGGAACACATTTGGAGACAAAAGACTGGTGGCGAGTCCATCTGAGGCTGAGAAATATCATAGGTAGAGGTTGTTTATTCAAGCAGCCAGCACATTGAGCTCTTATTCCTATTCTTTATAACCTCAAAAGACAGAGTTTATCTGCAACATGAAAGAGTCAGTGGAGGATCAGGGGAGTTGCCCCTCACCGCTGGGTTGTGATTCCTAGATGCAGCAAAATCAATGTGTCTGTCCTTTAGCAAAGGGGACCCAGCAAAACATTTTCTGAATTCTCTCCACTCTCCTACTATGCCTCAAAGAGGCTCTGGGAATGAGTGAGCAGGGATTTACACAGCCCTTTCCTTAGCTGAGAGTGTTGATGCCAAAGGGTGGAAGACTTAAAGTACATAAGAAGCCACTGTATCTCCCCCACCTCCTCCCGAATGCACATTTAAACATCATTCTGGGAACACTGCAGTCATTCAAGGCACCAAATTGTAAAGAACAATGTATTTCTAAACTCCCTCTTTGTTCTCCACCTCCATCTCCTGTGACTCTTTTTAAATAGAAGAGTGACCCTTTTAAATAGAAGAACAGGAAAACTAAAATGCTCAAGAGGATTCCCAGTCAAATTTCCAATTAGCATCTATCCAGTCATTTAAAGAGTATTGTCAGAAGGGTTATTAAACAATGACATATTCATAAATGTGTATAAGATGATTAATTCCTATTCTTTTATTTATTTATTTATTTATTTATTTTTATTATACTTTAAGTTTTAGGGTACATGTGCACATTGTGCAGGTTAGTTACATATGTATACATGTGCCATGCTGGTGCGCTGCACCCACTAACTCGTCATCTAGCATTAGGTATATCTCCCAATGCTATCCCTCCCCCCTCCCCCCACCCCACCACAGTCCCTCCTATTCTAAATATGAGTTATTGAAAGAAATTTGGTCCAAATTATCCCAATCTTAATAAACTCCAAAGCCAAACCCACAATAAGAACATTCAAAAAAGGTGTAATTTAGCAAAAATATAATAATAATGAACTTCAGTTTTTCATAGATAGATGTGGGTATGCTGCAACTAGTGTATATTTAGAAAGCAGCCTTTTTCCATCTCTTCCTACTGTGGTAAATCACATCATATTATGTGTCATCCATACAAAACAAAGGGATAACATACCAAAAAGATAGATGGCATCCAATTTTATTGAATAGATTTACCTAAATCCCTGCTGTTTTAAAACAGAAACATTTGATGCTAAATCTAAAGGTCAAACAAAAATCCTCTGAATGTATCAGATTTGAAACACTTTATAATTGTAAGAATAAATCACATATCTGGAATAGACAAGCCAAAATAGAATCTGTTGTGCAGGGGTGTGTGGATTTGTCAGATACATAGGCCTTAAAATGAGCCAGATATCAAGCCTAGATAATAATAATTGCAGAGTTCTACTGCCTCTACAAGGTAAATGCTAAGTAACTGCTGATTATCCCTAGTACTTACAAAGTGATCATAGATAAGCCTAATAGGATTTGAATTTAAGTAGCTGTGATTTTTTCCCTCCCTCTTCCAGCTCTGTGAATTGGAAATTCTGCAAGTACCAACAGAAAAGGCACACTTTCAGACTTAAGGCACGCCCTGATGGGCAAGCACATTTACCATGCAAATCCTCCCAGACCAGATCGTAGCATGGAGCTACAGCTCGATTGGACATCATAAGCTGCCCAAAAATCTAAATAAAATACTGCTCACTTTGTTATAATAAGAGTTTCTCAACAACAGGTCCCAAAGCAGTACATCAGATCAATTTATCAGAAGGCACACTAGCCAATGGGCCTAGAACACTGCTGGTCTCATGGAACAGTAATCTATTAACAAAAAGTTACAAAATTCTCTGTGTTCAATGACTAACGTACAACATTTTTCTAAATCACTGGCACTTTATCATATTGTGTGTAGTGTGTGTGTGTGTGTGTGTGTGTTTGATCAACTTATTTTCTGGGTGCTGACTATATAACAGCTACATTATTAGGAACCTAGGATAAATGCTGAAGAAGGCAGACACAATGCCACCCTCAAGAAAGTACAGTTTAGTGAAGCAGAGTTTCTCAAATGTCTAATGTGTGTACAGAAAACAACAAGAGTCTGTTAATATCCAAATTCTGGTTCAGTGTGTCTGGAGTAGGGCTGAGTCTGCATTTCTAATATACTCCCTTTACTGTCAATGTTGCTGGCATTTGAGTAGCAAGGTACTAGACAAAACAGGTGTTGAATCACACAAATAACTATATGCTTACATTTGTGATCGTGCTATAAATAAAACAATACAGGGGACCATGAGATAAAATAAAGTGGGGGACACAATCCACAGTACTTCAGGGCTGGGAGGCCAAAAGCTGAAGGATGGTGGGAATATGGCAGGCTAAGTTATTGGAACCAACTATAGTTACTGCTATACATACCCTTGGTGTCTCTCTGACTACAGTTCTCCATACACCAGAGTGCGCCTGGCCTGTGCTCAGGGGGCGCTGGAAGTGCGTAAGACCAAATTACCTGGAGCTACCTGGTTGAAGGGCAGAATTTGTAAATAAATATCTCAGCTTCATCACCCCTTAGTGGGACATGCTGAGTTGGGTTTCATAGGCTCTCAGAGGGCTCACAGCAGGATTGGGCTCTAGTTGCCTACAGCTGTAATACTTATATTAACTTCAGTACTCCTCTTTTCCCTGTCTCACATCCCTTTTCCTTGCCTGTGACTTCTGGGCTCATCTCCAAATAAATTACTTGCTCCCAAATCCTTGTCTCAGGGTTTGCTTTTGAGGGAATTCAACTTAAGAAATCAACCCTCTCAGAGAGCATGACTAACAAGGCCAAAATATACACTGTATATGTGCATATGTGTGCCTAAGGGTATACGTAGATATGTGTATAAGTGTATGTATAGATACACATGCACACACTCACAAAACCAGGTGGAAATATAAGGGGGAGGAAGAACACAGGAACCTAAAGTGAACAATGAGATTACCTTTGCTCTTGGGCATTTGCCAACCCTGATGATCTTGAACTTCTGTTTTAATGACCTCCCAGGGAGAAGGGAACAAGTGTCTAAACCCAATCTCACCAGATAAGATCCTCCTACCAATCAAATGAACTGCATCCTTAATGTCAAGGTAAAACAGAAACTGTACCTTCTAATCCTAGTAAACTTTAAGGGAAATTGTGTTGGGATTGAGCAGAGCAGGGAGGAAATATCCCAAAGAAGTTGTAACTATAAGCTGGCTCTGTTGTATTTCCTGACTTGGATGGTGGCTGCATTGTTGTTTGGGAAACTGTACATAAGTGTTTCAGTCACTTTTTTTGTATACACATTGTATTTTATAATTTTAAAAAATGTAATTTTAAAAATATAACAGACACTAGAGTATTTTAAGTGAAGAGAAATAAGTAAGAAGCTAGGTGTTTTGGAGGAACAGAGAAGAGGTCATTCTGGGTAGAGTAAAATGAGCAACAGAGGATGGTGGAAGATGCATTCATACATTCATTCACTCATTTGTGACAAGTACTACGTTTTTTATGGAGCTTACATTGAGTGGGAGACAGACAAAAAACAATCAAACAAATAAATTAACAAGATAAATTCAGAGATTAATAACTGCTATGCGGAAAAAAATAAGTTGATGTCACAGAGACTGGCATAAATATTTGGTGGGTGGGTAATTGAGACTGGATTGCTTGGAAAGATCTTGCCAAGGTGTTGGCAATTGAACTGAGACCAGAAGGAAGAGAAGATAAAGCTGGGCAGGGGCATAGGAACAAGGCTTTGTAGGTTCCTCACTAAGAATTTTGAGCTTTATTTTTGGAGCAATGGAAAGCCATTAAAGTGTTTACATGGAAGAGAGACATAACCAGTCTAAGGTTTTTTAAGATCATGCTGATGACTGTTAAGAATGGATTTGATGGGTCCCAAAATGGTGGAGGCAGGCCAGTGAGAAGACATATGATGGCCAGTATGTTCGAAGTTGATACACAAAACAGGATCTATTCAAATTATATGGTAGGCTCAGAATTAAACACTCCTTACAAATACTTGTGGAACAAACTGTGTCCCCTAAGTTTGACTAATCCTTTCTTTTTGGCTACAGTGATTGTACCAATGATTGGCAAATGATCTAAGCTGGGTCAGTCAGAATCCTTTTTTGGGGTTTTCCTTATGAAGCTACAGCAGAAGATTCCTTCTTCTGTAGAATGTTTTAAGGCTGCGACTTGAGAACTGCCGATCTTGTATGAGGGTGTTTGGAGAAGGCCCACAAGAAGTAGGCGAGGAGGTAGCCATGCAGAGAGAAGAGAAAGGGAGAGAAATTGAGACAAATCCCGAGTGTTAGAGTCTCCTGGTTGCTGTGGTTTTGACAGTATTCCATTTGACTACAAGAACTACCCCAGAATTTTACCCAGTTATATGAATCATACAGTGCTCTTTTCTATTTAGCTAGTTTGAGTTTGGTTTCTGCCAATTACAAGTGAAAAAACCTGACCAGTATAAGAGGTGAGGGAGGCGGAGGTGAGCCTCTTGGGGGATAGAAGTCACATTTACTGAAATAATGGAAAAGATGAGAAGCCAGCTGGACAGGGAAGAACCAAAGTTGTTTGGCAAATAAGAGTTTAAAATACCCATGAGATATCAAAGTGGAAACATTAAGTAGATGATGAATATATCAATTTAGAGCTCAGTCAAGAAGAGTGGACTGGGTATATAAGTTTGGGCATCACTGGCCTAGACATGATATCCAAAACCACAGGATGGCATGAGATGAGATTAGCTGGGGGAGAGACTATTCAGTGGAATCAGAAGGGGACCCAGGACTAAGTCCTGAAGAACTCCATGAACTATGGACCTGATATCATTTTTAAAACACCAAACTTGAACCAAGAAGAACATCTGCAACCCATTTACTTGTCAAAACCCATACAGCAGTAGTCTGTTCTGTTCTTTGCTGAATGATGTTAATTAATGCCACAAATTTCACCTTCATTATCATCCGTCAAAAGAACAAAAATAAATGCTGGGTGAGAGGTGTGTGTGTATGTGTGTGTGTCTGTGTGTAACTGTATAACTTTAAGTAAATAAGACTAATTTTTTGAGAAGTTTATTATTTTTTTAATTGGACATTTTATTTTAGATAAAGGGTACATGTGTAGATTTGTTACATGGCTATATTGCAGGATGCTGAAGTTTGGGATATGGATCCCACCACCCAGGTAGTGAGCATATTACCCAACAGGTTGTTTTTCAATCCTCACTTCTCTCCCTCCCTCCCCACTCTAGTAATTCCCAATGTCTATTGTTCCCATATTTATGTCCTTGTGTGCTCAATATTTAGCTCCCACTTTAAGTGAGAACATGCAGTATTTAGTTTTCTGTTCCTGCATTAATTTGCTTAGGATTATGGCCTCCAGCTCAATCCATGTTGCTGCAAAGGACATGATTTCATTCTTTTTTATGGCTGTGTAGTATTCCATGGTGTATATGTACATTTTTCTTTGTCCAATCCACCACTTATTTAGAATAGCCACCAAGAAAGTGAAATACCTAGGAATACAGCTAACCAAGGAGGTGAAAGATCTCTTCAAGGAGATCCATTATAGAACATTGCTAAAAGAAATCAGTGATGACACAAACAAATGGAAGAACATTCCATGCTGATGGATTCGAAGAATCAATATTGTTAAAGTGGCCATACTGCCCAAAGCAATGTACAGATTCAATGCTATTCCTATCAAACTACCAATGCCATTTTTCACAGAATTTGAAAAAGCTATTCTAAAGTTCATATGGAACCAAGAAAGAGAGAAAATAGCAAAAGCAGTCTGAAGCAAAAAGAACAAAGTTGGAGGCATCACATTACTTGACTTCAAACTACACTATAAGGTTACAGTACCAAAAACAGCATGGTACTGGTACAAAAACAGTCACACAGACAAAACAAAACAAAACAAAACAACACAATAAATAACTCAGAAATAAGGACACAGGATTGAAGCAAGATGGCCGAAAAGAACAGCTCCAGTTTGCAGCTCCCAGTGAGACCAATGCAGAAGGCAGGTGATTTCTGCATTTCCAACTGAGGTACCCAGTTTATCTCACTGGGACTGGTTAGACAGTGGGTGCAGCCCACAGAGAGTGAGCAGAAGCAGGGTGGGGTGTCGCCTCACCCAGGAAGGGCAAGGGGTTGGGGAACTCCCTCCCCTGGCCAAGGGAAGCTGTGAGGGATTGTGCCATGAGGGATGGAGCTATGAGGCCCAGATACTATGCTTTTCCCATGGTCTTTGCAACCCACAGACTCAGGTGCCTACACCACAAGGGCCCTGGGTTTCAAGCACAAAACTGGGCGGCCATTTGGGCAAACACAGAGCTAGCTGCAGGAGTTTTTTGTTTTTGTTTTTTGTTTTTTAACCCAGTGGCACCTGGAATGCCAGTGAGACAGAAACATTCACTCCCCCTGGAAAGGGGGATGAAGCCAGGGAGCCAAGTGGTCTTGTTCAGCGGATCCCACCCCCACGGAGCCCAGCAAGCTAAAATCCACTGGCTTGAAATTCTTGCTGCCAGCACAGAAGTCTGAAGTCAACCTGGGATGCTTGAGCTTGGTGGGGGGAGGGGCATCTGCCATTACTGAGGCTTGAGTAGGCGGTTTTCCCCTTACAGTGTAATCAAAGCCACAGGGAAGTTCCAATGGACAGAGCCCTCCACAGCTCAGCAAAGCCACTGTAGCCAGACTGCCTCTCTCTAGACTCCTCCTTTCTGGGCAGGGCATCTCTGAAGGAAAGGCAGCAGCCCCAGGCAGGGGCTTACAGATAAAACTCCCATCTACCTGGAAAAGAGCACCTGGGGGAAGGGGCGGCTGTGGGCACAGTTACAGCAGACTTAAACATTCCTGCCTGCCAGCTCTGAAGAGAGCAGCTGATCTCCCAGCACAGTGCTTGAGCTCTGCTAAGGGACAGACTGCCTCCTCAAGTTGTTCCCTAACCCCCATGCATCCTGACTTGGAGACACCTCCTAGCATGGGTCGACAGACACCTCATACAGGAGAGCTATGGCTGGCATCTGGCAGGTGCCTTTTTGGGATGAAGCTTTCAGAGGAAGGAGCAGGCAGCAATCTTGGAGGTTCTGCAGCCTCCGCTAGTGATACCCAGGCAAACAGGGTCTGGAGTGGACCCCAGCAAACTCCAGCAGACCTGCAGAAGATGGGCCTGACTGTTAGGGGAAAAACTAACAAACAGAAAGAAATAAGATCAACATCAACAAAAAACAAAACATCACAATCATTCAAAAACTTCATCTGAAGGTCACCAACAGCAAAGACCAAAGGTAGATAAATACATGAAGATGAGGAAAAACCAGTGCAAAAAGGCTGAAAACTCCAAAAAACAGAATGCCTCTTCTCCCCCAAAGGATCGCAGCTCCTCACGAGCAAGAGAACAAAACTGGATGGAGAATGAGTTTAAAGAATTGACAGAAGTAGGCTTCAGGAGGTGGCTAATAACAAACCTCTCTGAGCTAAAGGAGCATGTTCTAACCCAATGCAAGAAAGCTAAGAACTTTGATAAAAGGTTAGAGGAATTGCTAACTAGAATAACCAGTTTAGAGAAGAACATAAATGACATGATGAAGCTGAAAAACACAGCATGAGAACTTCGTGAACCATATACAAGTATCAATAGCTGAATCAATCAAGTAGA
The DNA here is from genome assembly GCF_000001405.40 of Homo sapiens. Classification (NCBI taxonomy): domain Eukaryota; kingdom Metazoa; phylum Chordata; class Mammalia; order Primates; family Hominidae; genus Homo; species Homo sapiens. The sequence continues at coordinate 38,267,717 of NC_000014.9, read as the reverse complement.
AGAAAGGATATCAGAGATTGAAGATCAACTTAATGAAATAAAGCTTGAAGGCAAGATTACAGAAAAAAGAATGAAGAGGAACAAACAAAGCCTACAAGAAACATAGGACTATGTAAAAACACCAAACCTACATTTGATTGGTGTACCTGAAAGTGACAGGGAGAATGAAACCAAGTTGGAAAACACTCTTCAGGATATTATCCAGGAGAACTTCCCCAACCTAGCAAGACAGGCCAACATTCAAATTCAGGAAATACAGAGAACACCACAAAGGTAGTCCTCAAGAAAAGCAACCCCAACACATAATTGTCAGATTCACCAAGGTTGAAATGAAGGAAAAAATGTTAAGGGCAGCCAGAGAGAAAAGTCGGGTTACCCACAAAGGGAACCCCATTAGACTAACAGCAGATGTCTCTGCAGAAACCCAACAAGCCAGAAGACAGCGTGGGCCAATATTCAACATTCTTAAAGAAAAGAATTTTCAACCCAGAATTTCATATCCAGCCAAACTAAGCTTCATAAATGAAGGAGAAATAAAATCCTTTACAGACAAGCAAATGCTGAGAGATTTTGTCACCACCAGGCCTGCCTTACAACAGCTGCTGAAGGAAGCACTAAATATGGAAAGGAAAAACTGGTACCAACCACTGCAAAAACAAACCAAAATGCAAAGACCATTGACACTATGAAAAAACTGCATCAACTAATGGGCAAAATAACCTGCTAGCATCATAATGACAGGATCAAATTCACTCATAACAATGTTAGCCTTAAATGTAAATGGGCTAAATCCCCCAGTTAAAAGACACAGACTGGCAGATTGGATAAAGAGTCAAGACCCATCAGTGTGCTGTATTCAGGAGACCCATCTCACATGCAAAGACACACATAGGCTCAAAATAAAGGGATGGAGAATAATTTACCAAGGAAACGGAAAGGAAAAAAAAATAGGGATTGTAATCCTAGTCTCTGATAAAACAGACTTGAAACCAACAAAGATCAAAAAAGACAAAGAAGGGCATTACATAATGGTAAAGGGATCAATGCAACAGGAAGAGCTAACTATCCTAAATATATATGCACCCAATACAGGAGGACTCAGATTCATAAAGCAAGTTCTTAGAGACCTACAAAGAGACTTAGACTCCCACACAATAATAGCGGGAGATTTTAACAACCCACTGTCAATATTTAGACATATTAATGAGACAGAAAATTAACAAAGCTATTCAGGACTTGAACTCAGCTCTGGACCAAGTGGACCTAACAGACCTCTACAGAACTCTCCACTCCAAATCAACAGAATGTATATTCTCCTCAGCACCACATCACACTTATTCTAAAATTGACCACATAATTGGAAGTAAAACACTCCTCAGCAAATGCAAAAGAACGGAAATCATAACAAACAGTATCTCAGGCCACAGTGCAATCAAACCAGAACTCAGGATTAAGAAACTCACTCAAAACCATACAACTACATTGAAACTGAACAACCTGCTCCTCAATGACTAATGGGTGAATAACAAAATTAAGCAGAAATAAATAAGATTTTTTGAAACCAATGAGAACAAAGACACAACATAAAAGAATCTCTGGGACACAGCTAAAGCAGTGTTTAGAGGGAAATTTATAGCACTAAAGGCCCACAGGAGTAGGTGGGAAAGGTCTAAAATCACCACACTAACATCACAATTAAAAGAACTAGAGAAGCAAGAGCAAACAAATTCAAAAGCTAGCAAAAGACAAGAAACAACTAAGATCAGAGCAAAACTGAAGGAGATAGAGACACAAAAGAAAAACTTCAAAAAATCAATAAATCCGGGAGCTGGTTTTTTTTTGAAAATATTAACAAAATAGATAGACCACTAGCCAGACAAATAAAGAAGAAAAGAGAGAAGAATCAAATAGACACAGTAAAAAATGATAAAGGGGAGATCACCACTGCTCCCACAGAAATACAAACTACCATCAGAGAATACTATAAACACCTCTATGCAAATAAACTAAAAAATCTAGAGGAAATGGATACATTTCTGGACACATACATCCTCCCAAGACTAAACTAGGACGAAGTTAAATCCCTGAATAGACCGATAACAAGTTCTGAAATTGAGGCAGTAATTAATAGCCTACAAACCAAAAAAAGCCCAGGACCGAACAGATTCACAGCCAAATTCTACCAGAGTTACAAAGAGGAGCTGGTACCATTCCTTCTGAAACTATTCCAAACAACAGAAAAAGAGGGACTCCTCACTGACTCATTTTATGAGGCCAGCATTATCCTGATACCAAAACCTGGCAGAGACATAACAAAAAAGAAAAATTCAGGCCAATATCCCTGATGATCAGTGAGAAAATCCTCAATAAAATACTGGCAAACTGAATCCAGCAGCACATTAAAAAGCTTATCTACCATGATCCAGTCAGCTTCATCCCTGGGATGCAAGGCTGGTTCAACATATGCAAATCAATAAACATAATCCATCACATAAACAGAAGCAATGACAAAAACCACATGATTATCTCAATAGATGCACAAAAGGCCTTCAATAAAATTCAACACCCTTTCATGCTAAAAACACTCAATAAACTAGATGTTGATGGAACATACCTCAAAATAATAAGAGCTATAGATGACAAACCCACAGCCAATATCATACTGAAGGGGCAAAAGCCAGAAGCATTCCCTTTGAAAACTGGCAAAAGACAAGGATGCCCTCTCTCACCACTCCTTTTCAACATAGTATTGGAAATGTTGGCCAGGGAAAAAAGGGCCAGAGAAATAAATAAAGGGTATTAAACAGTAAGAGAGGAAGTCAAATTATTTGTTTGCTGATGACATGATTGTATATTTAGAAAACCCCATCGTCTCAGCCCAAAAACTCCTTAAGCTGATAAGCAACTTCAGCAAAGTCTTAGGATACAAAATCAATGTGCAAAAATTACAAGCATTCATATACACCAATAATAGACAAACAGAGAGCCAAATTATGAGCAAGCTCCCATTCATAATTCATACAAAGGAATAAGATACCTAGCAAGCTCCCATTCATAATTGATACAAAGAAATAAAATACAAAGGAATAAACTTATAAGGGATGTGAAGGACCTCTTCAAGGACAATTACAAACCACTGCTCAAGGAAATAAGAGAGGACACAAACAAATGGAAAAACATCCCATGCTCATGGATAGGAAGAATCAATATCACGAAAATGGCCATACTGCCCAAAGTAATTTCTAGATTCAATGCTATTCCCATCAAGCTACCACTGAATTCCTTCACAGAATTATAAAGAACTATTTTAATTTCATATGGAACCAAAAAGGAGCCCATATAGCCAAGACAATCCTAAGCAAAAAGAACAAAGCTGGATGCATCATGCTACCTGACTTCAAACTATACTACAAGGCTACAGTAACCCAAGCAGCTTGATACTGGCACCAAAACCAGATATATAGACCAACAGAACAGAACAGAGGCCTCAGAAATAATGCCACACATCTACAACCATCTGATATTTGACAAACCTGAACAAAACAAGCAATGGGGAAAGGATTCCCTATTTAATAAATGGTGTTGGGAAAACTGGCTAGCCATAAGCAGAAAACTGAAACTGGACCCCTTCCTTACACTTTATACAAAAATTAACTCAAGATGGATTAAAGATTTAAATGTAAGACCTAAAACCATAAAAACCCTAGAAGAAAACCTAGGCTATACCATTCAGGACATAGGCATGGGCAAAGACTTCATGACTAAAACACCAAAAGCATTTGCAACAAAAGCCAAAATTGACAAATGGGATCTAATTAAACTAAAGAGCTTCTGCACAGCAAAAGAAACTATCATCAGAGTGAACAGTCAACCTACAGACTGGCAGAAAACTTTTGCAATCTATCCATCTGACAAAGGGGTAATAGCCAGAATCTACAAGGAGCTTGAACAAATTTATAAGAAAAAAAAACCAACAAAAAGTGGGTGAAGAATATGAACAGACACTTCCAAAAGAAGACATTTATGCAGCCAACAAACACATGAAAAAAAGCTCATCAGCACTGGTCATTAGAGAAATGCAAATCAAAACCACAATGAGATACCATCTCATGCCAGTTAAAATGACAATCATTAAAAAGTCAGGAAACAACAGATGCTGCAGAGGATGTGGAGAAATAGGAATGCTTTTACACTGTTGGTGTGAGTGTAAATTAGTTCAACTATTGTGGAAGACAGTGTAGCGATTCCTTAAGATTCTAGGACTAGAAATACCATTTGATCCAGCAATCTCATTACTGGCTATATACCCAAAGGATTATAAATCATTCTACCATAAAGACACATGTGGGCCAGATGCAGTGGCTCACGCCTGTAATCCCAACACTTTGGGAGGCCAAGGCGGGCAGATCATGAGGTTGGGAGATGGAGACCATCCTGGCCAACAGGGTGAAACCCTGTCTCTACTAAAAATACAAAAATTGGCCGGGCGTGGTGGCATGTAGCTGTATTCCTAGATATTTCACTTCCTTTTTGGCTATTCTACATGGGATTGTGTTCTTGATTGACTCTCAGTCTGAATGTCATTGCTGCATAGAAATGCTTTTTCTGCATTTATTGAAAAGATCATATGGTTTTTGCTTTTAATTCTGTTCATGTGTATTAATTTTTGATGTGCTGCTGGATCCTGTTTGCTAGTTTTTTGTTGAATATTGTTGTGTCTATGTTTATCGGATTGGTCTGAACTTTGTCTTTTACGTTGTGATTGCCAGATTTTGTTATCAGGTTGATACTGGTTTCATAGAATGTGTTAGGGAGGAGCTCCTCTGCCTCAATTTTTTGGAATAGGTTCAGTAGGATTGGTCCCAGCTCTTCTTTGTATATCTGGTAGAGTTTGGCTGTGACTCTGTCTGGTCCAGGGCTTTTTTTAGGTTGCTCAGTTTTTTATTTCTGTTTTAATTTCAGAGCTCAATATTGTTCTATTCAGGGTTTCAATCTCTTTCTGATTCAATCTTTGGAGATTACATGTTTCCACGAAGTTATTCATCTTCACTAGATTTTCTAATTTGTGAGCATAGAGTTGTTCATAGTAGCCTGTAAGGATCTTTTGTATTTCTGTGTGATCACTTGTAATGTCATATTTGTCATTGTTGATTGTACCTATTTGGATATTTTCTTTTATATCTTGTTAATCCAGCTAGTAGTCTGTAAATCTTGTTTACTATTTTGAATGACAAACTCTTGGTTTCATTGACCTTTTTATGAATTTTGTATCTCAATCTTGTTCAGTTCACTAATTTTAGTTATTTCTTTTTTCTGCTAGCTTTAGAGTTGGTTTTTTCTTTTTCTTTTTCCTAGGTGCAAAGTTAATTTATGATAAATCTTTAACTTCTTGATGAAGGCGTTTAGTGCTATAAACTTTCCTCTTAACACTGCTTTACCTGCATTCCAGAGATTTTAGTAAGTTGTGTCCCTATTTTCAAAGATTTTTTTTATTTCTGCCTTAATTTCAGTGTTCACCCAGGAGCTATTCAGGAGCAAGTTGTTTAATTTCCATGTATTTGTACAGTTTTGAGAGATCTTCTTAGTATTGCTTTCTATTTTTATTGCACTGTGGTCTGAGAGTGTGTTTGGTATGATTTCAATTTTTTTGAGTTTATTAAGACTTTCTTTATGAGTGAGCATGTGGTTGATCTTAGAATATATTCTGTATACAGATCAGAAGTATGTTCTCATCTTCTGATCTCATCTCATCTTCTGATCTCATAGTCTGTGATTGTTAGGTGGGGTGTTCTCTAGATGTCTATTAGTCCAGTTGATCAAGTGTTGAGTTTAAGTCCAGAGTTTCTTTGTGAGTTTTCTGCTTCAATAATCTGTTTAGTCCTGTCAGTGGGGTGTTGCAATCTCCTACTATTATTGCGTGGCTAAGTCTTTTCATATATTAAGAGGAACTTGTTTTATGAATCTGGGTGCTGTAATGTTGGATGTGTATATATTTAGTATAGTTAAGTCTTCTTGTTGGATCACAGCCTTTATCATTATGTAATGCTCTTCTTTGTCCCTCTTGTTATTGATTTAAAGTCTGTTTTATCTGATATAAGAATAGCAACTCCTGCCCTTTTTTGTTTTCTGTTTGCATGGTAGATCTTTCTTTACTCCTTTACTTTGAGCCTATGGGTGTCATTACATGTGAGATGGGTCTTTTGAAGACAGCAGAGAGTTGGGTCATGTCTTTATCCTTCTTGGCATTATATATATCTTTTAAGTGAGGCTTTTAGCCCATTTACATTCAGGATTAGTATTGGTATTTGAGATTTTGATCTTGTCACCACGTTGTTAGCTGGGTGTTATGTAGACTTGTGTATTTGCTTTATAGTGTCTTTGGGCTATGTGCTTAAGTGTGTTTTGTGGTAGCAGGTGTTATTATTTCAATTCCATGTTTAGTACTCCCTTGAAGACCTCTTTTAAGGCTGGTCAAGTTGAAATGCATTCCATCAGCCTTTGCTTGTCTGAGAACAATTTTATTTCTCCTTCACCTATGAAGCTTAGTTTAGTGGTATATGAAATTCTTTGTTGAAATTTCTTTGGGATGATAAAAATTGGCCCCCAATCTCTTCTTGCTTATAAGGTTTCTCCTGAGAGGGTCCACTGCTAGCTTTACAAGGTTCCCCCATATGTGACCTGACCCTCCTTTCTAGCTGCCTTTAAGATTTTTTTTCAGTGACCATGGTGAATCTGATGACCATGTGCCTTGGGGATGGTCATCTTGTATAGTTTCCAGATGGGGTTCTCTGTATTTCATGAGTTAGTATGTAAACCTCTCTAGTGAGATTAGGGAAATTTTCATGTACTATATCCTCAGATATATTTTTCAAGTTGCTTATTCTCTCTCCTTCTCTTTCAGAGATGCCAATGTGTCATAGATTTTGTCTCTTTACATAATCCCATATTTCTCAGAGGTTTTCTTAACTTTTTCAATTTTTTCTTTATTTTTATCTGATTCAAAAAACCAATCTTCAAACTCTGAGATTCTTTCCTCAACTTGTTCTATTCTGCCAGTAGTTCCAATTGTATTATGAAATCCTTATAGTGAATTTTTCAGCTATAAAAGTTCAGTTTGTTTCTTTCCTAAAATGGCTATCTTGTCTTTCCACTCTTGAATTATTTTACTGGATTGCTTGGATTCCTTGGACTAGGTTTCAACTTTTTTCTGAATCCCAATGAGCTTTTTGCCATCCAGATTCTGAATTCTACGTCTGTCATTTCAGTCATTTCGGACTGGTTAAAAACCATTGCTGGATAGCTAGTGGACTTCTTTGGAGGTAAGGGGACACTCTGGCTTTTTGAATTGCTGAAGTTTTTGTGCTGATTCTTTCTTGTCTGGGAAGGTTGGATGTTACTTTAGCTATGATGTAAGTTGACTGTAGTCATTTCTGTATGTTTTCAGAGGGCTAAGGCTCTTTACAGGGACTTTATTTGTGGCTGAATTCTTGCCCTTGGTTTCAGTGGGTGGTATATTAGCAAAATATTTTTGGAATTGTAGTTTGGGCTGTGATTCAGGAGATAGCACTTAAGAGTAATGGTTGGTAGATAGGCACTTAGGTGTGCAGCTCTTTTGTATTTCCTCACATTTGCAGCAGTGCTCTGCAGTGCAGGGTGTGCTGGGAGAGAGGTGACTCCACTACTAGGACTTTTCCTGGGCCTTAGGGGCGCTCCCTCTGATCACTGACACCATGCCTACATTTCTTTTGTTAGGTGTTCTGAGCCACAGGGATTCATCTAGCAGAGGCCATGGCAGAGACATGGACCATACCTTTTTCAGACTGTCCCTGCAAAGGGAGGTATGTCCTGCTCCTTTGCCAGCCCAAGAAATCACACATCTTACCCTTCTTAGTGCTCTGAGAATGTGGGCTTCTCCCCTACTTGAGTGCTGGCCAGTGATCTTGGTTCAGCACCGCAGAACTATGTGCTGTAGTCCTGGGGAGCCAGGACCGGCTCATGGCTCCATCCTCCGGACCCTTGGGCTTAGGTTCTAGGTGCGCTAGGGTATCTGAAATGCTCCCAGGCCACGAGGAATGCACTCAGGTGGAGCAAAATGCCCAGGCTGGGTAAAGAAAATGTGGCACATATAAAGCATGGAATACTTGCAGTCATAAAAAAGGATGAGTTCATGTCCTTTGCAGGGACATGGATGAAGTTGGAAACCATCATTCTCAGCAAACTAACACAAGAACAGAAAACCAAACACCGCATGTTCTCACTCATAAGTGGGAGCTGAACAATGAAAACACATGGACACAGGGAGGGGAACATCACACACCAGGGCCTGTCAGGGGGTGGGGGGCTAGGGGAGGGATAGCATTAGGAGAAATACCTAATGTAGATGACAGGTTGATGGGTGCAGCAAACCACCCTGGCACGTGTATACCTATGTAACAAACCTGTATGTTCTGCACATGTACTCCAGAACTTGAAGTATAATAATAAAATAAAGAAAATATACTGAAAATATATTTTAAACATAATTAACATTTTGATTTTATTTTTACTTTTCATTTTGAAACTCAACCACTCAGAATTAAATTAATTTTAATTCCTGCTTCATGTCCATTCACTTATTTATCCAGATATAGCCATTTTGATTTATTTGTTCATTACTAATTATTTATTTTTAATAATGGAATAAAGATTCCATTATTTGGGTAGTGACACAAAGCCACTGCACAAAACAAAAGCTAGGACTCTATCAACAGCCCATATCAAGCCTGCTAGTTCCCCTAACATTCCATCCTTCTCTTTCCTCTCACCCAAAAGGCGCATCACTAAGAATCTTATGTTTATTGTTTCTTTTGTCTCATTTTATTGTAACTATTTTTCTAAAGAATACACAAACATATATCTAGTACTGTTCTTTTAATTGTATAAAAATGTCAGACTCTGTATCGTTTTTGGAACTTCTGTCCATTAACATTGTATTGCTAAAATAAATTCATATTGTTACTTGCCACTATATTGTACTAATTTTTACTCCTATATAATATTAAATTAGTGAATATACTACAGTTTATTTTTATACTGTTTTTGGATATTTTGATTGATTCAACGTTTTGTTAATATGAATAGTGTCACTATAAACATTTTTTACATATCTTCTGTTGTACATGTGCAAAAATTTCTCTTAGTTTTATACCTTATCATGGAAGTGCTAGAGTTTGCAAATATTCAATTTTAGTGAAAAAAAGTGTCAAATTTTTCCAAAGTGGTTGCTCTAATCTGTAACATGTAAAAGAGCCAATAGATTCACATTTGGTATTATAAGATTTTTAGGCATTTGGAATCCAGTGGGGGTAAAATGGTTCTATATTATTATCTTAATAAATATTATTAAAAAATAGAAACTTTCCTCCATTTCTAATTTGGTCAGATAAACTGTCTATTTCAAACTAATTACAAAACTATTTACGTCCTACTTTGAGCTAATTTTTTCTAACTCTTGTGTCATTCCATGATATGGTCATGGTCATGGTCAGTACTCTCATATAGTCGTTATGGCCAATGTGTTCTCTGCTATAATCCCACTCCCCTAGACAGAATGTCAGGGAGTGAGATCATGTATTTACTTAAGCTTTCCAGCTATTCATTCTTTCTTACTGTAGACACCTCATCTCATCCCAAACGATTTTTAAAGCTATCTAAGAAATTTCCATTGACTACTTAAGTTTGAAAAAGATTTTATTAAAAATATTGCACTACATGGACACATTTACAAACACAGTCATAAGATTGCAATGGTCTATAGAGAGCTGGCCCAAGTGACTAAGTATTTTTTAAAAACCATTCAATTTGATTTCTGGATTTTCATGTTTCTTTCTTATAAGACACTAAGTTACCTAATTTAAACGCAAAGCCACGTTTAAGGTGATTCTCAGACATCTGAAGGAAGGACTAAGGAATGTTCTTTAAATTGGGAAATAGGGCAGGAGAGAAATCCTAGTGCAAAGCTCCATACTCAGCAAAAGCAAGGTAAGTATGATGATGACTCATAGGCTTACTGTTGTTTGTTAAGATACATGGAATTTCCAGGAGGAAAGAAGAATGAGAGTTATGGTAAAAATAAGATGGAAGCATACAGATGTGATCCTGAAACCTTCCCTCCCACCCCTCATCAACCTGAATGCAGTAAAACAAAGTGAGCTTATATGCATTATCCATGGAATGGCAACTTTCATTCTGATTAAAGATATTTAAAAGCATCAGACATCTCTAAGAGGGCTTAGCTGAAACTCTCTATGTATTTCTGATGGCAACGTATTTGGCCATTATGAACCAAGATAGAATGTACGTTTTCTAAACTGATACTGAATTGTCTAAGTTGCTAACAAGAAATCCTTTCATAACAGTACAGTTTTTAACCTTTACTTCTTTATTCATCTTTAATTCCTTGCCACTTCCCACTGAGTTGAAATGTTTATATTAAAACAAAACACCCACTGGAATTCTAAAGAAATTGGCTCACCCATCTTTCAAATTACAAGATATTTTTTGACAGTATACAATATTCATTATAATGGAATAAACATTTTAATTTCTTAAGGAACTCTAATTTTCCTTAAAGGAGATGTTTACAACTTACTATTATAAATGCTGCCACTCAATCATAGGAGAAAATGATACTAAAATAGTTCAAGGCTAAAATCACACATAGGGCAGTTGTTCTCGAATATTTATAAGGCCACGAACTCATTTATGTATAACCTATAAACTTGAAGAATTTTTGAACCAATACAGTGGCAAGGAAAGCTAACAACCTAACTGTTAAGATCTATGGTCATTATTTTTCATTTAGTCCTAGAAATACATTTCCTTTCTGTAATGAATCAATATGGTCTAACTCAAAGAGAAACACGTGGAAGTGAAAAATAAATTTCTAAAGCAAGTGCTGATGGAAGAAGCAGAATTTCCCATTTAAAATACCCAAACAACTCCAAATTCTTTAGTAGTTAGGACTCCTGAAATCTCTTGACATAATAGAGAAGCAAAGACCCATAGAGAGATATGCGGTTAAATAGTGCTGCCTCTGGTGGCAAAAGCAGTTGCTAAGTTGTTTCACAACATATTTTTCCCCCACAGGCACAGGCCCCCCAAACACTGGAGCCGTCTACGAATTATTCTGACGCTAACTCCACAGCTCCGGACAGAAACACAATAGACGGGCGTGGTCTTATAATCATAAGCCAGTTCCTTTCTCAAGTCCTTCCTGCCTATGTTCGCTTACGTGTTATGGGTTCTGCGGTCCTGATGAAACTCCCTGAACGGAGAAAAACCACACACTTCATCCCAGTGGCGAATTTCTCCTCTTGCTCTAAGCAGGGTGTTTGACCTTCTAGTCGACTGCGTCCCCTGTACCCGGCGCCAGCTGTGTTCCTGACCCCAGAATAACTCAGGGCTGCACCGGGCCTGGCAGCGCTCCGCACACATTTCCTGTCGCGGCCTAAGGGAAACTGTTGGCCGCTGGGCCCGCGGGGGGATTCTTGGCAGTTGGGGGGTCCGTCGGGAGCGAGGGCGGAGGGGAAGGGAGGGGGAACCGGGTTGGGGAAGCCAGCTGTAGAGGGCGGTGACCGCGCTCCAGACACAGCTCTGCGTCCTCGAGCGGGACAGATCCAAGTTGGGAGCAGCTCTGCGTGCGGGGCCTCAGAGAATGAGGCCGGCGTTCGCCCTGTGCCTCCTCTGGCAGGCGCTCTGGCCCGGGCCGGGCGGCGGCGAACACCCCACTGCCGACCGTGCTGGCTGCTCGGCCTCGGGGGCCTGCTACAGCCTGCACCACGCTACCATGAAGCGGCAGGCGGCCGAGGAGGCCTGCATCCTGCGAGGTGGGGCGCTCAGCACCGTGCGTGCGGGCGCCGAGCTGCGCGCTGTGCTCGCGCTCCTGCGGGCAGGCCCAGGGCCCGGAGGGGGCTCCAAAGACCTGCTGTTCTGGGTCGCACTGGAGCGCAGGCGTTCCCACTGCACCCTGGAGAACGAGCCTTTGCGGGGTTTCTCCTGGCTGTCCTCCGACCCCGGCGGTCTCGAAAGCGACACGCTGCAGTGGGTGGAGGAGCCCCAACGCTCCTGCACCGCGCGGAGATGCGCGGTACTCCAGGCCACCGGTGGGGTCGAGCCCGCAGGCTGGAAGGAGATGCGATGCCACCTGCGCGCCAACGGCTACCTGTGCAAGTACCAGTTTGAGGTCTTGTGTCCTGCGCCGCGCCCCGGGGCCGCCTCTAACTTGAGCTATCGCGCGCCCTTCCAGCTGCACAGCGCCGCTCTGGACTTCAGTCCACCTGGGACCGAGGTGAGTGCGCTCTGCCGGGGACAGCTCCCGATCTCAGTTACTTGCATCGCGGACGAAATCGGCGCTCGCTGGGACAAACTCTCGGGCGATGTGTTGTGTCCCTGCCCCGGGAGGTACCTCCGTGCTGGCAAATGCGCAGAGCTCCCTAACTGCCTAGACGACTTGGGAGGCTTTGCCTGCGAATGTGCTACGGGCTTCGAGCTGGGGAAGGACGGCCGCTCTTGTGTGACCAGTGGGGAAGGACAGCCGACCCTTGGGGGGACCGGGGTGCCCACCAGGCGCCCGCCGGCCACTGCAACCAGCCCCGTGCCGCAGAGAACATGGCCAATCAGGGTCGACGAGAAGCTGGGAGAGACACCACTTGTCCCTGAACAAGACAATTCAGTAACATCTATTCCTGAGATTCCTCGATGGGGATCACAGAGCACGATGTCTACCCTTCAAATGTCCCTTCAAGCCGAGTCAAAGGCCACTATCACCCCATCAGGGAGCGTGATTTCCAAGTTTAATTCTACGACTTCCTCTGCCACTCCTCAGGCTTTCGACTCCTCCTCTGCCGTGGTCTTCATATTTGTGAGCACAGCAGTAGTAGTGTTGGTGATCTTGACCATGACAGTACTGGGGCTTGTCAAGCTCTGCTTTCACGAAAGCCCCTCTTCCCAGCCAAGGAAGGAGTCTATGGGCCCGCCGGGCCTGGAGAGTGATCCTGAGCCCGCTGCTTTGGGCTCCAGTTCTGCACATTGCACAAACAATGGGGTGAAAGTCGGGGACTGTGATCTGCGGGACAGAGCAGAGGGTGCCTTGCTGGCGGAGTCCCCTCTTGGCTCTAGTGATGCATAGGGAAACAGGGGACATGGGCACTCCTGTGAACAGTTTTTCACTTTTGATGAAACGGGGAACCAAGAGGAACTTACTTGTGTAACTGACAATTTCTGCAGAAATCCCCCTTCCTCTAAATTCCCTTTACTCCACTGAGGAGCTAAATCAGAACTGCACACTCCTTCCCTGATGATAGAGGAAGTGGAAGTGCCTTTAGGATGGTGATACTGGGGGACCGGGTAGTGCTGGGGAGAGATATTTTCTTATGTTTATTCGGAGAATTTGGAGAAGTGATTGAACTTTTCAAGACATTGGAAACAAATAGAACACAATATAATTTACATTAAAAAATAATTTCTACCAAAATGGAAAGGAAATGTTCTATGTTGTTCAGGCTAGGAGTATATTGGTTCGAAATCCCAGGGAAAAAAATAAAAATAAAAAATTAAAGGATTGTTGATAACCCAGACTCAAATATCATTGCCTTCCTCCAGGAGTAATTAGGAACAGCTGAGGGCATGCTGGGAGTAAGCAGCAAGAGTGCATTCTGCTTTTAGATTGAGGGAGAGGTCCTTAAGTTCCTCGAATGAGACACAGATCTTTAAGAACTAGTAACTTTTTCATTGATTCTTTTATCCTTTCTTTTCAAAGTCACTGCTACTTGTGTGCTTTGCTATAAATCGAAAGTGTAGTGTTGCCAGAATTGCTGGCTCTGGAAGAAAATTACAGTTGACCACCAGTTCAAGTGTTTACTTTATGTCCATGCCCAAGGAAAACACATAATTTGCGTTTTCCCTTTCCAGTGTTTGTGCTTTCCAGCGTAATGACCTCCCCAAGCAAATAGCCCTCTCCTGAACATCAAGATGCTCATCCTCATCTTCAATTATGGTGATGTTAATTCTCAATTAAAATGTTAATGCTAAGTATTGATTTGCAATCTTCTGGTTGCATCAAAGAAAAAGTAAGCTGGTTTTCCTCCAAAGTTGCTAAGTTCTTGTGCATTTTTCAACCCATGGAAAAACTTGAACACCAAGCCATTTTCTTTTTCTCTTGATAAGAATGTGTGCAATAACAATACTTGCTCATTTTGGAGTGATTATAATCTTACAAGTGTTTACATGGGCAAAGGCATGGTAAACAGTTTACCATAAGAAATAATAGTATAAGAAATAAGTGACAAATTTTAAAAAATCTATCATCTTGTTATAACTGGGGGGTATTAGAAAGTAATCTAAATGAAGCACTCCCATGAAAAATAATTAAGACATAATAAAAATCACTGCCTCGTGGAATCAAAGTCCCTAGAAGATATCCCACTTTTATTAGTACGCTGAGACTTTAAAACTAAGAGTGTGGGGGTTGGTGCATGCAGAGAGGCAGAGAAACAAGCTTAGTAACAGGGAGGAATGAAAACAGAAGCTTACACTTTATTTTCACAGAATTATTTTAATGTTTTTGAGTGTACAATGTATACAATGGAAAATAGACTTACAAGTCGTAAGTGACCAATTATAAAATATTACTAAAAAATTAAAACAGCTCAATCCATAAATTCATTTCCTAAATATAAATATATATATTTAGTATTATAACATTAAAAGAATGAAACAATAGGTAATTTGCCTCATATACTAAATATGTTTCTAAATAGTTACACTTAAATAAAATTACAGAAAAATTAGAATTAACAACATTCAGGGGAATTTTAAATATTATTTTACAAGTGAAATTAAAAATCAGATAAGTACAGTAAATGGCTTGCCCATGTTCCCCAACCTGACTTGTCAGAGTATATCTCAGTTCATCTCAATCTTGGTGTTTTAGCTTTCCTCTTCACATGATCTCTCAGTAGAGAAGGTAAAAATTTGAGTAGAATATATGATGCTTTCTTTTGTAATTTGAAAAATAGCTTTATCTATAAGTGAGCTGAACTGTTTGTGTGTGTGTGTGTGTGTGTGTGTGTGTGTGTATACATAGTCATGCATTGCTTTACAATAGGAATACATTCTGAAAAATGTGTTTTTAGGCAATTTCGTCATTGTGTCAACACCATAGCACGTACTTACAAAAACCTAGGTGGTATAACCTATTACACCCCTAGGCTACAAACCTGTATAGCATGTTACAGCACTGAATACTGTAGGCAGTTTTAACACAGTGGTAAGTATCTCTGTATCTAAACAGATCTAAACATAGAAAAGGTACAATTAAATTACAGTATAAAAGATAGAAAATGATACACTTTATTGTATAGGGTACTTACCATGAATGGAGCTTTTTAAAGGACTGGAAGTTGCTCTGGGTGATTCAGTGAGGAAGCGGTGAGTGAATGTGAATGTGAAGGCCTGGGACACTTTATAAACGCTATACACTTAGGCTACACTAAAATTATTTTAAAAATTTTACCTTCAGTAATAAACTAACCTTAGCTTACTGTAACTTTTTTTGCTTTAAAAACTTTTTAATTTTTAAACTTTTTGACTCTTATGTAATAACACTTAGCTTGAAACACAAACACATTGTACAGCTGTACAAAAATATTTTCTTTCTTTATATTCTTATTTTATAAACATTTTTTGAAATTTATTTATTTTTTTTACTTTTTAGACTTCATTATTTAAGGGGCCTATTGAAGTCTCTGTTATTATTAGGTTGTCTATTTCTCCTGTCAATTCTGCCAGGTTTTGTTTCATGTATTTTGGGGGCTCTGTTGTCATGTGCTTGTACGTTTATTATATTTCCAGACAGATGAGCCCTTTTATCGTTATAAAATGTCCGTCTTTATCTTTAGTGAGAGATCTTGTTTAAAATCTATTTTGTATGGTATTAGTTGTCTTATGGCTGTCTTTATGCTTGGTATGGGCTTTTTACATCCTTTAGCTTTCAACCACTTAAGCTTTTGAATCTAAATTGTGTCTCTTTTAGGCAGCTCATATTTTGACCATTTTTTAATAATCCATTGTTCAGTATCTGCCTTCTGATTGAAGTGTTTCGTACATGTGTGTTTAATATAATTACCACTAAGAGAGGATTTACACCTACTGTTTTCTGTTTGTTTTCCACATGTCTTATGTCTTTTTTGTTCTTTTATTTCTTTATTATTGTTTTATTTTGTATCAAGTAAATATTTCTAAAATTACCATTTTAATTCTCATATTGTCTCTTTTCCTTTTGTAAAGTTCTTTTCCAAGTAATTACCCTGAGGATTACAATTAATATCTTAACTTAAAAACTATATAATTAGGATGAAGATCAACTTAATTTTAATAGTTTACAAAATTTTGCTCCAATGTGGCTATATTCTTTTCCTCCTCCTTTGTGCTATTCCTGTTAGTCAGATTATATCTTTACACTATAACAATTTTATAATTATTGCTTCATGCAGTTTTTTTAAGAGACAGGGTCTCATTCTGTCACCCAGGCTGGAGTGAAGTGGCACAATGATAGCTAATTGTAATCTCAAACTTCTGAGCTCAAGTGATCCTCTCAGCCTTCCAAGTAGTTGAGATTCTAGGTGCATGCCACCACACCCAGATAATATTTTTGTATTTTTGTAGAGCTGGAGTCTCACTTTGTTGCCCAGGCTAGTCTCAAACTCCTGGCCTCAGGCGATCCTCCCACCTTGGGTTCCCAAAGTGTTGGGATTACAGGCATGAGCCACTTTGCCTGGCCTGCAGTTACCTTTTAAATTAGGTAAGAGAATAAAAAAGTTACAAGCAAAAACTAAATTTATACTGTATTTTGTAGTTACCTTTACCAGTGCTCTATTTCTTTGTGTGGATTTGTTATTGGTTAGTGTCCTTTCATATTATCACGAAGGACTCTCTTTAATGTTTTCTTTTGTAGGGTATATCTGCTAGTGACAAATTATCTGATTTTGTTTAACTGAGAATGCCCTAAATTCTTCTTCTATTTTTAAAGAATAATTTGGCTAGATGTAGAATTTTGGCTTAAGAGTCTTTTCCTTTTAACACTTTGCTTATGTCATTTTACTGCCTCCTGAACTTCATAGTTTCTGATAGAAGTCAGCTGTTCATTTTATTAAGGATCCCCTTTACATCTTGAATTGTTTTTCCACTTGCTATTTAAGCTTCTTTTCTGTGACTGCTTTTCTCTTTCTTTGTGTGACTCATAACTTTTCATTGAAAACTAGATGTTTTAAATAATATAATGTGGCAGCTCTCTCAATCTATTTTCTGACAGCCACAACACAGTTTGTTGTTGTTGCTGCTGTTCATTCAGTTACTTTCCTTGATTGGTTCTAAAAAGTCTATATTCTCTGGCATATGTGGCCACTGAGCTAACTTCTAACCCTGTTCAGTTAGCTTAGTGTTCAGCAAATGAAATAGACTTTTTTTTCTTTTGAGCCAGAGTCTCGTTCTGTCACCCAGGCTGGAGTGTAGTGGTGCGATCTCGGCTCACTGCAACCTCCATCTCTTGGGTTCAAGCAGTTCCCCTGCCTCAGCCTCCCAAGTAGCAAGGACTACAGGCTGCGCGCTAATTTTTTTGTATTTTAGTAGAGATGGGGTTTCACCATGTTGGTCAGGATGGTCTCGATCTCCTGATCTCGTGATCTACCGGCCTCGGCCTCCCAAAGTGCTGGGATTACAGGTGTGAGCCACTGCGCCCGGATGAAATAGATTTTTTTAACGATCAGGCCAATAAATTTTCATTCGTTTGTGGAAGGGCACTGCTTGGTGTCAGAGCAGGCCTTCAGTTCTCAGTTTACAGTTCTGCCTTGGACTTCACTTAGTGCTTTTGCAGGGCCTCAGTGTCACTCAGAGGGAAGAAATTAAGAGCCTTCTCAGATCTTTCCTGGGTAGTACACAGCCTTACACAATCATATACTTTCCTAGATTCCCAGGAATACATTGGAGCTTTATAAAGGCCCTTATAGACAACTCTTTCTCCATATCTTCCTTTTCAGTTTTTGTCCAGCTTCTTCTTTGCCGTAATTGGCATCACAACTTCTATTAGTTTCCTGTGGCTGCTCTAACAAATTGCCACATACTGTTGCTTTAATTCTGCTTCAAATAATAGAAATTTATTCTTTCACAGCTCTGGAGGTTAGCAATTTGAACTCAAGTTGTTGACAAGACCATGTTTCCTGTCATGTCTCTAAGAAAGAATCATTGCTTCTTCCTAGCATCTCGTGATTGACAGCAATCCTTGGTGTTCCCCGGCTTGCGGCTGCATCACTCCAATCTCTACCTCTGTTGTCACATAGCCTTCTTACTTCTCTGTGTGTGTCTCTTCTGTATGTCTATGTCCAAATTTCCCTTTCCTTATAAGGACACCAGTAACTGGATTTAAGGCCTACTTTAAGCCAGTAATACTATTTTAATTTGATTATATCTGCAAAGACCTTATTTTCAAATAAGGTCACATTCACAGGTACCAGGGGCTAATGTAAACGTGTTTCTGGAGGACACAGTGCAATCCACAACAAGCATTCCATAGTATTTTTCTTCTTATATTGTGCTTCTCAAATCCATATCTTCTATCTCAAGCTATAGTCCTATGTTTTTCCTCCTTTGAGAAGCTGCTATGTTAATTAATTGCCACTTAATGTTTTGAACAACTACTCTAGAAATAGGACTTTTCCCACTGAGTGAACTCTGAATCATGTCAAATAATAATTCCTGTGAATGGGGCTTTTCCATGAAGCTGAGTGACAGGTCAAATAGTGATAATTCTGTGTGGATGGGGCTCTATTGAAGCTCCAAACCTGTTCTGCCCCTCCTAGTGGCTGCTAGGATGATGGTCTTCACAGCTACTATGTTTGCAATGCTGCTGCTTTTTAAGGCTTCTGCAGAGCTGGGCAATGGAAGATGAAACTAGGCCAAGTTAAAATGCCATAAAGCTCACTATTCTTACCAAGATTTAGCTATTTTTCTTGAATAAACACTTTTTGGGCTATTGCAGATTTTTGGTTAATTTTAAGAGTACCGAAGGATATGATTTTGACAATGTTTTCCACGTTCCTCGCTGCTTTTAAGAAGGAGCAGATTTTTCAGAGAAACTCACTTTGCCATCTGGAAGTACCACCCATGTGTTGCATTTAGATGTCTTTGCAGTCTTCTTCAGTCTAGAAGAATTCCCCAGTCATTCCTTGACTTCAGTGACATCAGCAGTTTTTGAGATTATTGGATAGATTTACTTTGTAGCATGTTCTTAATTAGGGTTTGTTTTTCATCCAGGTTGTGCATCTTTGGATGGAATATTATAGAAGTGATCCTTTGTTTCCCTTGCTTTTGATTCTTAGCAGTTGGTATATGATTTCAAATTGTCACATTATTTGTGATGTCAACTTTGATCATTCAATTAAGGTGGTGTTTGCCAGACTTCTTAACTATAAATTCTTCCTTCATAATTAATAAGTGTTTTGTGGGGAGGTAATTTGAGACTGTGTAAATATACAGTTCCTCATGAAACTTTCAATATCTTATTTATATCAGTATATATTTATGAACTTCTATTTTATTCAAAAAGTTACTATCGTCATTTACTTTGATATTTAAATTATCTCAGATTTAGGCAGTGTGATCCCCTTCAGGTTGTCTCCTATGCCCTTCTGACAGGCTCCCGACCTTCTTGGATAGTTCTTTGCTTTCTGGTACAAGAAAATAGCCCAGACTCATTTTGTACTTCCTCTGCTCAAGTCCAAGAAGCTTCAGTTAATTTTAAGGAAAAATGGTCATCAGAAAACATGATCTATGTACTAGATATACTCATTGCTTTTAAGTTATTGTTGTTACTAGGTGTCTTCTCAAAAAAGAGCGTTAGGAAATGTATGTTTGTGTTTATGTGTGTATGTGTATGCATAAATATACATAAACCTAAAATATACACACACATATACACGTGTTTATACCTACATTTTTCCTAAATCTATCTTATCTATTTATACTTCCATTTGTATTGAAAACCATAACTCACACCAATATCTCTAATTCCAGTCTAACACCATAGGGTTCGGTCTTCTCATCCCACTTGGTCTCTGTTACTCTGCTCTTGGCTGGCATCCCTTGAAGATATCCTCTTCAAGCCACTTGGGTTCTGATCCCAAACAGCCGCCTGTTACCAGCAGCCCTGCCTTTGTGAAAGTTCTCTTCTTCCTGCTTGGGCTCAGACACTAAACTGGGCCACCATCTGGTCCATTCTCTTTACACCACTCAGACTCTAACATTTTGCTCTTGAGCACGATGCCTCCCCATTCTACTGGCATGGACACTGACCCTGCTTAGCCCCACTTAATGACGTTTTGGCTAAATTGTTTCAAAAGGGGAAGGAAGGGAAGATGAAGAGATATTGAATTCTTATCACAATTTATGCTTACCCATCTACACATATCCATGTACTTTTTAAAAACTGTCTTTAAAAAAAAAAACTATCTAAAACAACCTGTTCCCTTCACTTCATCTGGAAAACCGCCATTATTTTTCAGGTATAAGATTGAATATCATTTTACCCGAAAGGTGTTTCCGAAGTCCTGACTCTAGGATAGGATCTAATGGTCACACATCGTATCACCTCAGTGTCTGGCATGTAGGAGGTTTTGTGTATGTGTGTGTGTGTGTGTTTTAATCACCCTGCTTCTTAACCTATATCTCAGATTTCTAATGATTATTTAGAAGGATTGAATACAGGTTCTTATGCCACCTTAAATGCAATAGAAAGAATGTGTCTTACTATGTAGGTTAACTATTTAGAGGTTTCTAAAAATTAATTGATTCCAATACCTATTTATTGCCAAAAAGGAAAAAATCATCAATATTAAGTTAAAAGTAAAATCTCGTTTTGGCAGATATTTGCAAAAATATAACTGATTTGATGAAATATCTTCACTTATAGGTCAAGTTCTTTTAGTTACCTAGAGATATATTTAGCAGCTCATTTACATTGGAGGACACCTTGTAAGGTTATGCTGCTTAGTGTTAAATATTTTATAGGAAATTACTGGCATGTCTCCTCAGCCAAACTGAGTGATTATTAATGCATGATTAGAAAATCATCAGAGTTGTACATACTTTAAGTGTATATGTAATATTTTGATACATGTATGCTATGTGTAGTTATTAAATCGGGGTAACTGGGATATTCATCACCTCAAACATTTATCTTTTATTTGTGTTGGGAACATTACAATTCTTCTCTTCTAGCAATTTTGAAATATATGATAAATTATTATTATTAACTATAATTTCCCTACTATAATATCAAATACTAGAACTCATTCCTTCTATCTACATTTTGGTACCCATTAATCAACTTCTCTTCATCCCACTCTTCTCCTTTCCCTTCTTAGCCTCTGGTAACCACCATTCCACTCTCTACCTTCATGAGATACACTTTTTTTTAGCTCTCACATATGAGTGAGAACATGTGATATTTGTGTTTCTGCGCCTGGCTTACTTCACTTAACATAATGACCTCCAGTCTCATCCATGTTGCTGCAAATGACAGCATTGCATTCTTTCTATGCCTGAATTCTATTCCATTGTGAATTTGTACCACATTTTCTTTATCCGTTCATCCATTGATAGACACCTATCATCATTTTGAGATTATGCTAAGTGAAATAAGCCAGTAACAAAAGAACAAATGCTGTATAATTCCACTTATATCAAGTATAAGTGATTTCATATCTAGGCTGTTATGAATAGTGCTGCAATAAACATGAAAATGCAGATATCTCTTCAATGTACTAATTTTCTTTCGTTTGGATGCATACCCAGCAGTGGGATTGCTGGATTACATGGTAGTTCTATTTTTAGTGTTTAAAAGAACCTCTATACTGTTTTCCATAGTGGCTGTACCAATTTCCATTCCTGCCAACAATGTATAAATGTTCCCTTTCCTCCACCCCTTTACCAGCATTTGTTATTGTTTGTCATTGTGATAACAGCCAGTCTAACTAGGGTGGTATGATATTGCACTGTGGTTTTGAATTACCTTTCACTGATTATTAGTGATGTTGAACATTTTATTATATACCTGTTAGTCATTTGTATGCCTTCTTTTGAGAAATGTCTATTCAGGTGTTTTGCCCATTTTTAAATTAGATTATTTGTTGTTTTTTGCTATTGAGCTGTTTGGGTTTCTTATACATTTTGGAACAATATTTAACATATTAATCTCCTGTCAGATGGAAAGTTTACAGATATTTTCTCCCATTCTGCAAGTTGTCTCTTCACTATATTAATTGTTGCCTTTGCTGTGCAGAAGCTTTTTAGCTTGATATAATCCCATTTGTCAATTTTTGCTTTCATTGCCTGTGCTTTTGAGGTCTTACCCCAAAAATCTTTGCCCAAACTCGTGTCCTATGGCATTTTCCCAGTGTTTTCTTCTAGTAGTTCATCTATCCCCCAATGCCAGGGCAAGATGGAAACTTCCTGAGACATAGGTCATTTCTATGGGTAAGAGAAAAACTAAGAGGGAGAGAATTTTATGGTGAATAGTCAACCAGGCAGCACTAAGAAAAATAAGAAGGAGCTGAGTTTACCTTGTGGCAAGATTAGCTTTCTGTCATCAGAAATAAAACTCAAAAACAGACTTCTCTTACTGAAGAATAAAGACATTTCTATTTGTATATATTTAGGTATTATTAGTGGTTTGTTTAGAAAATATCACATATATTTTGTCTGTACAATAGAGGTAATGTTAACTGCCTCATAAGAATATTATGAAAAAATGAATATAGAGACTTATTACAGTATCCTGGAGTAGTGTAAGCACTTATCAACAATCTTAGTAGCAGATTGAAGATAAAAACTATGAAATGCCCGTATCATGATATTTACAAATCACTCAGACCACACCCACTCAAGGTTTTAGGAAATCTTATTAATGTGAACACAATTTAAGAGTCCTGAGTCCTGAGCATGAGAAAACAAGTCTACTGGTCCACAACTCTGAAAAAGTGAAAAGCCTTTAAATGTATCCAGGGATGGCAGGCAATATTCCTAACCAACACATACTTTTGGTTAGTTAGTTACTAACTAACCAGTTATGTGATATGAGATGGATGGGAGCTGGCAGTGATTCTCATTATTATTTGGAAAAGAGATCTCTACTCAATTCCCACATTTCCCCCTCTTTCCAATGACAGAACTGGGTCCATATAGTATTGAACTAAAGGGTACTAAATGGATACTTACATGTGGCCAGAAAGCTTCCTTCTTACAGCCCGGAGTATAAGTATGTCCTCAGAATGATCCAGCTCAGTAGGTAAATTCTCCTGGAATTACTGTGCCATAGAAGGCAGTAACTATAGTTTATTCCCTGGACAAGCCCCAAATGGTCTACCCTCCAGTGCTGTAATTGTTTATATATCAACAATGTTAAGGGTGTCATTTTGGCAGATACCATTATTACCCATACACCCTGCTTGGCTTAAAGTATTTTTTTCCCCACTAATCTCCTCATCAACATATATAGGACACTCCTAAAAATGATAAGCCAATAAAACTGCTTTACATTCTTTTTCTAAGATGGTTGAATATAAATAATAAAGAACAGAAAACAATCACAGGTTATTCTGATATGTTGCAATAATCACATTGCACTTTTTTATAGGCCTATAATATCTGCATAACAACTTTTTATAGAGAAAATATTTTACGTTTGCTATCTTGCTTTATTTAGCCTCACAAAATCCCTGTGAAACTGGGGGAGGAATAGCTGCAGTATCTACAGCAGTTCTCAAGATGGGTCCTACAGAATTATTGAGATTGTTATCATAGGCAGATCAGTAAGGTTCCTCATTTTAACAAGAAGTCCTCCTCCTTGAAACAGTAGGAAACCAAAGAGTTTTATAGGGAGTAAAATTTCTATGTTCTTCAAGCTGAGTCACATTTGACTGAACTTTTCAGGTTTCTGTGAAAGCCAAGTCAGAATTAAAACTTTTTATTTATGCTTCGGTTATATTTGGCAGGTGAATAAGGAGATACAGGCCTGTGCTAGGAAATTCTCTATCTCAGACCTTAGCACCTTCATTAGAACCTCCCATGACACCTTTTAAAAAATTAATTGGTTAACTAATTTTATTTTTAATTGACCAAAAATAATTGTATATATTTATGGGGTACAATGTGATATTTTGATATATGTATGTTGCAGAAAGATTAAATCAAGCCAATTAACATACCCATCACCTCACCTACTTATTTTTTTGTGATGAGAATGTTGGGAATGTTTAAATATACTCTTTGAGTAATTTTGAAGTATACTTTAATTTGTTTCTTTTTCTTCTATTTCAGGTCTTAGAGTAGGTGTGGGAGGGTTGGCTAACGCTTCCATTTATGGTCTTGACACTTCCCTCCATTGTTCGAGACTAAAGTTTCAACAGTTTTAATTCCTTAAAAATAACTTAGTCTTATTTTTACCTTCAGTTTTTATCTTTGCACTGATCTTTCCTTTGAGTTATACATCCATTAAGTCTGTTATGCCAAAACACCAGCACAAAGAGAAATCTCATTACCTTGCTTTTTCCATTTGCACTTCATCTCTTCCGGTGATCTACCCCAGCCTGCTATGAGATTTACCTTCCTAATATACCACTCTACCATTCAGCTCTGCTGCTCAAAAGGTTCCCAGGCCTCCTCATTACATGAAGTTCATGCTCTTTAGGCTGGCTCAAGGCCCTTCAAGACCTTATCAGGTTAGTCCACACTTCTCTCATATTACACCCTGTGCTTTTGCCAGACTAAATTACCCACTCCTTTGCTTTATTGTAGCTTCATGATTTTAATCCACATTCTTTCTACCTGGGATGCCAGTCATTACCTGCTTGAATGCTAAAATGTGTCCATGCTGCATATCTCAGTTTAAATGCTACCTCTTCCAAGATATCTTCCCCAGTTACCATAAACCCAAACCAATCCTCGGAAATCCCTTATCACTTTATTTGAATCTCTCTACCACATGCCATGTTGTTTAAGTCAAGGGCTATGCCTTACACATTTTGTGAAAAACAAATTGCTTTCATATTGCAAGCTATCAACAGATGTTTCCTAAATAAGTTATATAGACAACAAATAGTTTAAGTGGCTATTAATTTTTTACTGAAAATCCAAGTTTCAACAATTTCAAATCCTTAAACATAATTCAGTAACTGTATTATGCATTATTACTAAAAGGTATCATAGCCACATTATATAGTTTTTCACTTTATGGTATATACATATTAACTCAGAAAATTATGAAACAAAGTTTTCTGATCTGTATTCCTGAAAGTCTAACTTTCCGCTCACCCACATCTACCCTCCCACATGGTTAAGAACTGAGACACTTTTTCTCCCCAGACCATCTCTTTTCTTACAAAGGCATCCATAAATAAGACATGCAGATGGAATCTGTTTCTCCCAATATCTTCTAACACCACCTCTTCCACCCACGCTGCTACACGTCCTCCCCTCTGAAGACCAGTGTCAGATGTCCTGATGGCTCAAAGCCGCAGGAATTCTGGAATGAAAATTTGAGTTAGCTGAGGTGCCATTGTTTGGGGGAGTACTCATGGGGGCAAATCTAAGTCTAGCAGGGAGCTGAAGGACAGATGGCAATGGTCTGTGTCCTCATGGACAAAGCTGTATTCTAGTAGAACCTATCCAACAGCTCTACAGCTGTAACTTGAGGAGGTCAGAGGTTCCCTGGAATACTGGCTTCTCTACTCAAGGTCTGTGGAACTATAATTCTAGTGGTTCCAGCCAATGACAAAAATCCTGACTCTACTACCCAATGAATCTGTGACCCAATGGGTTAAAAAAAAAAAGGAAATACAAATTAAATTTAAAATAATCTACACATCTATCATCCTGTAACCTCACCCCAAACCTCCACTATTACCATTATCTTCTGGACATCCCATTTGTATTATTTTTCCACCAGCCTTACTTCCCTTATTTCTTGAACTCAGAGACAGACTAATCCATTACAATTGGAAGTAACTGAGAAGAAGTCTGTACAGATATTTCTAGGCCTCTGAAGCTGCAGGTAAAAGGCTCTACTCTCATTGAGACTGCCTTTTGAATGAGGTGCCGGGATTGTGGGTGGTAGATGGAGTGGGAATAGCTTTAAGCACCCAAGGTCAGGCCCTCCTCTCCAAGCCGTCAGTTTAGTATTTTCTTAAATGACCAGTTTTCAAAGTATCAACTGACCCAAAATACATGTTGCTTCCACAAAACTCTACTTAAACTCTTACCTTGAGGAGGCAAGATTGATAAAACCAAGAGCACATAGTTCTCTCCTTCACACTTACCACAGTTTTAGCAAATTAGTTTGTATGTATTCATCACCTATATATGGGTTCTTTAGTATATAGGTATTGTGAGGGCAGAGACTATGTCTGTGTGCGCCTTTTCCACATTCCACTGTCTGGCACATAAATGGAACTCAGTAAGTCCTTATTGAATGAATGAAGGAATAGGTAGGTGGTTTGAAACATAGCTGAGGGACAGGGTTGGTGAGGGAGACACATTTGCTGCTCTTTTATAAATACATATGCATTTGACTGTGCCTACACACATGTATACACATATATGTACATCTTTCACTTCTGTAGCTCTACAGAAGTTGCCTGTGTGCTTCTGCTCTAGGGCTCTGTGCTTCCTAGGCATGACATTTTTTTCTGGGATGCATTCCTTCTACCATTCTCCCTCTCTCCAGCCATCATCCACTCTACCCTTCCTCCAGATAATCTGGCATCTTCCTCTTCCCTGGCATGTACATATGGGCCAGGAACTCCACCAATAAGGGGAGAGTCCATGAGAGGGCAAGGCAATTGACAGTTGTACTGAGGATTGGTCATGTTTACCTTCACACATGCCGGAAAACATTAAAGCCGAGCCAAGGTCTGTTTAGGTCTGCATGCCCACGGAATGTGGTTTCCAAGACATCCTCATTACTGACACCTGCTCTCCAGGCCTCAGTTGCCTGCTCAACATCCCCACAAAGATATCCCCCTGCCATAGCAAATACATGTTTCAGATTAAACTCATTTCATGTTCCTTCTGTAAAATACATTAATCTCCTTATTGGTGTAACTCTCATTCCGGAATTCCAGGCTGAAATCCACAATTGCTCTTTTCAAACCATCTTTTCTCCTTAATCCTTATATTCTATGTAGCCAATTCCTATTTATCCTTCCTTTGAAATGTCCATGAGATTTGCCCTTTTCCATCCAGGTACTCTATCACCATCCCAGTCTAAGCTTTCATTGTTATAGTGTTCCCTTAGTCCTCTTTTGACTCTAATATTAATATTTATATTCAAATCCATTTAACAAAACAGTTTAGTCTTTCTAGAGCTCATTAAAAAAATTTTAAAGGTTATGCTTCCATTTTGTAGCACATGAAGATGCAAAAATCCATGAGTGTCTTCCTGATATCTGGTCCCACCCTACATGCTTGTCAAACCTTACGTCCTAAGATTCTTCAAGACCCACCATCACCCATCAGGCCCCCTGCCTCACAGTTCTCCATGCTAGAAAATCCTCCTTCCTGTCCTGCCCATTCAAATCCTTCATGAGGCCTTTCTCAGCTAATCTGACCTTCCTCAGCCAAAAAAAGAGATGTATTAAGCTCCCACTTTGTGCCAGATCCAATGATCAGCACTGGACTTAAGACAGGATCTGAGACAGACATGATCACTGCCCTCATGCCTCCTGTAATCTACTACAGGATTTTCTCCCTTCTCTTATCTGCCAGTAGCGTTCTGTCCCTTAATGTTTAATTACCTGCTGATACATTACTGACTTATTTATAGTTCAATTAAGGAGTATTTATTTACTGTGTAATTTGGATAGGGACTTGTGCTAGGCAAGTTGAAAGATGCAAACTCTGGAAGTTAGGAATTATGTCGCCATCATATACCCAGTGTCACACAATGCCTGAAGATGAGTAGGTATTCCATAACCTTTTTGAATGAATCCCATAACAAAATATTATGAATACTGAGCAATCAGAACTTAGAGAAATTAAAGAGTCAACTTCTCTAAGAAGAAAGTCTGCAGAAGGCTTTGCTTTGGTGGATGAGTGGGATGTGCACAGACTGAGAAGTGGGTGGAGGCTATTGCAAGCAAGTGTAACACTGAACAAGGAAATAAGGCAGACTACTAATGCCCCCAACACCCCCACCATCTGATGTCCTCTGTTTCCATAGTAATGCAGTATAAACAGCCTAGCTAGCCCTTGAACCAGGTGTATCCATGTGACTGTGTTCTCAGCAATAAAACATGGGCAGAAATTATGTGTACAATTTTCACATCGTCTGTTGTAATAGCCAGATTAGGATAGGTTATATTTCAGAATAAACAACAAAAGTTTTTTTTCTTACTTACAGAAATTTGTTGCAAGCCCAGATGACTCTCTTGGGCAGCCATCTTCCATGTGTTGACTCAGGATTCCTGCAGGTTTCTATCTTGTATCACCTCCACATCAACATAGGTTTTTGTGGCTGGAGAGTGAAGCACTAGCAATTAAAACTTCAGCAAGGCAGTGACTCATGCCACATTGTCCCAAAATTAGCCATGTGACCATGCCTAACTACAAAGAATGTATAAGTGTAATCCTCTGTGTGGCCATAAATAGAAAATAACTGGATATTGGTAAATATTGTTATGTCAATCACACTTATATAAAATGAAATTACATATCATAGGCTTAATCTCTACTTTCTGAAGGCTGAAAGAACACATGTAACATCAACCAGTCTTTGGTCATAACAATAAAAACACTCAAGAGGACAGTAAAAGCACAAGATGAAAAGAACCTAACCCCAAATCATTTTGTGGAACAGAGCCACTACTGCAGCCTATAACTCTTTCCTCTGGACTGTTGTGTGTGAGGGAAATACACTTCTCTCAGGTTCAAGCCCCTGTGTCTCCAGGTCTCTTTCTTTCAGTAGCTTAGCCTATACCCCATCTAAGAGAAGAAAAATCAAGAGAGACAACTATCTTGACTGGAGATATTTTTTGTGTAAGGGAGTAGTGTTAAGGCATACAATACACAAACAGAATGTCAAGACACATCTGTGGCCAGTCACAGTGACTCATGCCTGTAATCCCAGTGCTTTGGGAGGCCAAGACAGGCAAATCATTTGAGCTCAGGAGTTTGAGACCCTGGGCAACATGGTGAAACCCCATCTTTACCAAGAATACAAAACATAGCCAGGTGTGGTGGCCTGCATCTGTATTCCCAGCTACTTAGGAGGCTGAAGTGGGGGTGGGGGTGGTGCCGGACAGAAGTTGCAGTGAGCAGAGATTGCACCCCTGCACTCCAGCTTGGGTGACAGAGTGAGATGCTGTCTCAAAAAAAAAAAAATATACACACACACACACACACACACACACACACACACACACACATCTGTTTGTCTCCAACCAATGATAAGCTTCAAGATAGTAGGAGCTAAAACAGAAATAATCTTTTTCTGATCTCTTCAAGATCTAGCACATTTCTACATCTAGAGGGGGGTTCTTTGCAGATAGTTGTTGGCTGACTAATGCTAAGAAAAAACAAAAATATGAGAAATCAAAACTATATCCAGCTATACCCAAAACACAAGAATCTTTGAAATAACACACAGCCTCCAAACTAAGAGGACATATACCACCTTGACACAGAAAAAAGTTTACAATGTCAGTCTCCTAATGGAAAATGTTAAAACATCCATTGATTCATTGCTCCTCCAAATGCATGACTTAAAATAGCTTTACCCTTTTCAACACTGCTACCTCAGTCTAAAGAACATGACTACATGGAAGATGTTTTTATTTGTTTGCTCTGAAAGTTTATTTTATTTATATATTTTTATTATAGTTCTTTTTCTTTTTGGCTAAGAGGTAATAGTGGTTAACATTTTTGATAAAGAGATGTGTTTCTTTTACTTTTTCATTGCAAGTACTTTTCTCTTCCTCTTGTTTCTAGAATGACCATGGAAGGTATTTGTTTTAACAAGAAAGGTCATAATCATACCCAATAATTTTTATATTCTACTTGAACATAGGCATAGACATAGACAAGGCCCACCTGTTGGCCCATTAGCAATATTATAGTCATTCAGTTATAGCAATAACAGACCAGAATACAATTCTTTACTTAGCCAATTACTAACTGAAATATGCATCAACCAGAAGAGGATTAATATTGTGATTACATGTCCAGATAAATGTCCAGCTCTAAAGAGGCTACATAAGACAATTCAAAATAAAACAAAATTGTCTTTTGAGAAAATTATTAACAAAATAATTATGAAAAAGTAAAAATAAACATGTTGATGTTAAAATATGTATTAACAACCTAATTTATGATGAGGTATTTATCTCATTAATCTAATCATTACTCAATTTTTTTCATTTACTTCATTTATTTCACTAGCCTGAAAACATGTTCATGTGAAATCATTATAAATATGTCTTGGAATGTATTTATAATGATTGGGAAAATTATGGATTGGAGGATGGTCTTGCCCCTGTGTGCTGGGTCAGTGGGGGTGTTGACTGTAGTGGTGACAGTTTAGGGCATGGCTAAGAAGGTAGTTGTCAGGGAACTGGCTGAGCTATGAGGATCACACATTGGAAATCAGAGCTGGAGCTTGGGAAGATGAATTCTAATCCCTTACTCTGACAGTGATGAATTTTGGGCTTTGGTGTCGGGATGTAAGCGGAATAAATTCACCCAGTTATGAATGAACTAAGACAGAGGAAGTAGAAAATTATTTCCTTTTAAACTGATAAAAGCTAGGTTTGAGAACACAGCTTATGTATGCAGGCCCTGAAAATACTGAACCTAGAATTTCAAAGTCTGTCTCATCACCCCAGAGAGATGCAGAATCAGACACCTGCACACCATGCCTTGGAGAAGAGCCTAACCCTAAAGCAAGGAGGAGCAGTGCAGAATGTCTGTGTCCTGTGATACATCCCGAAGAGAAAGTGGGGCTGAGAGGTGGAACCCACATCCCAAGTTTCTCTCCCAGACCCATTACACATCTAATTCACTCCACCTCCAAGAGGTGAGTAGAAGTAGAATAAGAGGCCTGGAGTGTTTATGAAAAATCCCTCATCAGGGAACCTCAGGGAGTGGAGAAGAAGCAATCCCTCCCAAGATAAGTCACTTCAGCTTTATAAGGCTCAGATTTTCCCATTTGTAAACTAATATCTCCAATGTACCATTTAGTCCTAATATTTATTATTTGTCAAAAGGCTCTCTGGGTCAGATCAGTGTCCAGGACTGATGAAGAGGGGATGTTGCTACCTGGGGGTCACTTAACACTCAATGGGAATTGGGGAAGGTGTGTGAGCCCAGTGGCCATCTATGCCATCCTCATAATTTTATTCTATCATATTTCAACAAATATTTAATGAGTATCTTCTATGTACCAGGGAAAAGAGTGGTAAACAAAACACATCAGATCCCCACTTTTCTTTTTAGAACTTGCACTCCAGAGAGGAAAAACATTTGACAAGCAAGCACACCTATGTGCAATTACCAATTGCAATGAGAGCTTTAGAGCAAGATAAACTGTCTGTGGAGGGGGAGGGTAGTTACATGGGGGAAAAGGGAACAGCCTTCCAGGCAGAGGGGCAGCATGTGCAAAGGCCCTGAGGCGGAAATGAACGTGGAATAATTGAGGCTTCAAAAGAAGACTGGCTAGGGTTTAGTAAAGGAGGGCAAGAGTAATATGAGCTGACTATAGAGGGGCCAGGACATTATAGCCTGTGCTGAGGAGTTTGATTTTTTTTTTAATTTTTTTACTCTGGTAAGAACACATAATATGAGATCTATCCTCTGGACATATTTTTTAGTGTACAATACATTATTGTTGATTATAGGTGAAATGTGATATAGCAGATCTCTAGAACTCATTCATCTTTCTTACTGAAACTTTATTTGATTATTAACTCTTTATATTCCCCTCTCCCAGCCCCAGGCAACCACCATTTCACTCTTTGATACTATGAATGTGACTATTTTAGATACCTCGTGTAAGTGGTCTCATGCAATGTTTGTCCTTCAGTAACTGGTTTATTTCACTTAATGTAATGTCCTCAAGGTTCATGCATTTTTTCACATATTGCAGAATTTCCTTTTTAAGGCTGAGATCCTGATTTCAATTCTTTTGGATAAATACAATTTATTTGGATAAGAAATAGGATTGTTGGATCATGTAATACTTTTATTTTTAATTTTTGGATTTTTTTCTAAGTGAAAGTCCAGTGAAGAGTTTTAAGCTAGGGAAATACGTGATCAAATTTATGGTGCTAAAAAATTACTCAGCTATATGGATAATGAGTTTGGGGCATGGAGGATTAAATACCTCCATGAGGTAATGTAAGCCATGTAAGCAAAGGAAGGAGGGGAAGAGTCCTTTGGCCTCTGGAATGTGGCCCCAGAACTTCTGATGCCTAAGTGGGTCATTAGAAACAAGTTGGTTAAATAACTGATGATTGAGTGGGATGGCATTAACCTGCCATTTTATTTATTAATATTAGTATTTCTGCTTAGTTCAGGGGAATAGAAGAAGCGAATTTTTGCCCAACAATCCCCTAAATACAACTATTCCAAATGGATATTTGTACTTGTTTCATCAAAATTACATTCTTTATGTTCCAACCTCTTCCAGCCCTCAAAAGAATACGTTTGAAGTCTAGATTCTCAAGTCAAATTTTGCCAGGCAGCTTTACTCTAGTTCATTCCCTTCAGAATCTAGAATGCCTTGATAGGCTATAAGTGACCTAATTTGTGTTCACTATGATGGTAAGCACATGAAGTCTCTTGGTGAGTTTTTATCCCAGGCAGGGGCTGTTACATAATGATGATGACAATATCCATGTCCTCCCCACCATAAAAGTGTTTCATAGGCCTTGGTATCTGAGGCCCCTAAAATATGTTCTCTTCCTGTCTTTTTATACAAGTCTGCTTAGATTAGAAGGAATCTGAGAGCTGTGGTTATTGGGCAAATTAGACCAAATTGGCAGTCAGAAGTGTTGATGTGCTTGGACAGTTAAAGTCTTCTAAAAAAATCAAAGTCCTTTTGTGTTGGTAAAAGAAGGCAGAAGGAAGTGGCTGGAGAGATGATTTTCATCCTGATTATATATTTCGCATATTCATTACTTCTGTAAGCATCAGCTGGAAATAACACTCCCTTTTACCTCCCCAAGTTACTACCAAGTCATTAATGGCAAAAAGTGCTTGTAAAATAGAAAAAACAAAGAAGCAAACAGAAATGAGGACTTGTGCTGACTGCTCAAGTAGCTCTCCTGCAAGGAAAGCCGCAGTGCTAGGG
Source organism: Homo sapiens (assembly GCF_000001405.40). Classification (NCBI taxonomy): domain Eukaryota; kingdom Metazoa; phylum Chordata; class Mammalia; order Primates; family Hominidae; genus Homo; species Homo sapiens. The sequence continues at coordinate 38,234,287 of NC_000014.9, read as the reverse complement.
CAGAGCACTCCTGAATGACTGGAAATCACATGGAGGCAGGCTCTAGAAGGCTGCAGGTAGGAGAGTTACCCCCAGCTATTCACAGTCCACTCACAAGTAACCTGTTGCTGCAGTCACTCAAGTTGTTCAGCCAGTAAAGCCATCCCTCAGTAACCATCGGGGATTTGTTCCAAGACCCCTACAGATGCCAAAATCCTGGGATGCTCAAGATCCTGATATAAAATGATGTAGTATTTGCATATAACCTACGTACATCCTCCTGTAGACTTTAAATCATCTCTAGATTACTTATAATAACTAATACAATGTAAATGCTATGTAAATAGTTGTTATACTGTATCAGTTTAGGAATAATGACAAGAAAAAAGTCTGTACATGTTCAGTACAAGTGTAACCATCCATTTAAAAAAATATTCAATCTACATTTGGTGGAAGTCACAGATGTAGAACCCACGGATATAGAGAATTGATTGTATTTATCAAGTGCCTCCTGTGGCCCAGGTCTTATCAGTCAGTACTTTTTCTAGATGTATGAATAATTATTTGGTGTACAGGAATTGCTCCCACACTGCTGTGATCCAACAATATCAAAGTGTGCAGAGGAAAGAGGTATGGCAAAGGACAGGAAAGGTGGGTTCTAGGTAATTAGGCTCTAATCTGAAGAAAGAAAAACCACCACAGCAAAATGATTTAGTCTAGTTTATAGAGCCTAGAAGGAAGCTGAAGACTTTCATGATGTAGAGAAATTTTAGACAATAGAAAAGCCAGACTGCTCCTTTTATTTCTGGTAGCATGAAACACTCTGAAGTGTGTCGGACCTGAGAAACACTCTGAAGTGTGTCGGACCTTTAGAAGCTCGTTTCACTTCACTGAGATTCACAACACCTGCTGCCAAAGCTGTAGCCTAAACTTGCAAGATGAAAAATGTCCTCTGTCAGGCGCAAACACATATTACTGGTTTGCATCATATGTCATTTGTGACTTGAGTAATCATGAATGTGAAATGAAAAAACAAACTGTGGTGTTGTAGACTACGAATTCTGCTTACCCTCCTTCTGAGATACACTATAAAAGAAGACAGATAGAAATGGATCTATCATAGGGTGTCAGAGCAAAGGCATTTGTCAAAAGAACTGGAAGACGTGTGTATTATAAGTTGTTCCTGTACATTGTACCCCAGATATGCTGATTATTTTGCATTATTAGCTTCACTCAGCCAAGGGAAGATCAGCTCTTTAGTGTTAAATTGTTATGTTTGCAGTTTCAAAGAGGAAAGGAAAGGATGAGCATGCATTCTTATTACCTATGAGAATGAAGTGCCTTCCTAGTCTTATCTTTTCTGGTCATTATATCACAATTCTCTATTCTGCCAGTGTAATACCCTAAGATTTCAACGTTTATTTCATATAAGGCAAATCTTAAAATGAATATAGAGTTGAATGTATAATAATTTCAAATACTGATAGCTAATTATTCTCTAGAGTACCTCTGTGAGTAAGGTCAAAAATCTTTATGCAGTGGAATAAAAAAGAGACAAGAGGGTTAAACTCAAGTGAAATACTATCCCTTTTTAGCTATGACAATTGATGGAATAGATTTTGTGTTGTCCATACAATGTGGATTATTTGGATGTAAATATAGTAATTTGGTCACTAATGCAGATAACCTTTGGGGTTTAATAATGAAGTTGGTGTCTGTTTTCTTTGTGCTGCCATGTCACTTCTCCCCACTTGAAACATGAAGACTTCTTTGAAGCTCGTATTAGACCACCTTTCTTACAGCTGGCATCTACCAACCTCCTGGCCCCTTCCTCTTATCCACGGAAGATTTCATTATGTGAATCTGTCATGTTCTCCACTCCTATATCTGCCATTTTTATTGGTGACTTCAATATGCTCATGAAAAACTCCTCCAAAACCCTAGCCTCAGTTCTTTGGCCGCCTCCACTCCATTTTCAGTGTCCTTTTCCCCTATCATACAGCAGCTACCCACTCCCATGGTTGTACCCGTGACCTTTTAAATCACTGATAATTGTACTGCTCCCTCAATTTTCTGTATCTAATTCTTCAGACTTCCTGCCCATCTTTCTCTCTCATTCCTACTCCAGCTATGCTTTGATCTTAACAAGTTCTCCAAATCACTGATCTTTATTCTTGCTTATTATTTGTGATCTCTCATTTTTTCCTCTTTATTCACCTGATATTTCATACTACATCATTATAGCAACATTCAAAAATACATTTAACTCTCTTGCTCTTCTTTTCCACCATTTTATTTTCCATAAAAAACCTCTAACTCTGGTTATCTTTTATTCCATACAGGCAGCTGAACAGGCCTGGAGAAAAGCATGAATTTCTCCTGACTGATTTCAATTTAAACTCAGGACCACAGATCTTTACTGGGTATTCCATACTGATTTGTTATCCTTATACTTTAATCAGAGCTCACTTCCCACTCTCCAAAGTAAGATTGTGTCACAATTTTCATATCTCCTCAGTCTTCCAACCTCCATCCTATGATGCAAATCACCCTCTGTGCACCCACTTTCTCATGTTTTCCATTACCAGAGGTGATGCATCCCTGCTTCTCCCAAAACCAGGCCCTGCATGCATGCTCTCGAACACATGCCTCTCCTAATTCAGGACTCACATTCTGAAAAATCCTTTTGTTTATCAATTTATCCCTCTGTACTGATTTATTCCAACTAGCATAAGCAGGTTTCTTTGATTTTATCCTCCAGCTTCTACTGTATTTCTCCGTTCCCTTTTGGAGAAAAACCTTTCAAAAAGTGTTGACTATGTTGCTACAACCATTTTCTCTCCCTTACATTCTTTCCTTGGACCACTCTCTATTCTTCTGAAACTGTGCAATATTAGATCAGTAACAACCTACATTCCGTCAAATTTAATGGTCACTTGATCGTCCTTATCTCACTAAATTTCTCATAGGCATTTCACACTGTTCACCACTCCTTTTTATGGAACAGTTTCCTCTGCTAATTTTCCTCCTTCCTTGCTGGCTATGTCTCCTTTCCCGGCTCACCCTCCTCTGCTCAATCTCCAGTTTGTCTCTGGAATATATCTTTCACATATTAGGTCCTCAGCTGGGAGTGTCCTGTCCCTCTGACCTTCCCAGGACAACCTCCTCCATGTCATTCAATACCTGCCTTAAATATCATCCACTCAGAAGGGCATTTTCTGACCACTCAATCTTAGTGTCCCAGAAACACTAGTTCATATCACCTTGTTTTATCTTTATCATAGCTCTTAACATGTTTCTACTTACTGTATCTGTTCACTGTCTGTCTTGCCTCATTAAAATATAAATCCCATAAAAGTAGGAACTTGTCTGTCTTGTTCTAGGTTGTAAGTAATTTGAAGTGTTTCTTGTGTGAATGAGAACACAATGACAAGCATTATTTGTTCACTAACGACTGTATCTTTATTGCATTTCCATATTTGTCAGAATATTTAATGCCATATGGATAAAAATTTCTCCACCTTTCTACAAAATGGGAGGTTTTTTTTTTTGTTTTTTGTTTTTTGTTTTTTGTTTTTGAGATGGTGTCTAGCTCTGTTGCCCAGGCTGGAGTGCAATGGTGCAATCTTGACTCACTGCAACCTCCACCTCCTGAGTTCAAACAATTCTCTTGCCTCAGCCTCCCAAGTAGCTGAGATTACAGGCGCATACCACCATGCCCAGCTAATTTTTGTATTTTTAGTAGAGACAGGGTTTCACCATATTGCCAGGCTGGTTTCGAACTGACCTCAGGTGATCTACCACCTCAGCCTTCCAAAGTGATGGGATTACAGGTGTCAGCCACCGTGCCCACCCAAAATGGAATTTTTAAAAAGGATTTTGTACTCAAAGAGGATCTAAAATTTAACAAAGTTTTAGAAACCATTACATTTACTTTGATCTGTTATTTCAAATACTAACCTAGAAACTGTAGTACTTATCTATCCTTTGTGGGTCCAAAACTACCCTTAAAAGAAAGAAAGCCTCTTTCAAAGGCAGTGGCAATAGTTAATTTTAAAAAGGGGGAGTTTCAGGCCCAGCACGGTGGCTCACGCCTGTAATCCCAACACTTTGGGAGGCCGAGGTGGGTGGATCATGAGGTCAGGATATCGAGACCATCCTGGCCAAAACGGTGAAGCCCTATCTCTCCTAAAAATACAAAAATTAGCTGGGCATGGTGGCATGCACCTGTAGTCCAAGCTACTTGGGAGGCTGAGGCAGGAGAATTGCTTGAACGTGGGAGGTGGAGGTTGCAGTGAGTTGAGATTGCACCACTGCACTCCAGCCTGGCGACAGAGACAGACTCCGTCTCAAAAAAAAAAGGGGGGGGAGTTTCTAATTACATTGTTGATAAATATGCAGCAAGAATAATTGTGTCTACTTCAGATTTACACTAAGACGTTAAGATTTAAACTTAAATATGTTGACTTATTTAAATGCAATTCTAGATTACTTCCTTACAGCACTGTTTAGTGCAAAAAGAATTATATTCTCCACTAACTTATGCTAGTACTTCCTTTTATTTATAACTTTGATGAATCTTTTTATTTAACTTTGGACACTGAGGTATAAAATAAATTCTGGAAATGGGAATCTAGAAACATTATGTAGATTTTTAATTTAATTATTTTTCAACCAACACATAAATCAACTAAGAAATCTGTCAATCATTAGCTATCCAATTTATAAGATATAGTGTAATTTTCATGATAACCTGAAGACTCATGTGCTCTAACAAAAATCAAATTCTGTAAGGAATTTGTTTAATAAATATATCAACACTCAGTGCTACCAAATACCTCTCTAACTATGTGAAATAAATTAATATTTCTCAATGTCTTCTCATTTTCATACTAAAAATTTCTGAGATTGTTTATTTAGACTATAAACAAAGACAAATAATATTCAATTCCTAACAACCAAGATGGGACTTTCTTGGCCAATATGAATGATGGCTCATACAAGGGTATTCTGAATTCATAAAAAAGCAAATCCCAAGGTAATAGAAAAGCACATTTTTTAAGGAGCTTTTTGTTATAATGCTTGTGTTGTGAAAAGTATCCTTAACCAATATTACTTGCCTAGGGATGTTAATCCACAAATAGTATATTATTTCAGCAATGAAATAAAATAAATACAACAAGAATACTAATTTAAGAATCTATAATTGCAAATTTGCTATCTAAAATTTACAATGTTTCTGAAAGAAATAAAACATTGTTGGGGAGCAATAATTAAAACAAGGATGCCAAGTCAAGGTATTCGTAGTCATATTATCACAAATTCTTGATTTCTAAGAATATTGTATGAATTTTTAAACTACTGAATATAATATTAAAATACACGTTTTCTAACTTGGAAGTAACCTTTAAGTCATAACAAAACATGATAGTAAATAGTAATGAAGAGGTGTAACTTTTGTAAAGAAGAAGTTGTTCCCAGTACTAAAAATATTTTATTATTTATTACTAAAGACTGTAAGAAATACATTAAGTGCATTTGGTCTCATAAGCATTGGTTTTCCTTCCCTAACACTTTTGACCAAATAAAAAAAGGGTTTTCCTACTGCTGAAAAGTTCTTTGCAAAGTGTCTTTTATTCCACATTATCAGTCAATGTTTATTTTTCTAGTTTTATGTAGCTTATGGGAAACAAATGAAACACTACATTTATTTGAGCTATTTTTTGATGTTTGATCCACTATACTTTTATACCTAGGCTAAATATTGTCCTGATATATTAAAGATAGATCCTATATTCTTCTTTCAGAGCCATATCTGTCGTTTTGATTTTTTTCCAAGTCATTAATTCTCTATTTCATTCTTTTTATCGTGGCCTTAAATATTCAGGGAGACCCTACAGTTTCTCATCTAAAAGCTAATAAGCCACTACTTTGAAGCTGCTAACTACAGTTGCCCAGCCAGGAGTTCATAATAAGAATGATGGAGATAATAATAGCCATTCTCATCATCACCATATTAATCCCAGTAGTCACAACCACAACTTTCTCAGGCCTCAGTATATTCTCTATTCCTTACAGCAGTTAATGAACTAAAACACCCAAGAAACAAAGTCCCCTTTTTGCTCAGGGATCTCAAAGTACTTTGTAAATTGGATTTTTATATTGCATATGATAATTACATGAGATGACTAGAAAAAGATGCAGAAGGTTAAGCATACTTTTTTACTCATTATTTAATTTTAAGTAACTGATGGAACATGAACCAAGACCCAAGGGAGTATTGAAGGATGTAGAAAGGAAAGCTATGGAAATGTACTCATTTAATAAATCTGATTCCCTTGAAGAGAAGTATTTGTGGGAAGAATATTAAAGAGGAATATCAGAATAAATATTTTCTATTACCCTTGAAAATGATACCAGTAAAAAAGGGGTTGGCAGCAACACTCTTGTACTTGGTAAGTTTACATGAAGGCTTCTGAAAAACGACTAGGGTTACCAAGCAACTTTAATGATGGCATAATGCAATTTTAACAGCCAAAAGAGGTTTCCATACTGCAAAAAAAAATACTTCCTCTACCACCAATAGACTAACCACAGCACTCCAAATTCCTTCACTAAAATGCAGTACCTTCCTCTGTGAAGCCTTTCAAATTTTCTATACTTGAAGTTTCCCAAATACCAGTTACTGACACTGCCAGTGTCAGAGTCCCAAGGAAACCTTGTTTAAATATGAATGCCTGGGCCTAGTTTTCAGAAGTTTCTAAAGCTGGACATTGGGACTTCAAACTTTTTAAAGATTCCCAGGTATATTTGATGTGCAGCAAAGTTAGAAAACCATTGTTATTTCCCTTAAAAAGCCAACACACTAAGAATAAAGGAATTAATAATTTAAGTCATCAATAACTTGTACTTCAGAAAAATTAGTTGGCACGTGAGTGTGAGGTGTTGGATAAAAGAAAAACTTCAGCCAAATTAAATTTAAAGGAATTTAATTGAGCAATGAACAATTTGTGAATCGGGCAGCCCCCAGAATCACAGCAGATTCACAGAGACTCCAGTGCAGCCACGTGGTAGAAGAAGACTTATAGACGAAAAAAGGGAAATGATGTTCAGAAATTGGCCGTGAGGTAGAGAAGCAGCTGGATGGGTTACAGGTTGGCATTTACCTTATTTGAACATGGTTTGAACACTTAGCAGTCTATGAGTGGTTGAAGTGTGGCCACTGGGATTGGCCAAGACTCAGTTATTGTTACAGGCACATACTCCTGTTAGGTTTTCAATTTTGTCTGACTATTAAGCTAGGTTACAGTTCATCCACCAGGACTCAAATATACAAGTACAGAGTCCTTCTCAGATCATATTTAGTTTGCCTTAACATGCTTACGTGAGGAAGACTCTAGAAGACCAAAAGCAGGGAGAGAGACTCTCAAGAAATAGGCAATTGTTCCCAATACCAGCATTAATGACTTCAAAATTTTGCCTTTTCCTAATAAACCCACCAATTCAATATAAGGATATTTTGTTGAGTGCTTAAAAACTGACCATGTGTCAAGTTTTGTCTAAGAACTTTGCAAATATTAACTTATTTAATCTTTACAACAATCCTATGATGTAAGTACCATGATTTGCTCCATTTTATAGATGAGAAAACTAAATCTAAGATGACGAAATGAAGTTATTGACCTGAGGTCACGCAGCTGTTAAGCAGCTGAGTGCCACAGTTGCTGTTCCTAACTAGTGTGTACTGTTGCCCTTTAGTTGTGGTATGTGGATGGTTAAACGTTGAGGAAATGTCCCCTGAGGAATTTATAGGCCAATAGAAAACAACTAGATAATCAAGTTTCTTCCATCTGTGTTTTTGAAAATGAGAACAAAAACTGTGTCTTGCCCAAGCAAATCCTGGTTGACCTTCCATCTTCCTCATGGCTGGTTATTTTTGCAAGAACCCTTCACTTGGTTTGCCATGTTCTTCTCCTTGTTCCTTCCCGTGCTTTTGTCAGAAAAATGAAGGGAAAATTTAAATGTATGTTCAATTAAGAGTGGAGTCAGTTTTATTTTATCTTGAACAGGAATGTAACCAGATGTTCGTTGTGATGATTCTAGAGATTCTCACTTTGGGGAAGATGCTATCATAAGGAAAGGATTAAAACTCAGAGAAATTGATGTAGTCATCAATTTTATTCTTATGGATCCATCCTAGGTTTGCAAATGAGACAAGATGCAGCTGCAGGTGAGACAGCACTCATTTGAGAGGAATGTTTGGTAGACCCCAGCTTTAAAGTCTCCACAGCTGTTTGAAATTTTATTTTGCCTATTTACCTCTTTGTTTTGCATGTTCACTCTTCTGCTTGTGGATTCAATGAGATAATTTATAAGAAAAATTTACAAGAAAATAAGTTGTTTTACAGTTTCGTAATATCAGTTTTCAATATTTGAGAAGTATTTTTTTTTCTGAGTTTCTCCTCTTTCCTTAACCAGACTCTGTTCACTTGAATAATTCAGTGAATTCTATTTAATTGGTATTCTGATAAATAGTATGACCTCTTAATTGGGAAAAGTGCCTGATAAAAAGATTTTGTTTAATGCTTTTCAATTACCATACATTACTGCTATAGCAGAATTTACTAGTTTAAATAGAGGGGAAAAAATCCTTACTCATTACTAATGTCCTAAAATCTGTTTATAGTAGTTTATGGGACTGAACTAATGTTACTCATCTAGAATTTAGCTTTTTTAAACACTAGGGATTTGTCCTATTCTAATAGCCAACAAAGGCTTAATAATTATTTTAATGTTTCTTAATTACTTAATTCCTATTAATTAGAACATATTCACTGTATCTTTATAAGTAAAAACAAAAATGTTTATGGGCTTTCGGTGTTCTTGAACTATTGGTATCTCTATGACAGTTATGTAAATGAGAATGGTTATTAAAGTAAAAATGCTGAAAGAATTTAAACATAACTTTGCTAATATTGTGGGACAGAAATTATTTTTATTCTCATTTTTCAGTTAAGCAGTATGAGGCATGAGTGAACAAATAACCTGCCCATGGTACATAGTGTTAAATTAAGTTAAGCGTAAAGCTGCCTCCTTACATATTCTAAGTTTGGCTTAAAGGTTTCTCTGTCCTTAATGAACCTAACTGGATGTGTAAACAGATTGTAACCTACTCTTGCGCCAATTACCAAGTTTTGGCTAATCAAAGGTAGCGGCTAACTGTTCAAACTGTTCAAATCAGGCAAACAGTGGGCTGTGACCAATTTGGCTGCTTCTGTACCTCACTTCATTTTTCTGTACATCACTTCATTTTTCTGTACATCACTTCTTTTGCTGTTCATAAGTCTTCTGCCATGTGGCTATGCTGGAGTCTCTCTGAACCTTTTCTGGTTTTAGGGCTTCCCAATTTGCAAATTGTTCTTTGCTCAATTAAACTTAGTTAAATTAATTTGTCTAAGGGTTTTCTTTTAACATATGGTATCAGAAATGGGATTTGAAGTAGCACTTCAAGTAACTCCCAGGAGTGCTGAATGACCAAGCCAGGTACCCATCAGGCCCACTGTGTCTATTGTTTTGCCACTAGGGATTGGGATCATGGTTAAATTCCCTCTCTCAGATTCTGAAGCTCCACAAATTGGTGTTTTGAGCTATCTGAGTTTGTTTGAGCACATTTCTGATCCAAATTGGGTTTGGAAATCACAAGAGAAACTGAATCAAGTCCAGAATTGAATTGGATCCAATAATTAACTGGTTTGGATCCAGTTAGAGGCCTCAGATGTCTGACTGAGTCAGACAGAAACTGATAGTAAATGGTAATAATGCAGAGTGTGCAAACTGCAGCTTTCAGAAATTTGCAGAGACTTTTGTGTCTGTCCCCCTTGTTTCTTTTACTTGTGTGCTTAGGTAGGGAAAGATCATTGGCTAATTTGATCAAGGAGATCTGAGAGACAAAGCCAGTATTCAAGGTAAAAATGAGATTCTTAATTTTTTTTTTTTTTTTTTTTTTTTTTTTTGAGACGGAGTCTCGCTCTGTCGCCCAGGCTGGAGTGCAGTGGTGCAATCTCGGCTCACTGCAAGCTCCGCCTCCCGGGTTCACGCCATTCTCCTGCCTCAGCCTCCCCAGTAGCTGGGACTACAGGCGCCCGCCACCACGCCTGGCTAATGTTTTGTATTTTTAGTAGAGACAGGGTTTCACCGTGTTAGCCAGGATGGTCTCAATCTCCTGACCTAGTGATCCACCCGCCTCGGCCTCCCAAAGTGCTGGGATTACAGGCGAGATCCTTAATTTCTAAAGAACCGAGTTCTCTACCTTCCAGCTATGCCCACATTTTTAGGTATAAGTACTAGACCCCAGAAGCAGCAAATGCTTATAGAAATGGCAAAATCTTACTAAAGATAATTTAAAATTACAGTGGAATGTTCCAAATGAACAACACTGCACTTGAAGAGTGCATTTGAAAATGAGGGCTTCCTAGTCTCATTTAGGGATGCCTCTTGATGTGCAAAAGCTTCTAAGAAGATTTCAGTATTTTTATTGCTTTTAAAAAAAGACTCTATAAAAGATCAATAAAAAATGTAAGCAACTAATTGATAAGAAAAATTAAGTCTGCTGACCTTTTGGCTTAGTTACTATCCCACCCCGAAGTTGAAAAGAAAGCTATCTTGAATAAAGTGTTTATAAAAGGTAGGCCTTTTAATGTTCGCCATTCTAACTGTTGTGAGACTGTATCTCATTGTGGTTTTGATGCTGGAGAGGATGTGGAGAAATAGGAACACTTTTAGGCTGTTGGGAGTGCAAATTAGTTCAACTATTGTGGAAGACAGTGTGGCAATTCCTCAAGGATCTGGAACTAGAAATACCATTTGACCCAGCAATCCCATTACTGGGTATATACCCAAAGGATTATAAATCATTCTACCATAAAGACACATGCACACGTATGTTTATTGTGGCACTAGTCACAATAGCAAAGACTTAGAACCAACCCAAATGTCTATCAATAATAGACTAGATAAAGAAAATGTGGCACATATACACCATGAAATACTATGCAGCTATAAAAAAGGATAAGTTTATGTCCTTTGCAGGGACATGGATGAAGCGGGAAACCATCATTCTCAGCAAACTAACACAAGAACAGAAAACCAAACACCGCATGTTCTCACTCATAAGTAGGAGTTGAACAATGAGAACACATGGACATAGGGAGGGGAACATCACACACTGGGGCCTGTTGGGGGCTCGGGGACTAGGGGAGGGATAACATTAGGAGAAATACCTAATGTAGGTGACAGGTTGATAGGTGCAGCAAACCACCACAGCACGTGTATACCTATGTAACAAAACTGCACGTTCCGCACATGTACCCCAGAAATTAAAGTATAAAAATAAATAAAAAATAAAAAGATTAAGGTGGGCCAACCAGCCTTCCCCACACCATGTAAATGTCAAAAAAAAAAAAAAAAAAAGTAGGCCTTCAGGCAAAGTAGGCTTATCTTCTCTTTTTCAGATCTATTCATGCTAACTCAAGGTACAGAAAATGATGGGCCCAACGCGGTGGCTCACACCTGTAATCCCAGCACTTTGGGAGGCCGAGGCGGGCGGATCATGAGGTCAGGAGTTCACGACCAGCCTGACCAAGGGACCAGCCTGGCCAATGTGGTGAAACCTCGTCTCTACTAAAAATACAAAAATTAGCCGGGCGTGATGGCGGGCGCCTGTAATTTCAGCTACTTAGGAGGCTGAGGCAGACGAATTGCTTGAACCCGGGAGGTGGAGGTTGCAGTGAGCTGATATCGTGCCATTGCACTCCAGCCTGGGCAACACAATGAGACTCTGACTAAAAAAAAAAAACCCAAAAAGCTGTCTTTGCCCTATTTTTTTTAATGGGCTACACCTTGAACTCAGTAATTTTTATCTAAGAAATAGCAGCTTAAAAGGCTACCTATTGAACTAAATTGATCTCCAAAATGCACTTTTCTGGTATTTAACTGGCTATCTTGAAACCTTTTGGTAAAAGAAATTTACATCTATAAAGGAAACCTCCATATATAAGGGTATCTGTCTGTGTTCATTAGAAACGCTTGCTATTGTTTTAAATTTACATAACAAGTCATACTTTCTTTAAGGTGCTTTTCTGGCCATTTCCTCTTAATTGAACTTTCATTTACTGTTCAGAAGCTCTTTAGTTTAATTAGATCCCATTTGTCAATTTTGTCTTTTGTTGCCATTGCTTTTGGTGTTTTAGACATGAAGTCCTTGCCCATGCCTATGTCCTGAATGGTAATGCCTAGGTTTTCTTCTAGGGTTTTTATGGTTTTAGGTCTAACATTTAAGTCTTTAATCCATCTTGAATTAATTTTTGTATAAGGTGTAAGGAAGGGATCCAGTTTCAGCTTTCTGCATATGGCTAGCCAGTTTTCCCAGCAGCATTTATTAAATAGGGAATCCTTTCATCAGGTTTTCCTTTGTTTGAACAAATGATGCTATTATATTTAGGCCTAAAATCTTAGCTATGTGTTTTTGAAATATACAATTTCTTGTTTCACCTGAGCTGTTCCTTTAGAAATGCAAATTTAGAGTTGCCTAGCTAACAATTGCTTAGGGCAATGAAACGGGGCAATTGAAAGAGTGATAGTCTGAATGGGGGGAAAAATCTGAAAGCCAGCAAATGAGAACACTTTATGAAAGCTGTAAATCTGCTTCTGTCTATGTGTCTCTATGTCTCTATGTCTGTATGTGTTATTTGTTGATGATAATGTTTGGTAAATAAAGCTAGTTTTTAAGTTGTTGGTAAAATAGGAATGGCTTCAAAATTGTTGGTGAAATATAATTCAATAATTGCTTGATGTGACTGTGAGTTTATGTATGTTTTTAGTTTTGAGCCTCTAGATTCAGGGGTCTGGATAGATGGTCATGGTGAGGCCTAGAGATATGTTCTCAACACCTAGACCAGAGGCTACAAGGCAGAATCAATGGCACCTTTGTTGCTTCATAACTGATCAGAAACAAAACATCAGTCCACTCTTTAAACTACGTCATAGATTAAAGAGAACATTGTCTGCATAAGTTAAAGAGTACATTGCCAGGAGGCGTTTGCTCTTCTGGATGGGCATCATTTTTTAGGTCTCTTTTCCCATGGTTTGGAGTAAATGAGGCAATAGTTAGAAATTTATCCCTCACGCTGGGCTCTTTAACAGATTCTACTGCAAAGGCTATGGTTTCACAACAGATTTAAAATTATCTTGTTAAAGTTATGCTAAATAACAGAATTGCTCTAGATGACTTACTGGCTAAACAGAGAAGTATCTTTGCTGTTGCTGATACTTGTAGTTGCACATAGAGGCATACATTGGGTGTTACAGAGATTCAGTAATAGGAGATTAATGAGCAGGCTGCTTGGTTGAAAATGGTAGATGTTTTATCTAGCCCATTCTTTGATCTATTTATTTTAGCTGGTTTGTTTCACTGGGACCTGGCTAAGGAGCACACCCTAAACTCTTGGTATTATCCTCCTGATAGACATAATAGTCTCCCTGGTGCACTGTATTCTCTCAAAAGTTTTAAATGTTTGCATGCAGCCATGTCAAGGATGTCAAATGCTCTCTTCAACTGTGGTGATAAAAGCTCAGAAGAAAAATGTGGGCACCATAACTTGTGAATGATGTGGTGAGACTGGAAACTCAAAAGGATGGTAACTGAGTGTGGCATGAAGGTACTATGTTTTGGTCACACTCTCACCTAAGTGAGAAACTGACTGAAAGAGGGAAATTGCTAAAGAAAAAATAACCTGAAGTCCTTGTTTCCATCTTACAAACCTAATTTCCTACTATTTTCCAGTAAAATTTAAGACCAAATAAGTACACTTTTAAATGGTGACAGAGTGACATTGAAGCCTAAAGTTTTGGTCAATCTCTCAATATTGAGTGATGACCAAAAGGGAGGAATTGTTTAGCCCAAAGCTGCCTCCTTATATATTCTAAGTTTGGCCTCAAAGTTTCTCTGTACATAGTGAACTGTAACCTTAGTGGATGTGCAAACAGACTGTAACCTACTGTTGTGCCAGTCACTGAGTTTTGGCTAATCAAATGTAGTCAACCATTCAAACCATGTTCAAATAAGGCAAACACTGGGCTGTAGCCAATCTGTACCTCACTTCCATTTTCTGTAGCCTGCTTTCTTTCTCTGTCCATAAATTTTTCACCATGTGGCTACACTGGAATCTCTCTGAACCTATTGTCATTTGGGGGCTGCCCAATTTGTGAATCATTCTGTGCTCAATTAAACTCTGTTAAACATAATTTGTCTAAGATTTTTCTGTAAACAATAACCAGTGATTTTCCAAAGCCAAGATTCTAAACAATGCATTCTGATTCTTGATCCCACCTACTTAATCACTGCACTGTGGCACTGCTTCCCTAATTAGAAGGAGGGGCATGTATGGTGTGGCCTTATGTGTATCATATGGAGTTCTTGAAATGGGCACATTTGACTTAGCAGTGAAACTAGTTTTTCTCCTAAGCAATCTGACTCATTTCTGTGGGAAATATAGCTGTTTTAGTATTTACCGATTATTTAGCTTATTATACTTTAGGTAGAGATCATGAGTAGGGTGGTACATTTTGTTGTTGGTCACTGTAATGGGGGAATCCTGAAACAACAGTCAAAATTTTCCCAATTTTAGATAGTTTGCAGAATGACATTTATGTGCCATTTAAAAGGACTTCAATTGATAGAGGATCATTGTTCTTGGAGTCAAATTGATCTGGTTTCCAGTACTCCTGGTTCTGTTTCTATCACCTATCAGCTTTTATGTGCTGGGCAAGTTCTCTCTCTCTCTCTCTCTCTCTCTCTCTCTCTCTCTCTCTCTCTCTCACACACACACACACACACAACCTTCCTTGTATAAGAAATGAAGATTTCTAATTCACAGGAATCTTGGGGAAAACTAAATGGGATAAAATGTAAAGCACTTAGCAAAATGTGTCACTTACAAAGTAGATACTGAGTAAATGTTCCTTCTCTGCCTGCCCCGCTGCTGTATTTTAAACTCTGGTTACTGACAGTTTTATGTAACTGCTATGAAATCTGAAGGGAACTGAACTGTCAGTCTAATTCATGGGAACTGGTTATCTTCACAATGGTGTTTTAGGGTCCCAAATGTATGGCATAGCTATATGTGTAAGCCACAGGAAAAATGAAGGAAGCTTATTTGGATACTATTTTACTAATCATTGGTACCCATCTCTGGTTGTGGTGGGCTACCTTATTTATGTTACTTAAAATTATGTTTAAAGCAAACTTTCCCACAATTGTTGATGATAAAGTGTGGTTTCACATCTAGCCCTGCCAAACCTTTGCATATCACTTTGTGTTTTATTCCTATATGCTGCTAACTTCAGTGCCATCTTCAATATGCTTAACATTATGCTATGTGTAACATTAAAATGATTTTATCAAGTTATTTTTAAACATATTTAAATAATATTATTAATCTTATGAAAATGTAACAAAATGTTACTAACCTGGATTAATATCTAATCTGATTTTAAAGCTGTAGAATCTAATGTAAAGACTGATTAATTTTCTTGAGGCCATATGGAATCTGTTAATTTCTAGATCAAAATCCTTTTAACATTTATGAGATATTTTGAATTTCCCAAATAAATAACATCACTAGTGTCCTTTATCATAGAAAAAAATGCATAAATACAAATATATTTCGCTCAGCTTTCAGTGGTACTTACATGCAAAGAAATGAAACAAAGTGTTGTTTGTTTAAAGTAAATCTAACACTGTCTAAGTAATTTTATATGGCTAGATCATGTAGAAGCATTTTAAAACCTGAATCACCTCAATTCTCCACTTTCTCTTGTAGAACACCAATAATGATTAATAATAATAATAATAGTATCTTCAATTTACTGAGCTCTTAATATGCCTGGCAGTTGTAGATGGTGCTTGATTTTGTTGTTGTTGCTGTTTGTTTGTTGCCATGCAACTACCATTCATTACATACTTTGGGTAATTTTATCTCAATTTATTCCTCTTGAAATCGACCCTGCTACCCTCCCATTTCTGGGTAAAGTTGACACTGCTATCTCCAAGGGTAGATTATATCATCCAGGCCAGCCAGCCATATTCCTCAGACTTTGCTAATGAATTCAGTGGCAGACGCTGTCACATTCTGGAATTTTACTCACCTTCCTTACAAGCTAATAAGTTAGTCTGTTGCTGTTTAATAGAGGTTGGCAGAAGATACAAGATTCCTGGGTCAGGCAGAGGACTTTATTGCTTATGGCACAGCCAGCAAGCATGATTTGCATTAGTTCTCTTTGCCTCCCATTCTCATATGGGTGATGCACTATGAGCCCAGATGGATGCTGTGTAGCAGTGGGTTTTTGTCACATTTGAAGGACACTGATCTTGGATAAACCACCACTTTATAGCAAGCAGGGACCAAGCCTTCTTTCTGACCTTGAAAGAGACGTTAACTGATTGCTCAAGATTGCTTGCTGCAAACACAACCTTGAGAAATAATCCAGGTACAGAACAGTCAGCAGTCAGGGCCTCACATTCTTGGCATACTCAGCAAAATGTATAAGAAACCAAGAGAGGAGTGCCTCCCAACAGATAAATGTTCTCAGACAGCCCAAAAGAGAAAATAACATTTTCTCTTTCGTTTGAAATTTGAACCTGGAAAGAAGACATGTTTTACTTTCTGCATCTGTCTTACCACAAAAGAATAGCCAGGCTGAGTATGAAGCCAACATGGCACAAATCAGGGATGAGCAATGGAGACTGAAAAAAGATTCTAGTGAGTTTTGGGTCAAGTGCACCCTGAAGCCAGATCTTCTCAAGACTTTTCACACATGTGAGCTAATTGAGTTTTCATACTAAAAAAGTTGACTGATTTAGCATTTGACATGCCTTGTCTCACCACAACAGCCCTATGGAAGAGATGTCATTATCTTGACCTTATAGACGAATGAAATGTGATTCACAAAGATTAAGTTGCCCAGTATTACACAACAAAGAAAGCAGAGCCACATCTGCTGATGGCAAACTCCATGCTCTTAACACTTAAATTATTAGTACTCAAACTTTATTGTACTTTAGAATCATTGAGAATTGAAATCTACCTCAGAACTAATTAATCAAAATATCTGTGGGTAAGACATAGAGGCCATGAATTTTTTATAAGTTCTCAGGTGATTCTAATGCTGGAATTATGGATCACTTGTTGAGAAACATTTGCCTTACAGGAACATGCGATTTTAGGGATTCTGCTGCCTGATTTTCTGATACTGTGCCCTTATTAAAAAGTCCTGCTTCTGGAGGAATAATACTTGAAGCTTTGTCAGTTATGTAAATTATAAATCAATGTAAATCCTTTTCTGAGAAGAACTTTATTGGGAGAAGTGGGGAAAATCAGAAAACATGAGGTCCTGAGCTGGGGGAAGGAGGGGTAGAAATGGGAGCTAAAAAGGGAAAAGGGAAAAAAGACAGTCTTGAAGTTCTATTTCACCAATTATTGCCTAAGAAGTTCCTTTTTGTTTAATTAATAATTGTGTGTGTGTGTGTGTGTGTGTGTGTGTGTGTGTGAATGTGTGTGTATGTTAATTTCAGGTGCCAGAGTTTATACATAGGAAGACTTGAAAATCTTTTGAAAAAGACATACAGACATTTTGGTTTGCTAGTTACAGTGGCTCATTGGACATAAAGGAGAATGTTTAACTTAATTATTGACTTTGAATAGACATTTTGCCACTGTTAATAAGATTAGCTAGATTAATAGTTGTTCAAGTGTTGTAGAGACAGAAAGAACAGAGTGAGAGTTATTATTCATCAATATTTGGACATTCTTTCACAGAATAGTTATGGAAGTCATGTGTGCTATTGTAAAATATTGTCCTGCTTGCCTATCATGTCTTGGTTTGTTTTTTTTCTCTCTCTCTCTTTAAATTTATGGGAAGTATCAGTTGCCTTTTGAGATAGGTATTATTTGTTGAAAGTCAGAACTGTTTTTGTACATAATATTCTACTGTGACCTCCTCTGTATAACATGTCTTCCTTTAAGTGGAATCTAGCATATAGTTTTTGTATTCTTAAATTCTTAAAGCTGGGAATACTTGAAGTCTTGTTGTTAACATTTCCAAGCATGTAGGCACTGAGGGTGGGCTAGAGTTATTCAGTGACAAGTTAATATGCTAACTGATAGCATTTCCCACTTCTCATTTTCTTTCATACTTCTTGTCCACTCAAAATTGAAGACTTAGATCAACCTGGCTTAAAGAGGCATTTATTTTTAAAGTTTTAAGTTCCTCATTACTCCTAAGAGTTCTGGTAACATGCCTGTAGTCTAGGTCTTAAATGTTTCTAGTTTTTGGCTAATCCAATCGATTTTAAGGTATGTTTTGACAATAATTATGTTTATTATAAAAGTGAACATTCTACCGAAGTTTTAATAATTTTATTTAAAATTATATCTTTTTCTTTAGATGATGCTCCTCTCTCCCCAACAGTATGACAAGGAGGCATTTTGATATTTTACTTTTAACTGGCTTATTCAGTTCATAGGCCTCCTCAACTTTGTCATACTTGCAGAACCCCTTCTTTTCTAGTTGATATCAGAAGCTGGGCTGTATTTGATCATTCCTAACACAGTCATTTTACAAGTATGCTCACTCTAATACCTTGTCTCCAGATATTTAGCAAAATAATAAGTGATCACTTACAACATTATCTCTGTACCTGCCTTCTCCTTGGGAAACCATGTCATTTCAACAATGTGGAAACTGTCTTCTTTTAAAGCCAACAAACTGAAATTTATTGAATAAAAAGCAAGATATCCATCTGCATATGTGTAAGAGGTTCTCCTTAGCTCAAAGTTGTGTGGTGCAACGAGAGAGAAACAAAGACTTTGCAATACTGTATTTTGTAAGTACCCACCACAGTTATGTGTGCTACAGGCAAAGTTATATGAACATCTATTAATTATTTCAGTTAATACTTCACTCTGATGTTGTACGTTGGAATAAAAAAGGGAATGAACAAGATTTTCAAAACAGAATCCCATTGTTAAAGTGTTTTTTCAGATCAATACAAATATGACATCTCTATTATTTGTTTAAAATAGACTGGAAATATATTGCCATTTTAAAAATGAATCATCCCTACTATTCTCCAGGTGAAATTCTTGTCTTTTTTCTCAGGCCAAAATTACACATTCAACATTTTTGTACAATGGTCGGAATTAAAATGGATGAGGAGTCAAAGGTTTTCAAGTGTGATCCTTTTCTGTGGGTACTATGTAAGAAGATGACCTGGGAAATGCTACTCTGGGAACACAAAGGCCACTTATAAAAAAGATAATAATTCACAGACATTAAACTAATATGTTTTAATTTCTATAAATCATGTTTCATTTTAGTCTCTCTCCCTGAGGACAGGCTCATTACATTAGGAAAGGAGAGGGCTTGACTCCACCTTCTTTATAGGTAATGCAAACATGCTTGGAAATCAGGTAGGTGTGTGTTTAGGGGAGGGGCAGGAGAGATTACTAAATACTTTTCCTGCTACAGCACATCAAGGGGTAAGACTGAAGGACTCAACTACTATCTTTTTTCTCTAGTGTAAAGGTGAGGTGGGGAGAGTGGAATGTTTTAATAAGTAATGTTGACAAAAGTAAAGAGGGATAAAGAAGACCTGAAAGCCACAGAAAAGAAGACAGGCATAGTCAGGTCGAGTAGATTCTAAGGGTTGCCAGTCTACAGCCACTGAGGTCCCCTGTATTCACTGAGCCAAGAATTTTACCATGTGGCCTCTGTGGCAGGGTGAGATAACTTCTCAGCAGAGGCTGGGGGAGACCACTGGGCTAGTGGACTATACTGGGGCCATAGAAGACTCAGAGAAAGCTGCAGCCCACAGGAACTGAAGTGCAGGCCTCCCCAAGCTGAGAGGTTGATTCACAGGCTCTGACAGCTGCAGACTTCAACAAACTTCAGCCAGGAAGCAGAAAGGTACACAAAGGACCTGGCCCCAGAGAGCAAAAGGAAGAGAGGGCCCCTATCCCAAGGACTTGACCTTATCCCTTCCTCCAGTAGCATGCATAAAACCTCCTCCTCATATTCATTCTAAAGCCATTTTAGGGATGTCAAAAGAGAAAGAGGAGGCTAGCTGAGAGGCTGTCCAAACTTATTCAAATGAAATTTTTAATTTTTTAATGGCTATTTAAATTATCAGCTCAACTGGATGTTTGACTATTTGTTTAATTTTTTTCCCCAGCTAATGCATTGGAAGGAGCTTGGAATTTTGTTCAGATTAGTTGAAACCAAATGACAAAATAGGTTTTCTCTGCACGTCTAAGTTATGAGTTTAATTTGCCACCTTGCTGCAGCTTTTAAAAATAATAAAAGAGACTTGCATAGTGAGAGAAAAAAATAATAGAAATGATGAAAGTCCAGTTATCCTTAATCATATTGTGATGATGTATAGAACCATATAAAGCATAGAGTCACAGGGCATTTGAAGGCATTTGAACTCTCCATCCCCAACTCTGCTTCTGGAATCACTGCTATTACCTGCTTGGAAAATAGTCCTTTTTGCTCATTTTGATATGAAAATAAAACTGCTCTAAAAAGATCAAGTCTGTTAAAAACAAACAAACTTCCCTAATGATTTCTTACATTCTCCAGAGATTGATATGGCCATCACTGAACAAGGCAGAAAATACGTCCATCTCCTATGTCAAAATCTGATTTTTCTATTTATTTTGCCACTGTCTTCTGGGACATCTTTAGGAGATAGTTTTCCCCTTCCGTTGTCTTTCCTCAGGTTGTAAATCAGCAATTACTTAGTTCCCAAAAAAAAGTCTGAGGTTATAAATGGGGGTAGACAGTAATTTTATCTGCGAGAGATTAAGATATCATCCACTTAGTTTGGTGACAACAGAGTGCAACTGAGTGCATTGCTTCCTGTTCATCCTGGCTCAACTTTTTCTTCTTTCTCTCTGTCTACCTCTCTCTCCCTTTCTGAACTAGCCGACTTTTCTTTTTAACAAAATAATTCAGGGTATAACCACAAACTTGGTAAAATTCCCAAAAGTAATCTGAAAACATTCTTCTTAAAACCTAAGTGACAAGTAAGTCAACTAAGCTAGTGTGTGTGTGTGTGTGTGTGTGTGTGTGTGTGTTACCAAGTAATCCATTGAAACAATAAAATTCAAATAGCAAAAACAACTTGCAACAGCATAATACATCTGTTTATTTAGTTAATATTACAATGGTAACAAGTTAAGAGCACTAAATTTGTATCCTCTTAGAAGGATAATGATTAAGATTTTGATTTGTAAATTTCACAGTTCTTAACCATTAAAAATCTATTTTCCAAAGGAGTAGTAATATATATTTTTATTAAGGGACAGATCTAAACTTTCTGATTTATGACCCAAAGCATATTTGTTCATTAGTTTAAGCAAAACATTAGGGATATCTTAACTCTTGGTTACTGCTTTCAGGAAAGCACAAAGTTGTTGAAGCAAATATACACAAAACGTATTTTTCAATAGTGATTTTAACCATTGTATATCATGTCAATGAGTGAACCTGAGAACCCCAGATTTAGTATCTCCAGATTGTTGTAATACACTCTGGCTTAAACAATCAACCAACAAACATGTATTTAGTGCCTACTATGTACAAGCCAGCATACTAAAGCAATACAGGAAATATAAATAATTAAAATTATTGGTCCTCGCCCTGCTCAGGCTTCCAATGTAGTTGGTAATATTAAACACAGACACAAATTATTTCACTTTCAATGTCCTCAAAAAAAGTGATGATGTTAACTGGATCATATGTAAGAATCACCTCTGCTGGAACCCAGAGGGAGCAGGGGCATCTTCAGCAGTGATTAAAGTCTCTGTCTGAATTAGATTCCTCAGCTCCAGGTTTGAGTGCTGCTTGCACTCCTGAAACTGAAAGTGTTCCAGCCAGACTCACACCTGTCACCATCAGTGGCTATACTTAGACTCATGGACTCATGACAATGGAGCAAGATAAGTATACATATGTCCACATCATATATATAAATATATATACACTCAAATTATATATAGGGTGATGTTCCCCTATATATGTCTCCTGGAAAGCCAGGAGTTCAGGACTTTCCACTGTGCATGGAGAGGAGGATAACCCACATTATCATTTATGTATTATCCTAATAAGACAAACAAGAGACTATAGTAAGAAAAGTATGAAAAATCTCCAAACTTCACTCAACACAATCAAAAATAGAAAAGCTAGAGGAAAGGATGAGATAAGAGGGCCCAGCATTGAGGAGAGGCGTTGAGATGGCCAGGGAGTGGGGCAAGAGCTTGCCCCTACTTCCACTTCCATGCCCGCCCCCAGGGTCCCAAAGAAAAGACCTGGGGCTAGGCAAGCAGAGAAAAGGAAAGCAGAGACACATTTTCCAACACGACAAATAAATTAATAAATATATATGTTAAACAAGAAAATAACTTCTTAGGCACCGCTTGAAAGGCAGCAACCCTCTAGAGACCAGGCAGGCCCCACTCGGGAGCCTGCAGGTTGCGGCGACACCGCCAACACTGGCGGACTCTGAAGACGTCGCCCTAGGTCCCCCGCCCCTGGCGCCCGGTCTTTTGAGATACACTGGAGCAGGAAACCTTATCTATTGTTACTTTTAGGTCGGCTCCTCCGGAAACTTGGGTGAGGGAGAAAGCCAAGGCGGGCTGCAGCCCTGCAACCGAACCCCGAACCCCGAACCCCGGGGAAGGTGTGCCCTGCACTACCCTGCCCTGCCTAACGCAGACGCGCGGCCCGGGAGCGCCCAGCGCTTGGTCTTTGAAAACGCGCAGTAGGAGGGTGATTCCTATTACGCGCCCACACTCCGACCCCGCAATCTTATAAAAACTCCTCATTCGGCTTGTTCTCAGCTCCTTCTTTGCTCCAAAGGAGGGCTTGGGTGGGAACTCCAGAAAGCCTGGAGTTCGAAGCGCGGGACCTATTTTACTAAGCACCTGGCTCTACTCTGGGTGGAGTGAGAGTGGTGGTGGCGGGCGGGCGGCGAGAGGGGGACAGGGGAGGGCAGGGAAAGATGCACCTTCACCCAAGAGTAGGAGAAAAGACCAGCTGCTTAGATCTTTCTCAAGTCCAACTTTCCTTAAGGTAGGGCTGCGCAAAGGGAGAGCGGTCATTCCCGGGACTCCAGTAGGGGCACCAGACAGAACCTGGACAGCGGCCCCGCGCGGCTAGGGACTAACGCCGAGGGAAACCCGTGGCGGTATCCGTGGCTCAGCTTAAACAAACAGAAATAACGACTGGAGGGGCTGAGGATCAGAATGAGTTGTTAATGAGTTCGTGATCTGCACTGGCGGGACGGTGCGGAAGAAAGGATAGAAGTTGCAGGGTAGGGAAAATAGAAGGAGGGTCAGAGGAGTAAGCGCAGTGGAGGAAGGAACAGAAAGTGGGAGACCCAGAAAAAGGTAGCCTGAAAGCCTTCCCAGTTTATAAGCAAAGCTCTCACTTCTACCATTGTCGCGCGCCTTTCTTGGGTTCCTCCATCAAAGGCTGTCAGTGTCCTAGCCCCACGTTATCCCGACAGCACCCTGGCGCCCTGGATACCGTCCCTTTCGCACCCGGCCTTCCCTTCTCATTCTCCCCCTCTTTTGGCTCAGGGCCCCTGCGTGGCCCGGGCTCAGAGCCCCTGCGTGGCCCGGGCTCAGAGCGTCGTGATCCGGGA
The DNA here is from genome assembly GCF_000001405.40 of Homo sapiens. NCBI lineage: Eukaryota > Metazoa > Chordata > Mammalia > Primates > Hominidae > Homo > Homo sapiens. Next base: position 38,210,544 of record NC_000014.9, on the reverse strand, counting down.
CGTGCAGGTGCCATTACGGAAGACGCCGCCGGACTCCAGGTTCTCAGGTTGGAAGTCTTCCACACTGTAGGCACGGCTCTTGAGCGCGGTGGCGTAATAGTCAACCGGCTCCTCCGCGGCGTTGTCCATCCAGCTGAGGCATAGGATGCGTTGGAAAGAGCGCTTGAAGTTGTCTGAGAGAAAGCCATAGAGGATGGGGTTGGCGCAGCTGTTGGCATAGCCGAGGATGACCGACAGCTGACTCACCGTGGCGTCGTCCTGCTCAGCAAACACGTTGACCAGCTGCACCACGTAGAAAGGCATCCAGCAGATGACAAACACCATCACCACCATCATCACCATTAAGGTGATCTTGCGCTCCGAGCGCTTGCGCTGCTGCCAGCCGGCCTTGAGGGCCACCATGCGCATCTTAGCAATGATGAGCACGTAGCACAGGCAGATAGCCCCCACGGGCAGCAGGAAGCCCATGAGAAATGTGTACAACACGAAGCCCACCAGCCAGCGTTGAGCGGGCTCTGGCATGAGCATGTTGCAAGCCACCGTGCCGTCGCTGTTGGCCGCGGTGCGAGAGAAGACCACGATGGGCAGGATGACGAGCAGCGATAGCACCCACACGCCCAGGTTTACTACCTTGGCCACGGTGGGCCGGCGGTAGCGGGCCGCCTTGATGGGATGCACCACGGCCACGTAGCGGTCCACGCTGAGCACAGTCAGACAGTAGATGCTGGTGAACATGTTGACCGCGTCCACGCTGAGCACGAGGCGGCAGAGCAGCGCACCGAAGGGCCAGTGGCGCAACAACGTGGAGGTGACTAGGAAGGGCACGCTGAGCATGAGCAGCTCATCAGCAATGGCCAGATTTAGGATGTAGATGTTGGTGGCCGTCTTCATCTTGGCATAGCGCAGGATCACGTAGATGACCATAGAGTTCCCACACAGCCCCACCAGGCACACCACGGAGTAGATGAAAGAGATCAGGATGGCGCTGCCCTGGCCCTCGCTCAAGGTCCCGTTCTGGGACGCATTTCGCCCTGGCTCCTCCATGCCGTCCGCAGCGCCGGCCCCGGGGCCCCTGCTGCCGCCGCCTTCGCCGCAGCTGCCCGGGCTGGGGCTAGGAGAGGAGGAAGGAGAGGAGGCGGTGCCATTGGGGAACATCCCAGCTGAGGGGGGCCAGTGGGGCTGCCAGGGCTGGGGCTTTCTCCTCGCGCACCCGCCGCCTGCGCCCTCCCTCCCCACCCGACCGCTTGCCTGCAGCCCACAGCCGCCCAGCGCCTCCGGGTAGAGCGCAACCGCTGCGGGGAGCGCGGCTCCTACCGGCGCCGGCGGGGCGCACAGCCCAGCGGTTGCCTGGGCTCTGCAGTTTGCAGCTCCGGGGTGCCCGGGCACAGGCGACCGTGGAGAGGAGAGGCCAGGATGTGGGAGCACCGCACGGCACAGCCATTAACTGGCGCGGCTCTGGACTGGTAAATGATTAATAGGCACCACCAGCGCGTCAGCAGCTACGAAAAAAGGGGGTGGGGTGGAGAAAGGGAGGAGAGCACATAGGTGGCTTGTCCCCCCCGCCCCCCATTTTTTTCCTTCCCAGTCCTGCACTCTGCTCAACTTTAGTGGCTCCTTCCGGGGTTCCCTCGCAGCACCATCTGCCTCTTGCTCTCAGAGGAACCAAGAGAGTTCCTCGGCCTTACTGGAGGGCGGGTGGGAACCAAAGGTATAGATTCTGTCTCATTCCACTCCTCTCCTACCCAAAGCAAAGACTCAAACGGATCCATGAACATGGATGTCTGGAGTTCATCTCAGTTTCCCTCCATTGCTGCCCTTTTCTCTGGAGACCCCAGCTTCTCTCCCGTCCCGCAGTCCAGAACCCTAAATTCCCTCTTCCCACCCTCGCTTGCCTTGCAGCTCAGACCCGCCAGGGAAGTTCCGGGCCCTCCTTACCCAAAGTGCGCAACCTCCAGACTGAGACGTAGATGGTCGGTGCAAAGTGCATGTGCGGTCTGTTAGCAGGTTGACGATCTTCGCGCAGACCAACTCCCTTCTTTGCGCCTGGCCCCAGCACAGGTGCCCACGCAATTACTCTTAGAATCGCGGAAACTGGCCCTAAGCTGCGAGCGTTATGAGAAGAAAGGACAACCACCGTGCGTTAGGGGCTTCTGCGCTATAACACAGCAGGCAGCTTAGGCTATTGGGAGTGTTCAGGGACCTGAGTGAACCATTCGCAAATCTCTTAATAAAGCTCGTAGCGCTCAGAGCCCCCCGTGTCTCCCACAGGAATATCGACTGCAGAAACGAGGACGCGCAGCTGGGAGCTCTGGAGGAGCTTGAGACTCCCTCCAGAAACGTGCCAGGCGCGGTGTTGGGAATCCACCTAGGTGTTCACTCGGGAAAGATAAGGCTGCGCCGCTTGGAAGGGCTCCACCCGCGTCCCTGCTGTACTTTGTACCCTGGAGAGTTGGCGGGTTCTGGCAGACGAGAGTTTAAAGGCTTGGGCGGGCGGGGACGCCAGCTCTTCTAAATCCAGGTGAGGAGCTGCCGCCGTGCGATGACCAGACCTGTCACCAACCCCAGGAACGGCAGGGCGACATTCGAGTTTTTCCGGGAAGAGCTAGGATGTCAGCTCTTTCTGAGGCTTGATTTGTGAGCTGGCTCTGGGTCACGTGCCCAAACCATTAGGAGATATCAATGTAGGCAAGCCTGAAGCTCACTGACTTCATTTAAGAATCAAAACGGTTTTCCCGTAAGAAAGAATGTATGTTCCGTTATCAGGATTTTAAACGAACCCTGGGACTTACCACCATTCTTACTCTAGGGTCTCTTTGGCTTTCCAACTGTTCCTGTGGAAGGAAGAATCACACTCCATGCAACTTCCCTGTTCCTTTTCATAAACGTTGCTTTGCTCGGTAAGATCCCTGCAAGCCTTTATTTGAAACTAGCCTGTTCACAGGAAGAGTGACCCGCAGCAGCTTAGTGCTCTGCCTCCTTCAAGCTTTGCTGTCTCCAGTTTTTCCTTAGTTTCTCCTTCTCCTCAACCAGGCTGTGCCCGCTGTACTGTAAGTCTCAGTTTTCCTCCTCTCAGTAGAGTTTACTCCAAGGAGAGGCTAAACTCCTCATGGAGGCTATCTGTACCGGTCCAGAATGAAGAAATGGATGCAGAAATTAAAAACAAAAAAGTATATTTCCTAATGCCCTGTTGCTTTATCCAGGTAATCACTTACATATACTGCATGTGTTTTAGTTCCCAAAACTAATTGTCTTGAACAGGAAAGAATAACTTCTGTAGTGTGTTGATGATAGCAATCAAAGACTAAAATAAATGACAGACTTTCATAGGAATGTGTGCAATTATTAATGAGGAATGTGCTAGGATGGAATTTGAAATTTCATACGGCTGAAACTGTTTTAACCCATTATTTTACCTGAACAAATTGCCTTCTTTAAAGTGGAATGTACAATTGGTGTTTAGTTATATTTATTTTTCCTTTACAAATACAGCACATATGGAGAGAAAATAAATGTTCATTAAGTTAAAAGAAAAGAGAGTGGGTATTGTCCCAGAATCCCAGAAGAGCATTTTACTAGCCAAGCCTCATATAATGCCTTAGATGCCTCTGCCAATCACTGACTAAAGACACCTGACTATCTGTACCTCTGGGAGCTTGGATTTCAACAGTCATTATTTAGATGCCTTGGCTTTGATCATGGTTGCTCTTTGGGAAGTGTGTGATGGGAGTCAGTGAAAAACAGCTCTGTTGTTCAGAATTTCATTAAATTCACTTTCAGCTCATCTTAGGGAAAATTTCTCTCAATTTTGTGGCCTCATATACAAAAGAAGAAAACTTAAGACCTGACGTGAGAATGCTTTTTATTTTTATTTTTTTGAGATGCCACTTTTCACCCACTAGGATGGCTATAAGAACATTTTTAAAAACAAAAAATAAACGTTAGTGAGAATGTGGAGAAATTAGAACACTCATACATTGCTGGTGGGAATAAAAAATGATGCAGCAACTTCAGAAAAAAATTTTGGCAATTGCTTAAAAAGTTTAAAAGTTTAAAAGAATGACCATATGAGCCAGCAATTCCACTTCTATTTACTCCTCAAAATTGAAAACAGGTGTTTAATCAAAAACTTGTGCATGAACATTCATAGCAGCACTATTCATAATAGCCAAAAATTAGAAACAATCCAAATATCCATCAATTGCTGAATTAATAAATTGTGGTATATCCATACAATGGAATAGTATTCAACCATAAAAAGAAATGAAGTACTAATACCTGCTTCAGCGTAGACGAAGCTTGAAAACACTATGCAAAGGGAAAGAAGCCAGACACAAAAGGCCACGTGTGGCATGATTCCATTTATATGACATGCCCAGGGCAGGCAATACATACAGACAAGGTACGTTAGTGGTTGCCAGGGGCTGGGGGCAGAGGGGAAAGAGGAAGGACTGCTTAATGGGTATGAGCTTTCTTTTTTGAGTGGTGAAAATGTTCTGGAATTAGATAGTGGTGATGATTGCATAACATTGTGAATATGCTAAAAATCCCTGAATTGTACACTTCAAAAATGACTAAAATTATAAATTTTATATTATGGGAGTTTTACTTCAATTTTAAAAAGCATGAGAGAAAGACAAAGAGAGGGATTGAGATGGATATAAGCTATGCAGCATTATTAAATCTTTTCAGTTATGTATTTATTTTTAAATTATTATTATTATTATTATTATTATTATTATTATTATTATTTTGAGACAGGGTTTTGCTCTATCACCCAGGCTGGAGTGTAGTGGCACAATCACAGCTCACTGTAGCCTTGATGTCTCAGGCTCAAGTGATCCTCCCACCTTAGCCTCTGGAGTAGCTGGGGACTACAGGTGTGCCCCACGATGCCTGGCTAATTTTTAAGGTTTTTGTAGAGATGGGGTCTTCCTATCTTGCACAGACTGGTGTGGAATTCCTAGCTCAAGCAATTTTCCTGTCTCAGCCTCACAAAGTGCTGGTATTACCCGTGTGAGCCACCGTGCTCAGCCCAGTCATGTATTTCTAATTATTGTATTTGTGAACTAATCTATGAACAACAAAAACAAACAAACAAACAAAAAGGGTGGCATTTCTGGGCCACCAGGAAGGTGGATTGGGGTTGCAGCTATTTTCAAATTATATTAAAAGCAGGATCCCAGTTAGAGCGCTATCTTCCCCTCAGATCTCAATTTAATGTAAATATTTCCAAAGAAAAAGGAAAACTGATATGGGCATGAGATCACTTTAATTTGCAAAAAACGCAGCCAGTGAATAGTCAGGACTCAACAATCTTCTTGTCTTGTTAAAAACTTTTTAGGTTCACATGTCTAAAACCTTGAAAAGATTAGGAAGAGCTTGTTTTCTCCCTACAAGTTACCTGTCCTCCAGCCCTCTTTGGTTACCATCTTTCCTATGCCTCTGTGATATGAACATTTATAGATAGAAAAGAAGGAGATGTTTTCCAGAAAGGGGAAAATGAAATGTTCCAATTTAGGAAGTTGCAGATTCTTGAGCAGACTGATTTTCTTCCCTCACTGTAACTTTCTCCTACAAGCTATACTCTCCTGTGCTATCATGTACCAGGTGCACACTTTGATTATTATATTTATCACACTGTACTGTGGCTTTTTGTGTACTTGTCTGTACCCTCTTATAAATTTGTAAGCTTGTGGAGACCAGGGGCTTGCATTTTATTTATTTTTCTATCCCCAGCATCTAGTGCAGTACCTACAAAATTGCCCCAAATCACCTTGTTTTATTTTGTCAAGGCATCCCATGGATAGTACTTTCCTCTTTTCTAGATTATAAAATGTAGATGCAAAGAAATAAACTGTGAGCTCCTTATAAGTAGAGCTTTACTAGCTGAGGAATATCATCATGTGTATTAATTCCTTATACACTTAAATTATTCTAAATAATTTCAATTTGCATGTCCTATATCAACAATTGTCATACTGATGACTCATTCATTGATCATTCTTGGTCTTAAATTTCTCAGCAGAGAAAGGGCTCTGGAAAATGGGTAGTACATGCATTAGTAGCTAATGATGGTTATTTAATAGTGTCATGCAGTGTGAAAGTCATCATACATGGAAGATCATTTCCTTTTAATAGCAGTTTTGAGCCTCAGTTCGTTTGGTGGAATAGTAATTATCAGCACCTCAACTTCTGCTTATGTCAAAATCATTACTAATGTGGTTTTTCCAATCAGAGCCTGTGTTGATCCTTAAATGAGCATCTCTAATTCATACCAATGATAAAGGGCTGGCTGGAGCCAGGGATTAAAGGGTACACTTCCTGGAACATTGTCTGCAGCAGCAGAATCAGTGTCAGGTTTACAAACACCTGTCTGGACAGATGGGACCAAATTGAGTATAAGGGGCTAACACCACTCAGCAATATGGCCTACAGCAAAGGTTGTGTCACTTAAGGACCATCTGCCACTAAGCAGTTAACATGATGTCAGTCTAACGAGAAAGTTACCAGAGCACAAATGTGGCTATAGGGCTAAGAAACAATCCTGGACTTCATTTCTCAGGAATACCCAATCACAGCAGCCTTGGTAGCCTGTGGTTTAGTTCATCACCAACCTCAGCAAACTCACCCTGGCCCACTGATTTTCCTATTGCCTCTTCTGTGAACAGCATGACAGAGTCTTTTTTTGTGCTTTTAGCAAAGACCCATATGGTGTAACAACTCCTATTCTTCCCTATGTTTTCTCTACTACAAAATAATATTTCTAAAAACAAGAATTCAGCACATACAGGAAAGTATTCATTACAAATAATGGAAACATAAAAGCAGAACAGGAGCACATTCATGTTATCTGTATTATTTTGAATAGTCCTTATCAGTAATACATTTTTCTGTAATAAAGTCTGTTAGTTAAGGATTTTAAGATGGATGCATTAGTTTAAAACTATTGTCTCGAAATCTTTTTTCTTTTCTTTTTTTTTTTTTTTTTTTGAGAACGAATCTTACTCTGTTGCCCAGGTTGGAGTGCAGTGGCATGATCTTGGCTCATTGCAACCCCCACCTCCTGGATTCAAGTGATTATCTTGCCTCTGCCTCCTGAGTAGCTGGGATTACAGGCGCCCATCATGCCCAGCTAATTTTTATATTTTTAGTAGAGATGGGGTTTCAACATGTTGGCCAGGATGGTCTTGATCTCCTGACCTCATGATCTGCCTGCCTCAGCCTCCCAAAGTGCTGGGATTACAGGCGTGAGCCACTGCGCCAGATAATTGTCTCAAAATCTTTAAAAAAATTTTTTTGGCATTTCTCTTTTTAGCAAAAATCACAAAGAAATGCTTTCAAAACCACAAACCATATTTTTGTTTATTTTGATACTTCAATTTATGTTTGATTTTGAGCAGAGGATTTAAATACTTAGAGCAAATCATTCATTCCTTGAGAAAGGGCTGTTCCTTTGGAGCGGGCTATATCTGTCAATCAGCTCCACCAGCCCAGCAAAGAGCTAGGGTGTGAAAGGAAAGCCTGTTTTGTAGATGAAAACAATGTAAGCATCTAAACGCCCACCACCATGATACTGCCACTTTGTTCTCATTTTAAATATGTTGAGGCAGGAGTCTAGGTTCATGTTTCAACAGCCAAAACACTTTTATTTAGACGATGAAGCAACTTAAATGATTGATCTTTTCTCCCTTTCTGTAATTAAGTTGGAACTGGTCATTACTGGTTCTAGGTTGACAGTCTCTCCATCTCCTTGTCTTCTCCTGCTGGAGGCAAAATGGGGGGCTGTGTCTGTGAGCTGTCAGACTGGAACTCAGAACTACCAGGAGTGGTCCGGAAAGAGGTCCTGGATCCTCACCTCACTGTCCCCTCTTGAGAGTGGACTGCCTCTCCTCACCAGCACCTGGCCCTGCCCCTGTCTCCTTTTGCCCACAGCATGGAATGCTACTTTACTTAGTCCTTGAGGAAGTAGCCCGTGCTACTACTTTCCTACAGCCTGACATCTCCTTTCCTGCCAGAAGAAGGAAGTAAGAAGATAGCATAGCCTAGGTGGGGACACCTGGCCTACACTCCTTCTTTGTTGACTGTTTGGTTGAGCCAAGATTTCGCTGCTTATGCCATTAGCCAATGCAGTGGTTTCTGATATTATATCCTAATTTTAAAAAATTATTTGTATGTGTTTTATTTTATGGAAGTAAAATTCAGACTGCAGTAGAAAAGATTTATTTCCAGTTATTTGCCCCATTTCTTAGTTAAAAGGAAGTGGAAATTAATATCAGAATTCCACTATGTATGAGTAATGTGTGTTTTTAATTGTAACTTAGTAATTTAGCAAATACTTAGGGAATGCCCACTGGGTGGCAGGCACTGTTCTAGGCACAATAGATATAATGACAAATTAGATTAATTTTCTGTGGAATTCTAGTAGGGCAGAAAGACAGTAAACAAGTACAGGTACTGTAATTTCATTTCGTGATAAGTTCTAAGAAGATAAGTGGGGGTGAGAGGATACAGAGTGCTGGAGGGGTGGGTGCACTTGGTATAGATTAGATGGAAAGGGAAGGAAAGAAGATGTTTGAGCAGTTATGAATAAGGTGAAAGTAAAAGGGCACATGTCTGATGAAGGTTGTTCCAGTCAAAGGCAACAGCGCACATAAACCATGGGGATTCTGCAGATGTAGGTGTTGGCATGCTAAAGCTACACATTCCCAATTTTAACTTACTTACCTACTTTCTACAGTCATAATTTAGAGAACATCTCTAGGTGTAAATAATTATTTATTTTGATCAGCACCTCATATAGAGAATACATGAAGATCCTGTTCTTTCCCGCTTCTAGCCACATCCTTCCCGGCAAGGGAAGGAGTTCCTGCAGCCAACAAGTGCCCAGTCTGAGCCCGCAAGCCACATCTAGCCCATACGCTAGATCACAATCTTCTAGACTCCATGACTCCCTGCCCAGAGGCTCCAAACCCACTTCCAGGGAAGTGTGAGCCAAATACATGGCCAAGAAGAGGCTCAGAGGTGACTAGGAGAGGATGTGGCAGATGAGTAATGAGCTTGGCCATAGGGGTTCAGGTATCTGTCCTAATGTACATGAGCCTATTCACTGGGCAGGACAAAGCCAGGAATGGAAGTTGAAGTAGGACAGGCTACTGGTGGGGGCAAGTTCCAGGGTAGAGCTTGTGAAGAGGGCTAGGAGTCTAAATTGGACTCTGTCTTTCCAGGTCATAATGAAGATAGATGATAGGCTATATTTTATTTAACGGACTCTGAGCTTGATTGATAACTTTCAAGGTAAGCAAACATGCACACCAAACAAAACAGTTGGGCCTTTGGAAGAACTTGAAGCACAGATGTATAACCCAAGCCACCAAGAAGATGGAGAGAGGATGCCACACCACTCACTTTATTCTTTTCTGACTACCCCGTTGGCCTTTTTCATTCCAAAATAAAATTTTGCTCTTCCCCCAGTCAAAAATAAAAATGTTATATAAATAATGATGTAAATACACACACACACATTAAATGAACATATATATGCATAGGCTTGAAAGGACAGTTACTAAGATATTAACAGTGGTTATCATCAGGTAGTTGGGTTGTGAATGCTTTCTTCTCCCTTTTGCAGAGATTTTCTAATTCTTCAGTCATAAGCACGCATTGCTTTTTAAGTAAGATAAAAGCAATAAAAGCTTTTTATACCTTAAAAATGAAAAGACTCCAGGCCGTAAGTGTCTGTTCTATTTAATATAACATTTGCTGATTTATTTTCTCCTCAATTATTTTTACTTTTAGAAAAACACTAATAAATTTATTCTTGAAATTAACATGTTGTGATGTAAGTTAAATGGCAAACAAAACATACCCGTCAGAAGGTGGTAGAAGGAACTGGAACAGGAGCTACAACAGTCTATTATTTTCTAGGCAGCCCCTATCATCCCATAGCTAAGTGATTCATTGAGTATGCTTGAGTCTGATATGCCTATCTTTTGGAATTGCTTTATCATTGCTATATAATGTGATTTATTTGTGACATAAATCACAAGATAATGTTTGTGAAAGCAAAGTGTAGTCTAATACCAAACATCAGGGCTTACATCTCATATTTTCCATGACTTTAACCTTGTGCTGGTTGTTTGATCCCTCTGTGCTTCATTTTCCTCATTTGTAAAAGGAAGTAACAGTGCATCTATCTTGTAAAATTGTTAAAAGGATTAAATACATTAAAAGTGTTTAAAACAGTGTCTGGCATATAGTAAGCACTATGTAAATATTTAGCTATTATAAAATAATTTCTGAGGTATGGGTTACAATGTAACACTGTTTTTGAATTAGCCCCAGACTTGAAAAATCCAGTTTTGTCCCTTGCTTAAGAGCTTAATACAGTAGGTCTGACATTCACTTCTGCAGTCTAAAAAATACTGACAGTTTCTATGTGTATGATACTTACCCTTTCTTTTTCCTCCTGCCTATCCAGTTGAGTCCCATAATTCCAACACTGTGAACTATGTTCCATTCACCAGTTTTTGGTACATGACACACCCTCAGCTAAAATAACTCTAAGTTATTAATCACACCTATCTACGTCATACTGAAGTCAATCTAGTCTACCACATGGTAAGGATTCATACTAATCACTGAACTCACTGACTCAAATAACCCAAATGTTTGAATGTTACATATGCACAGTCTAAGTTGAACTTAACTTTTATTTTGTCTCAATTTCCAGTGAGGCCCCAGGCTCCCAACCTGATGACTGCAATTGGGAAATGTATCCACTTTCTAAAGAGAGGTGCTAGTCCACCCCCTTAGCCCATTGCCTACCTCCATATATGAGAGTAGAAAGGAAGTTGATAGTGATTAATTCCTTAGAGACAGTTCTCAGAGTGCTGTGCATTTTTCTTCCCACAAAAGATGGAAAGTGGGTGCTTACCCCATCTGTAAACTGTGGAGGCTTCTATAAGACCACTTAAAGAGCTTGGTAGTATCCCTGAACATTTGACAAGACACAGAGACTGATGTCTGATTCTTACCTGGAAAACTTAAAGGTGAAGAAGCGGCCCAGTGGGAATTGCTTCAGGTGGTAGAGTGAAGAGAAAAGGCTATGGAGGGGGGTGCAAAACGCTGGTTCCCACTGAAAGTGGAGCAGAGGCGGTGTTTCTCAGGCACTGGCATGGACAGTATGGCAGGCAGGCAGGTGGGAGCCCCGTGATGGGCCTGCTCTCCACCCCAGGATGAGAGGACGCTCAGCGGGAAGTTCGTGAAGCACAACAATCAACAATCAGTAGCTGAGTGGGGAATGCAGCCAGCTGGCCAAGGATATTGGGCACGCCATCCAAGGGCACAATGGGTGGTCTCCAGCAACAGAGTGGGCGATGCTGAAGAACCCACTGAAGAATTTCAAAGGAGAAAGAAGCACTCACAGAGGGCACAATGCATGATTATAACTGCACCGCTCAAGGAAGAAGTTGGCTGTCCCCAAATGATTTTCCCTCTCCCCTGCAGGAACCAAAGACAGAGAAAGGGGTGAGGGAGGTAGAGTAAAAAAATACTGCAAAGACATGATAAAGAATTAACCGCTTCCCTCTTCCCTACTACAGGATCCAAGCATAGGTCATGCTGGAGCTGGTATAGGGACAAAGAGATTTAAGTTCAATGAGAAATGAAAGTTTCAATTTAAAAAGGATTTTTAAAATAATGTCTGAAAATAAGACTGTTAATGTCTGAAAGTGAACAAAAAAAGCTGTGGGATCTGTGTGTACTAAGTACTTTCCATTTACGGTTTCAGCATATTTAACCCTTCCAACTACACTATGAGGAAGCTTCTATTTACTACTCTCATTTTGCAGATGAAGAAACCAAGGCACAGAGAGGTTAAATAACTGGCTCAAAGTCACACAGTCAGAGCTCGAATTTGACTCTAACAATCTACCCTAAGGCCTGTGTTCTTAAACATCATGCCACACTGCTGTGGTCTTATCTCTTACTAAACTCGATTCAATTAAAGTGTGGTTTTGAGACCACGAAATTACATAAATAGCAAATTTAAGTCATTTTTATGTTTTATGCATTCCTCAATGAATCCAATAATTGCCTCAGTCTTCTCCTCTATTCATGTTGCCTAATTATTTAAAAGTAACTAGACCTCATCAGAAATTTGGAGTGACATGTTTTGAAAGAATTTAACCTTAAAAAATGTTATTATAAAAGTATTAAGATTGATGAGCCATTGGTATTTTGGTACCAAAGAAAATGCATTTTCTGTTAACAACTGACCACCATTTCCCAGTTCTAAACATGTGACGATCAGTACTGCAGGCAGCTTTGTGCTGTCTTCTGTATGAGTATTTCTCTGTAGTTTTTTCCTACACCATTCCTGTGGTCTTGTCATGCCTCATCTTTGCCCCACCTCAGGAAAATGGATATCCAAGTGGTGGGTCAGCAGAGCCGCTAGGTAGAGGATAAATGAGCAATAGCTGCTTTGAAGTGATTTGTATTGATGCCACAAAATCCCAGCCAAAATGTATTCCCAGGAAAGGAAGAGGGATTGCTGCTGGAACAAAATCAATTAAAATAAAATTTCCCCTTCCCTAGAGCAAGTGTGTGCCCATTTCAACTGGTTTAGGGACTTTGCACTTGGACTTTTGTTGATTTGACTAACAGTTTTAACAGATGAGAATACACAGATGGCAGATTCACTCATGTGGGGGATCATTCTTTCCTAATTGAAACATTATGCCTCTCTTCACTAAACAATTAAGTAAGAAATTACCATGTTTAGTCCATTAAAATGCCTTAACTTAATAGAGGATAATGACACACAAGAAAAACTTGTAAAACTCAATATTCACACTTGCACATAAGACTAGAGTAAACCAAAACTATTCTACTTTAGTTTTAGAATTTTTTTGATGGCAAGCTTTTAAATGAAATTGCATTTTTTCCCCTCTGAACTTTGAGATTAATAGGTCTTATTTTTCACACATATGAAATTTTTAGCATTTTTTTTTTTTTTTTGAAAATTCTATTCAGTTTTACTTGTGAAAACACATGCTCTGAAAATCCACTAGGGGGAGATTTTAACATTGAGAACTTTGATAGGGAAAGTTTCAGATTTTATACAGTTGTATGTCAGTTGACAGCTGGAAAAACTTAAATTTTGAACTAAGCCTTGATTATAAGGTTTACATCTTGATAAAGCTACCCAAGATATTCCAGCTATATTAAAACCTGGACTGAGTGGCTAGGGAGAACTGATGAAATATTACTCAGGCTTGTCAGAGAATGCATGTGGAGGCTGTGTGTTTGGGGAAGGAGGGGGATTTGGGTGTGAACAGGATGAGACCTTGTGTCTCTAGGGGTTGAACCAGATGAAAGAGTAATCTCTGGCCATTGCCACTGTGTATACTGTTAGTAATTTCTGGTTTCCACTGATGCATAAAAGCTTGATTTGGTTCCTTGGGGAGGCTGAGTCTTAGAATACCACTGAAATTCTCTGTAACATGATGAAAGAAATGAAAAATATATATAAGGGATATTTTTTAGATGACTTGCCTTATTTGAGGAGGCATGGCACTTTTGCAGAAATCTTCAGATAACCACCACCACTGTGGTCCAAGCAATAACAACTTGATGTCATCGAAATTCCAATAAAATTTAAAATAGATAATCTCTATAAAGCATCCTGTGATAGGATTTGACATGTGATGTCTTTTCCAAAGCTTGACTAACATGTTAACAAGGGAAGGTTTTTTTCTACTGTCAGCAAAACACCTGTAGTTTTGTAGAGTCTTTTCCCCTAAAACTGAGAAATAGGATAAAAGAGTCATTGGTGCTGATTCTAGCGCAACCACTCCCCTTTCAGCAACTTACTATTTTGAGAGGTGATTTTCTACATACAAATGATGTTGTCCTTTCTGCCAATAAGTGAATTTTTTCATCCTCTTGGGTCATATACTTATATCATTTTCCCCATATTGTATAGCATCCTTTAACATATTATGTAAGGATGTTTTTTTAATGCGCGTCCGTGTGAAGAGACCACCAAACAGGCTTTGTGTGAGCAATAAAGCTGTTAATCACCTGGGTGCAGGCAGGCTGAGTCCGAAAAGAGAGTCAGCGAAGGGAGATAAGGGTGGGGCCATTTTATAGGATTTGGGTAGGTAAAGGAAAATTATAGTCAATGGGGGTTTGTTCTCTGGCGGGCAGGAGTGGCGGTCGCAAGGTGCTCAGTGGGGGTGCTTTTTGAGCCAGGATGAGCCAGGAAAAGGACTTTCACAAGGTAATGTCATCACTTAAGGCAAGGACCAGCCATTTACACTTCTTTTGTGGTGGAATGTCATCAGTTAAGGTGGGGCAGGGCATATTCACTTCTTTTGTGATTCTTCAATTACTTCAGGCCATCTGGACGTATACGTGCAAGTCACAGGGGATGCGATGGCTTGGCTTGGGCTCAGAGGCCTGACATTCCTGCCTTCTTATATTAATAAGAAAAATAAAACAAAATAGCATTGAAGTGTTGGGGCGGCAAAAATTTTTGGGGGGGTGGTATGGAGAGAGAATGGGCGATGTTTCTCAGGGCTGCTTCAAGCGGGATTAGGGGCGGCGTGGGAACCTAGAGTGGGAGAGATTAAGGTGAAGGGAGGTATTGTGGTAAGGGGTGATATTGTGGGGATGTTATAAGAAACATTTGTCATATAGAATGATTGGTGATGGCCTGGATACGGTTTTGGATGAATTGGGAAACTAAATGGAATAACAGAAGGAGAAAAACAGGTATAAAAGGTCTAAGAATTGGGACGACTCAGGATATCTGATTAGAGAGTGCCTAAGGAGATTCGGCATAGTCCTGCCAGCAAAGATTATTTATTTATTTCAAGAGTTAAGAGTGGCAGTTTGGGGATAACACCAGGAGATATCAGCTGTGATGGCTTGGAAAAACAGTGTAAACCGGCAGTGTAAACAAGAGCAGGGCATGTATGAGTAGTTGAGAACGGTGAATAGGAGTATGACTAGACAGAAGATAGCAGGGATGACAAGTTTTTTGGGGGCACAGTCTAAGTTGGTCTGGTGTCTGGAATGAGACTGGGGCCTAATAAAAAGGAGTGTCTATACAGGAGCTTAAATGGGCTGTACCCTGTAGCATTCCGAGGACAGGCCTGGATTCTGAGAAGGGAAAGTGGTAAAAGTATTGTCCAGTCCTTTTTAAGTTGGTGGCTGAGCTTGGTGAGGTGTGTTTTTAAAAGACCTTTAGTCCATTCTACTTTTCTTGAAGACGGAGGACCGTAAGGGATATAAAGGTTTCACTGAATACCAAGAGCCTGAAAAACTGCTTGGCTCATTTGACTAATAAAGGCTCGTCTGTTATCAGACTGTATTGAGGTGGGAAGGCTAAACTGAGGAATTATGTCTGACAGAAGGGAAGAAATGACTGCGGTGGCCTTCTCAGACCCTGTAGGAAAGGCCTCTACCTATCCAGTGAAAGTATCTACCTAGACTAAGAGGTATTTTAGTTATCTGACTCAGGGCATGTTGAGTAAAGCTAATTTGCCAGTCCTGGGTGGGGCAAATCCTCAAGCTTGATGTGTAGGGAAGGGAGGGGGCCTGAATAATCCCTGAGGAGTAGAATAGCAGATGGAACACTGAGAAGTTATTTCCTTGAGGATAGAATTCCACGATGGAAAGGAAATGAGAGGTTCTAAGAGGCGGGCTAGTGGCTTGTACTATAGCATAACCTGCCTTTGCTGGTTTGTGGCGATTAGGCCATCAATAAATCCAGCGTGATCAGGGTGAGGAACAGGAAAGAAGGAAATTTGGGGAAATGGTGTGAATGTCAGGTGGATCAGAGAGATACAGTCATGGGGGTCAGGTGTGGTATCAGGAATAATGTGGGAGGCCGGATTGAAGTCCAGGCCAGGAACAACGGTAATTGTGGGAGACTCAATAAAGAGTGAGTATAGCTGAAGGAGCCGGGAAGCAGAAAGTATATGCGTCAGGTATGAGGAAGAAGATAGATTTTGGAAGTTATGAGAACTGTAGAGAGTGAGTTGAGCATACTTTGTGATTTTGAGGGCCTCTAAAAGTATTAAAGCAGCGGCAGCTGCTGCACGCAGACATGAGGGCTAGGCTAAAACAGTAAGGTCAAGTTGTTTGGACAGAAAGGCTACAGGGTGCGGTCCTGGCTCTTCTGTAAGAATTCTGACCGCACTAACCATGCCTAGGAAGGAAAGGAGTTGTTTTGTAGAAGGTGTTGGGGTTTGAGAGATCAGTCGGACACGATTGGCAGGGAGAGCACGTGTTTTTTTATGAGAATTATGCCGAGATAGGTAACAGATGAGGAAGAAATTTGGGCTTGATTGAAGTAATGGGGGCTGTCTGTGAAGCTTTGCGGCAGTACAGCCTAGGTAATTTGCTGAGCTTGATGGGTGTCAGGGTCAGGCCAAGTGAAAGTGAAGAGAGGCTGGGATTAAGGGTGCAAAGGAATAGTAAAGAAAGCATGTTTGAGATCTAGAACAGAATAATGGGTTGTAGAGGCAGGTATTGAGGATAGGAGAGTATATGGGTTTGGCACCACGGGGTGGATAGGCAAAACAATTTGGTTGATAAGGCGCAGATCCTGAACTAACTTGTAAGGCTTGTCTGGTTTTAGGACAGGTAAAATGGGGGAATTGTAAGGAGAGTTTATAGGCTTTAAAAGGCCATGCTGTAGCAGGTGAGTGATAACAGGCTTTAATCTTTTTAAAGTGTGCTGTGGGATGGGATATTGGCATTGAGTGGGGTAAGGGTGATTAGGTTTTAATGAGATGGTAAGGGGTGCATGATGGGTCGCCAAGGAGGGAGTAGAGGTATCTTATACTTGTGGGTTAAGGTGGGGGGATACAAGAGGAGGACGCAAAGGAGGCTTTGGATTGGGAAGAAGGGCGGCAATGAGATATAGCTGTAGTCCAGGAATAATCAGGGAAGCAGATAATTTAGTTAAAGTGTCTCAGCCTAATAAGGGAACTGGGCAGGTGGGGATAACTAAAAAGGAGTGCTTAAAAGAGTATTGTCTAAGTTGGCACCAGAGTTGGGGAGTTTTAAGAGGTTTAGAAGCCTGGTCGTCAATACCTACAACAGTTATGGAGGCAAGGGAAACAGGCCCTTGAAAAGAAGGTAATGTGGAGTGGGGAGCCTCTGTATTGATTAAGAAGGGGATGGGCTTACTTTCCACTGTGAGAGTTACCTGAAGCTCGGCGTCCGTGATGGTCTAGGGGGCTTCCAAGGTGATTGAGCAGTGTCAGTCTTCAGCCGCTAAGCCGAGAAGATCTGGGAAGGAGTCAGTCAGAGAGCCTTGGGCCAGAGTTCCAGGGGCTCTGGGAGTGGCTGCCAGGTGAGTTGAACAGTCTGATTTTCAGTGGGGTCCCACACAGATAGGACGTGGCTTAGGAGGAATCCCGGGCTGCGGGCATTCCTTGGCCCAGTGGCCAGATTTCCGGCAAGTGTAGCAAGCTCCTGGGGGAGGAGGTTCTGGAGGAACGCCTGGCCGCTGCGGTTCAGGCGTTTGGAAGTTCTTGTGTGCTGGAGACATGGCTGGGGTTTGTCTCACAGTGAAGGCAAGGAATTGCAACTTTTTTCTATTATTGTACACCTTGAAGGCGAGGTTAATTAAATCCTGTTGTAGGGTTTGAGGGCCGGAATTTAATTTTTGGAGTTTTATTTAATATCGGGAGCAGATTGGGTAATAAAATGTATTTTGAGAATAAGACGGCCTTTTGACCTTTTAGGGTCTAGGGCTGTAAAGCGTCTCAGGGTTGCTGCCAAACAAGTCATGAACTGGGCTGGATTTTTATATTTGATGAAAAAGAGCCTAAACGCTATCCGATTTGGGATAAAGAAAAAGGAGCATTAACCTTGACTATGCCTTTGGCTCCAGCCACATTTTTAAGAGTAAGTTGCTGGGCAGGAGGGGGAGGGCTAGTCACGGAACGAAACTGTAAGCCGGACCAGGTGTGAGGAGGGGAGGTGATAAAAAGATTATAGGGTGGAGGAGGAGAGGCTGAGGAAGAATTGGGAACTAGCTCGGCCTGGCGAGGAGCAGCCTGGGGAGGAAGGGAGAGGTCATATGGGTCTATAGAAAAGGAAGATTAGAAAGACTCAGCAACGCTTGGCGTTGGTACTGAGGGGACAGGTGGGAGGGAAAGAAGGAAGATTTGGGACGAGTTGCACTGGGCACAGAGACTAGGAAGGGACTGATATGTAAAAGAATGCCTGGACGTCAGGCACCTAAGACTGTTTGCCTATTTTACGACAAGAATTATTTAGATCTTGCAGGATGGAAAAATTCAAAGTGCCATTTTCTGGCTATTTGGAACTACTGTCGAGTTTGTATTGGGGTCAAGCGGCATTGCAGAAGAAAATAAGGCATTTAGGTTTTAGGTCAGGTGTGAATTGAAGAGGTTTTAAGTTTTTGAGAACACAGGCCAAGGGAGTAGAAGGAGGAATGGAGGGTGGAAGATTGCCCATAGTGAAGGAAGCAAGCCTAGAGAAAAGAAAGAGTAGAGAAATGGAGGGAAGGGGTTCAGGGGTTCTTACCTTCCAGAAAAGTGGGAAAGGGGTTGGGGCGCAGAGATAAGAGGTCAGGGTGCAGAAATAAGGGATGGGGCGCAGAAATAAGAGGTCAGGGCATGGAAATAAGGGATTGGGGTGCAGAGATATAAGAGGTTGGGGCGTGGAAATAAGGGATTGGGGCACAGAGATACAAGGTTGGGGCGTGGAAATAAGGGATTGGGGTGCAGAGATAAGAGGTTGGGACACGGAAATAAGGGATTGGGGCACAGAGATAAGAGGTTGGGGCGTGGAAATAAGGGATTGGGGGTTCTTGCCCCGTAGAAAAGCGGGACTTGCCACTCAGGGTGAAAGAGAAGGGGTTGAGGGGTACTTGCCCCTTCCCCAGAAAAGCAGAGAAGGGGTAGAGACAGGGAGAGAAGGGGTTGGGGTACTTGCGCCTTCCCCAGAAAAGTGGGACTTGCCGCTAAGGGTGAAGGACAAAGGCAGGCGTCCCTGCGTGGTCTGACACCTTTGAAACATGGGTGAATAATCAGAAAGGCATCCCTGCAAGGATTAAACACCAAGGGAAGGCTGCCTTCCCAGTCCATGACGGGCGTGGGAGTTTTGGGTCCACGGATAAAACATGTCTCCTTTGTCTCTACCAGAAGATGAAAGGAATTGAAATTAAGAGAAGGGAGAGATTGAAGTGTGGCGCCAAGATTGAAAGGAGAAAGAGGTTGAGGGATAGTGAGGGAGGTTGGAGAAGAGAGTAAAAAGAGGCCGCTTACCGGATTTGAAATTGGTGAGATGTTTCTTGGCCTGGTTGGTCTGAGGACCTGAGGTCGTAGGTGGCTCTTTCTCACGGAGCAAAGAACAGGAGGACAGGGGATTGATCTCCCAAGGGAGGTCCCCCGATCCGAGTCACCGCACCAAATTTCATGCGCATCCATGTGAAGAGACCACCAAACAGGCTTTGTGTGAGCAATAAAGCTTTTAATCACCTGGGTGCAGGCAGGCTGAGTCCGAAAAGTGTCAGTGAAGGGAGATAAGGGTGGGGCCGTTTTATAGGATTTGGGTAGGTAAAGGAAAATTACAGTCAAAGGGGTTTGTTCTCTGGCAGGCAGGAGTGGGGGTCGCAAGGTGCTCAGTGGGGGTGCTTTTTGAGCCAGGATGGGCCAGGAAAAGGACTTTCACAAGGTAATGTCATCAGTTAAGGCAAGGACCGGCCATTTACACTTCTTTTGTGGTGGAATGTCATCAGTTAAGGTGGGGCAGGGCATATTCACTTCTTTTGTGATTCTTCAGTTACTTCAGGCCATCTGGGCGTATACGTGCAAGTCACAGGGGATGCGATGGCTTGGCTTGGGCTCAGAGGCCTGACAGTTTTTTTTTGAGATTCAAACTAATTTTTCCTTCTTTTGTTTTCCCCTTTCTTCCTCCCTTGCTCATGTAGACAACTGATTATTCCTTGCCTCTGTGAGGTGTGCGGTTGACTTCCTGGCTTTTTTTGTGTATAGGCTGTGAACCCAAAAGTATCTGAGACAGATCTCAGTTAACTTACAAAGTTTATTTTGCCCAAGACAGCCTCAGGAGGTCCTGGCAACATATGTCCAAGGTTGTAGTCAGGGTACAGCTTTCTTTTATACATTTTAGGAAGACATAATACATCAATCAATACATGTAACATTTACATTGGTTCAATCTGGAAGAGTGGGACAATTTGAAGCAGGGGGCTCCCAGGTCATAGGTAGATTTAAAAAATTTCTGATTGGCAATTGGTTGAAAGGGTTGTTATCAATAGAAAGGAATGTCTGAGTTACAATAAAGGGGCTGTTGATACCATGGTTTTATTATGTAGATGAAACCCCCAGGTAGCAGGCTTCCAAGAGAATGGATTGTAAATGTTTCTTATCAGACTTAAGGCCTGTATTTATGTTAATGCTGGTTGGTTTTTCCAGAATTCCAAAAGGGAGAAAGGTATAATGAGGCATGTTCAACTCTCCACTTCCCATTATGTCCTGAACTAGTTTTTCAGGTTAACTTTGGAATGCTCTTGGCTGAGAGAAGGGGTCCATTCAGATGATTGGGGGACCTTAGAATTTTATTTTTGGGTTATAAGCCTAAGCCCACTGAGAGAGTATGGTTTGAAAAGAAATATTTAACTCAGAATGAAAAGAAATCCCTGGAGATATTATGGGATTGGGGCAAGGGAGAAGTTGGGGGTCCCAAGGAGAGAGGGCATCTGTGCATTTTTTCCCTGCCAGAACTCTTAGAATATGGAAGAATATTGAAATTAATGGCCAGGTAGCCTTGATTTTAGGCTGAGAGTACCCAGTCTCTTGGTGGAAACCAGCAGAGAGGCGGTCCATGACAGCTGTCATATAGATGATACAGCTGTAATAAATGCAGACAAATAACCAATGTCCAGAAGAGTCTCTAGACACTTTAGTACTGGGCAAGAAATAAATACCCTTGAAGATTGGAGAAAACAACTCTGGAGAAAATGGAGCCCTAGGAGAGAATTTCTCCCTAACTTCAGAAAATTCATACCTTCAATGCAAGCATCAGTTCTTCCAAATAGCTCCATATTCTACCACACTTGTTCTTCTGGCCCCAGGATTCTCAAACCTCAGCCCCTTCATGACTTCAGCATTCCCTCTGCTGACTATGCCTAGGATTCATGGCTTCGGATACTTTCTTGCTAGTGCCCTCAGCTTCCTCACTTCCTTGTGCAGCAAAATCCCCATAACAAACCAATCCACCACCACATTCTCCATTTGTAAACCCAAGCTGCTGAATGGCAGCTAGAGAAAGTCCACAACTGCATGGGATTGCTGCTCCTGCAAGTCATTGTTCCTCATCTTAAATTGGGTCCACGACCTTGTCTGACCAGCCTTTGATCTGTCCCTACACAGTTATCTTTATTCCCCACAACTGCTCCTTCAAATGAGTGCTACTCTTTTCAAGTACCCTACTTCATTCCAGCTCTTTCCTTAACTCACAGTGGTCAGGCATCTGATCTTGCTTCGCAGAAAAAATAGAGTTCATTGATGAAGCAGAAATTTCCTCATTTTGATTCCCTGTACTCCTTAAATTTTTTAGGATCCTAACTCTTTCCCATCTTCCCTCTCATCTTTATAGAAAACTATTCCTTTTTAAGGTGAATTGTCTCATACTTTGCCTTGAATCTGTTAACTTCCAAACTTCTCAGGGGACTTTGTTCCCAAAGGCCCTTCCTTTTACTTTCTCTGCAATTGACTTTCCCTTTCCTTTTTTTTTTTTTTTTTTCCTATTTTCTATTTTTTTTTTTTTTTTTTTAAGACAGACTCTCACTCTGTCACCCAGGCTGGAGTGCAGTGGCACCATCTTGGCTCAATGCAAACTCTGCCTCCTGGGTACAAGTGATTCTCCTACCTCAGCCTCCCAAGTAGCTGGGATTACAGGTGTGCGCCACTATGCCCAGCTAAATTTTTTAATTTTTAGTAGAAACAGTGTTTCACCATGTTTGCCAGGCTGGTGTCAAACTCCTGACCTCTAGTGATCTGCCTGCCTCAGCCTCCCAAAGTGCTAGGAATACAGGCGTGAGCTGCTGCGATGGCCTGACTTTCCCTTTCCACTCATTCTCTCTTCTTAGCAACAGCAAGTAACTCATGAGTTTTCAGTTACTGATCTTATCTATTTGGCACAATAGTGAGAACTTTATATCATCTTCTTTACTTTTTAAAAGAATATGATGCAGAACCACTACTATACCCATTTGGCAGACAAAGAAACGATTATAGAAAGATTTATTGTTGTTGTTGTTGTTGTTAACTTGACCAAGATCTCACAGCTAGTAAATGCCAGATTTCAGTTCACTTGTCTAGGTTTCATTAGGTGCAATGTACAATTACATACTAACACACACAAGTGTGTGTGTGTGTATGACTTTTTCAATGTTTTCCTTTTCATCTTTTTAAAAAACTCTTTATTGATCCTATGTGTTCTTTATTTACCACCATATTTCCTTCTTGCCATTCAGGGCCAATTGTCTGGAAAGATCGGTTAACACTTACTATCTCAGTTTTTAATCATAAAACTACTCCTGCTAAGGGCATTCTGTTCCCTTTGTTGCCACATACAGTGAAAGCATTTCAGAACTTATATTATCTACTTTTAATTATCATTTTAAATGTTGATACACTCTCTCTCTCCTTCTTAATGATCTTATCTACTGTTGTTTCCTTGACATTCTCTTACCTAATTTTCCTCTTACCCCTCAGTGTTAATGCCCCAGAGGTCAACCCTCACTTTGGCCCCTCTCCAGGTGAAATCTCATGCATTATCATAGGTGCGGCTCTACCTTTAGGCTGATGACTCATGTTCCTGTCCCAGGCCTCTCCTGAGTACCAGCTGCATACAGGATGCCTACACTTAGATGATGTAAATTAACCCCAGTTCAACATTTTGAAGACGGCATCACCATATTCTTCTCAAATCTGCTTCTTATTAACTATTAATTTATTCAATTAATATTGATTATTTAGTATATATCAGACAGTGTTCTAGGATCAAAGCAGTGAATGAAAAAGACCCAAAAAAAAAAATCTGCCTTATGGAATTTACATTCTAGTGGGAAATGTTGTCTATTTCTATTAGTCAGGGTTTAGTTAGAGAAATAGAACCTTTATAAATACAATGGACAAAAAATTTATTGCAGGAATAATACCTTACACAATTGTGGGAGAAGCTGAGAATATCCAGGTCAGAAAGAGGAAGCTGGAGGTTCAGAGAAAAGTTAAAAAGCAGGCCTCCTAAAATAGCCTATCCAGCTGCCAGAGTGGGAATGTAAGGGGAGCTGGTAGAAATGTGTAGGGACAGCTCTTGCCTCATTTCTCCCTGTGTCTAGCCTCCAGAATCTTCAGAAAATAATGGCTGCTACTTCACTTCCACACACTTTAGCCTGAGAACATACAGAAAGTGTCCCGGCTTATTAAATTGACACAGTATGAAACCACCACCCTGTCATAAATAACATGTAGTGAATTTTGTCATTGGTATTTTAAATCTAGTCTGGAAGTCTTTGTCTTTTATCATATGAGGAAGAGGAGAAGATGAGATATCGAGGATAAAAATCTTAAAAGAGGATGTGTTTTCCCATAAAGATGGAGGAATAAAGAGGTAAGAGTAGCAGCTGGAGGAGCCCTGAAAGAATGAGATGTGCTTGAGAGAGATGCAGGGTCCTCAGCATGGAGCCACATTTCAGTTATGACAAGGGGAATGGGATGAACACTGTCCCCCAGAAATTCATGTATATCCAGAACCTCAGAATGTGACCTTATTTGAAAATATGGTCGTTGGAGATTTAATTAGCTAAGGATCTCAAGACAAAATCCACCAGAATTTAGGGAGGACTCTAAGTCCAATGACTAGTATACTCAGAGGAAAAGGAGAGGACACAGGGAGACATGCAGCCCAGAAGACCATGTGAAGATAGGGGCAGAGATTGGAATTACACTGTCACAAATCAAGGGCTACCAGGAGCCACCCAGCAGAGGCTGGAAGAGGCAAAGAAGCCTTCAGAAAGAGAATGGCCCTGAAACACCTTGAGCTCAGACTTCTGGCTTCCAGACTGTGAACGAAGAAATTTCTGTGGTTTTTAACCATGTTGCTTGTGGTATTTTTTTTTTTATAGCAGTCATAGAAAACTAATACAAGTAAGAACATTATGGAAACATATTGCATCCTTGTGATGAGGGTGAGGTTTTTTGTTTTGTTTGTTTTTTAAAAAAATTGCATTTTTCTCTATTTTATATAAAATACCTGCTTATGCCATTTTTTAAAAATCCACTTTCTCCTTAGACTAGCCAGAGTGTATTCTGTTGTCCACACTCAGAACTGGCAATACAGAAAATGTACCAAGTGAATAGGGGAGGGTGAGAAGGGAGAGTCTGCAAGAGGCTGTTTAATTCTTTAAATTCTTGCCATGCTAATTAAATAATGTTAGACTATGAGCTTAAAATCTACCTACTCTATCTTACTTATGCTGACATTTTCTTCCACTGTACTAAAATAACTCTACATCTTAAATTCACTGATTGCATATGCTCTGTGTAGATTAGAGAAGAAATGTCACAGAGGAAAGATAAACAGGAAAGGCCAAACAAACCAAGTGTGTCACCTCTGGAAAGGCAGTATTTCTCACGCTCATTTATTTTCTAGGCTTTGCCAGATGACAGGGAACCAGGAGAGGCACAGAAGTATAGAACCTTAGAAAGAGAGCTGTTTTAAACCATTTAGTCCTGTCACCAAATGATTATTTTATCTTCTCTACAACATCCCTGGAAATATGTGTCCAAACTCTCCCTGAGCCTCTCTAGTGACAAAGGACTCATTACCTCCTGAAGCAGACATTGCATTTTAGGTACTCTACTTGAGAGGAAAATTCTACAGCTGACTTGAATCCAGTACTTTTGATAACTTCTGAATGCTGCAATCTGAGGCTACTAAGAACTACATTTGTCTTCTTGAATGATACCAATTCTCACACTTGAATCCAGCTATCATGTCCATCCATGTCTTCTTCTTCTCAGACTTAAGGCTCCATTTCCTTTGGCTAACATGATTTCATTTATTTCCTTCACTTTCAGGTTCCTCTCCTCTGGCTGTGCTCCAATTAGTGGGACTAAATATTGTGTTAAAGCTGAAGGTCACACACTTATCTTTCCTCCATTTTTCTTAGTGACTTCTTGCAGGATTTTGTCTGTTCCACTGCCAGACATCAATGAAAGGTTCCATCAATACTTCGTCCTTTGTGCCTTCAAAGCCTTCGTCTAGTTTGTATCATATTGTGCTCCAACACATACTTAAGTTTCTGTTCCATCCCCCCAATTGGACAGTGATCTAACTGAGGATAGGAATGATGTCTTTCTATCTTTGAATTCCAAGCAACAAGCACCTCTCTGTGCACATAGCAGGGTTTAATTTGAAACTATGTTAAAATATAACCATCAAAATGAATGGATCACAAAAGTTTTCCCAGGAGAGGTCCTATGACCCTGGTATATCCCACAAACTGATTAAGAAGCCAAAAATAATGCAGGGAATAAAACTGAAACTTTGGTGTGTTATGCAGTCAAGTAACCTTAAAGAATTCCATAAAAATATTATTAGAGAAAATAGGCTTTAGGGCTATAGAAGGATCAGCTCAGGACAGAGGGATCCTGGATTGGATAGGGGTCTAGATTGGTACAGATTGAGTTCTGGGCTTTTCTTCAGGATGGCACTTTTCTAACAAAAGTTACATATCCATGAGACAGGTAAGGCAATTAGTTACCAGGCCAGGTGGTAACTTTGAGGAGTGAAGGTGATCTAAAGCTTGGGGACGCAGATGATTGCAACAATGAAAGGTAGTGGGTGGTGGAAAGTGATAGCATGAGATTAGAAATGGAAGATTTTCTTAAAACAGCTAAGAGAATGGTCCAGAATGGAAATGAGGAAAATGGAGAACACTTAACCCACCTCTGCATCCAGAGGCCTGAGGAATGTGGGAAAGAAACAGTCACTATTTGAGAGGGCTCCCAGGGAAGAAGTGTTTTTAGGAAAAAGCCAGGATTAAGTCATAGTTAGAAGACATTGAAGATACAGGTGATGTGATGTATGAGGGAGCACAGTCCACAAGACCATTCTCACTTCTGAAACCAAATGCAAGTTTGGGGAGTTCCCCCAAACACACTCAGTTTCAATAATTCACTAGAAGTGTACATAGAACTTACTAAAAGCTGTATAATCACAGTCATTGTTTGTTACTCTAGTTTGTATTCTAGCAAAAGAATACAGATTAAAATTAGCCAAGAAAAGAAGTACCCAGGGCAAAGTCTAGGAAAGTGCCAAACCCAGAGCTTCTAGTTGTCCTTCACCTATTGAATCATGAATGGCATTACTTTCCCAGGATTGATGTCTGGTGATATGCTGAGTATTGCCAGCCAGGAAACTCATAGGTGTCTTGGTGTTCAGAGTTTTCGTTGGAGTTCCATCACGTAAGCACAATTGATTGCCCACATGTTAGATCTCCATTTCCAGCCCCTCAAGAGATCTAGCTTACACTATGTGACCCAAAACCCCCTCTCTAAATCACATGGTTATTTATCTGTCTTATCCAAGGCCAGCAGGCAAACAAAGACAACCCTATCAGGCATGACATTCCAAGGGTTTACAGACTGCCTCCAGAAGCCAAGGGCAGAAGCCAGCTCTCTCTTTCCTTAGGCAAGGCTACATTTTTTAGTACATAGGGGATTGTAATGATGATTGACTTTTCACATTGCATTGTAAGTATCTGTTCATGTGTGCATCTCCTACAGTGATGGTGAGATCCTTGAGGTCAGAGTCCATGCAACATGCAATGTCTGCATACTGGATGGGCAAAATGGTAAATGAATCTGCTTGGTGTGGTTTTGCACAATATAGTAGCTTCAAAAGCCTTGGTCTGGGAAATGGGGTTTTACTTGTTCTTTCTTGAGGAACATAAACGAGTCTCTCAACTTCTATTGTTTCTACAATAAGCAAAGGTTTTTATTTTATCAGTGGGAAAGTTACTAGAAAAATATTGCTCTGAAGAATTCCTCTTCGATGCCTTCTGTAATGATATAGTTTGGATGTTTTGTCCCCTCCAAATCTCATGTTGAAATGTGATGCTCAGTGTTGGAGGTGCAGGTTGGTGGGATGTGTTTGGGTCATGGGGGCAGATCCCTCAAGAATGGCTTGATGTCTTCCCAATGGTAATGAGTGAGCTCTTGCTCTGTTAATTTATGAAAGAGCTGGTTGTTTAGAGCAGCCTGGCACCTCCTCCTCTCTCTCTTGCTTCCTTTCTCAACATGTGACATGCCTGCTCTGCCATCACCTTCTACAACGACTGTAAGCTTCCTGAGGCATCTCCAAAAGCTGAGCAGATGTTGCTGCTGTGCTTGTACAGCCTGCAGAACTGCAAGCCAAATAAACTTCATTTCTTTATAAATTACCCAGTCTCGGGCATTCCTTTATAGCAATGCAAAATGGACTCACACAGGTGACAAATGCATTTGAGGGTTTATTAGACTGCAGAAAGACACAGGTCTCTAAAGCTAGGGCTTCTTGCCTAAAACAATGTATATTGTTATATATATTGAACTGTAAAACATTTCATGGCTTAACAGGCTTCTGATTTACCTCAGCACAAAGGAAAATTAAAAGTGCTCTCAAAGACAAATGCCATCTTATTTGTCTGACGAACAGACTTATTCTAACTACTCATCTCTCTCATTACCACTGCAAAAATGAGAGACTAGCTGAAAATGGAAAAATGAAAGAATGTGAATAAAAGGCCAGAATTAAATAGAAATATCAGAACTTCTTTTGATGTTACAAGTCCCCAGGCTTGAATTATGTCAATAAGCACAGCACTTCAGAAGGTGAATCTTGCTGTTATTAAAAATAGCTAAAGAATAGGGCCAGGCGTGGTGGCTCACGTCTGTAATCACAGCACTTCGGGAGGCTGAGGCAAGCAGATCACGAGGTCAGGAGATCGAGACCATCCTGGCTAGCATGGTGAATCCTCGTCTTTACTAAAAATACAAAAAATTATCCAGGCATAGTGGCATGTGCCTGTAATCCCAGCTACTCAGGAGGCTGAGGCAGGAGAATTGCTTGAACCCAGGAGGCGGAGGTTGCAGTGAGCTGAGATTGTGCCACTGCACTCCAGCCTGAGCAACAGAGCAAGACTCTGACTCAAAAAAAAAAAGAAAAAAAATAACTAAAGAATATAACCATTATGCAATCAAAGTATGCAATATTTCAAGCTTTTAGAAAAAAACATTATTGAAGGAGAAATGCTCACCATTACCCTAATTCCTCTAAAAATAGTGTTAAATCTATATGGCCACCTACAACATACTATTCAGTCTATTACTCAGTCTATATAAAGTCATTGTTTTAGTCTTCGTCCCTGAGACCTTGGTATAAAGATTAAACAAATAGTTTGTCAATGTTTTTTTTTTTCTCCAAAGAAAAGGCTCATTTGGCTCTCATTCTAACTTGTTTTGGACATGGTTTTAACTCTCAGGAAGCAAATAGAAGGGCAATTAGTGGAGATAATTAAGAATACTGCAACATTCTTTTTTTTTAATGGGAGTAGGCCACACAATTTGTGGCCAGAAACCCACATCAACTATTTCTTGAAAAAGTACTACAATGATGGCACTTGTTTCAACTTGATCATTCAGTGAAGCCATCTCACTTAACCTGCCAGAGTGTGTCTTCAAGACAATCTTGAGGTGGTTTTGTTAGGTCTGAGATGTGATCCTTACTGAAGCACTAGTATTATTGACTTTTAGTCATTTCTCTAGGAGCTATGCATTCTTAATTCATTATTGTGTTCCTAGAACTACTATTGTCCCACCTGGTGTAATATGTGAGACTCTTACAAGGGTGCAATTCTATTTACTCCACGATTCCTAATGCAGTTGTTACCATTGGTTTTGCTACTTCATACATTATAAATCTGACCAAATAAAAGATTTCATTTTTAGTTTAAGCAGTTAGTAATCTTTTAAATTAAGAGGAAAGAGATAATCATTTATATTCATCCACATATTTACCATTTTTGGTGCTTTTCATTTCTTCTTGTTGATTCATGGTTCCACATGGAATCATTTCCATTAGCCTTAGTATTTCTTGTTGTGCAGGTGTGCTGGAGATGGATTTTCTGTTTTCTCTAATCTGCAGATGTCTTTAATTTACCTTCATTGTGGAGGATATTTTTCACTGTGTATAAAATTTTGGAAAATGCTTTCTCTTTCCTTTTAGCTCTTTGAAGACATCATTTCATATTCTTCGGGCCTGCATTTTTCTTCTATTTTTGAATTAGATTCTGAATTTATTTTTTAGATTTTTTAATTGGTATATATGCTATACATATTTTGGGGTACACGTGATATTCCAATACCTGTATACATTGTGCAATGATTAAATCAGGGTAATTGGGATATCCATCACCTCAAACATTTATCTTTTCTTTTTGTTGGGAACATTATAATTTTTCTCTTCTAGTTATTTTGAAATATACAATAAATCATTGTTAACTATAATTTCTCTACTATACTGCCAAACACTAGAACTTATGCTTTCTATCTAACTATATTGGCCTGCATTTTTCTGATGAGAATTCAGCCGTTACTTGTATCTTTGTGTATAATGTGTATTTTTAATGACTACTTATGTATGTTTTCTCTTTATCTTTGGTTATCTGCAATTTGATTATGTTGTTCCTAGGTGTAGTTAGCCTTGTGTTTATCCTGCTTGAAGTTTCCTGTATTTTTTGGATCTATAGCTTAATGTTTTCACTAGATTTTAGAAACAGATGGTTGTTGTTCTTTTTTTTTTTCTGCTTCATTAACTTTATCCTTTTCTTATGGACCTCCTGTTGCAAATTGGTCAGATAGCTTGCTATTGCTCCTACAAGTCCCTAAGACTCTAGTAAGATTTTTATTTTATTTATTATTATTATCTTTTGCTGTTTTTCAGACTGGATAATTTTTTATTGATCTGTCATCAAGTTCATTGGCCTATTTGTTACAGTCTCCAATCTGCTATTAAGCCAATCAATACATTTTTTATTTGAGATTGTATTAGTTCATTTTCTTGCTGTTGATAAAGACATACCTGAAACTGGGAATAAAAGAGGTTTAATTGGACTTATAGTTCCACATGGCTGGGGAGGCCTCAGAATCATGGCGAGAGGCAAAAGGCACTTCTTACATGGTGGTGGCAAGAGAAAAATGGGGAAGAAACAAAAGCGGAAACCCCTGATAAACCCATCAAATCTCATGAGACTTATTCACTATCATGAGAATAGCACGGGAAAGACCAGCCTCTATGATTCAATTACCTCCCCCTGGGTCCCTCCCACAACACATGGGAATTCTGGGAGATATAATTGAAGTTGAGATTTGGGTGGGGACACAGGCAAACCATATCAGAGATATATGCTTAACACGTTCTAGAAATTGAATACTTTAGAGTTTCCATTTCTCTGGAGACATTTCTTATCTGTTTGTTCTTGAGGCCCACATTTTTTTATGTGTCTTTGTACATTTTTATAGCCCTTCAAAGTTCTTGTCTGCTAATTCCAAACTGCAAATCATTTGGAATTCTGTTTCTATTGGCAGCATTTTTCTCAATTTTAGTACACATTTTCCTGCGGCTCGCAAATTTAGTATTTTTTCAAATCTTATGCTGGACATTGTGGTAATTATTTTGTCTTCATTATGTTGTCTATTTTTTACTAAAAAAGATATTTAATTTTGTTTTGTTAGGTTGTTAGTAGTAAATCCTTTTATTTCACGCTTGGTTTTGTTGTTGTTGTTGTTGTTATTTTAGAGCTGCTCTATTTTTTCCTTAGTCTTACGGCATATTCCTACTTTAAAGTGGTTCTTATTCCTTAGACATGTCCTTTCTGGAGTCCAAACTAAATGACTGAAGTACACAGTGAGGGTGGAAGAGTGGCCAAACATCTCTCAGCATTGGAAGACCCATTGCGTCTCTCTTGTGGGACAGCTCTGAGCCCCGCAAACTCCACCCTCTGTTAGGCCTTGTGGTATCTCTTTCTACATATCTGCTGCCAATCTTTCAGCCAAGAACCTCCTGGGTAGAGTTTTTGGGCTCCATTTCTGCACATCTTCCTCATCTCCAGTTCTCTATCCCAGAATTTCTTGCTGCTTTTGTAGTTCCAAACTCTTGTATTTCTCTCCTTTGCTTAGTGATACCACTGGCCTCTCCTTGGGCTTCACTTCCCTTAGAAGTAGTCTGAAAAATGCCCCCAAACAGGAAGCTAGTCAAAAATGGTGACCACCTTGTGCTTTTTTTTTCCCCTCAATGATTGCGGTTCTGAGCTGTCTGTGCCTAATACCAGAAAACAGTTGTCTCATATATTTATGTCCAGTTTTACAGTTTCTTTCGGCAGGAGGCAAATTTGGTACCATTCACTTATCATGATCTGAGGCAGAATTCTGATTTTCTTTTATGCATGCAGACATAGGTCAAGAAAGACTGTAAGTTCCAAAACATTGGAGACCATGCCATAGAGTGTTGGTAACATATTCAACATATGATCATTGCTCAGTGAATATAAATAGAATATATTATATTAAATTGAACTGAAGTTCTTTGATAGGACTGAATTTTCTATTGCTAAGCTCTCTAAAAACCTCTATTCTCCCTTGCTAGATATAGAGTATGATATCGGGGTTAACATGCATTGATCTCAAGAGAATAAATATCATATAGGATTCAATTAAAAGTGAAACCTCACCACCATTTCAAGAGTTCTTAGGCTAAGTTTTTATATTATCACCATTTATGGATAAAACATAAAAATTTAATTGTTTAAATAAAAGTCTGCCCAATGCCCCAAATACCCAATATCTAATATATCACCTTTTATTCATATATAGCAACAATTTTACACAGGCCTCATGAAAATTGCTAAAGCTAGAATACTTCGATGAATAGATCATGCTTAAAGGGAAAGTTTTGTTCATAAAGGAGGAGACCCAGGGGAAAATCTTTCACTAATACATACATATTAGTTGTTGAACTGAGATGAGTTGTGAAGTCATTCTGCTTTTATGTAATCAGAGGATATTGAGGCCTTGATAACATGTCCATTGATCTAGTGTGAAACATTACAGTGAATATTTGAGTTTTGTTGAAATTTTACTTTTATAAACCTTATAATGGATGCTTTCAGAATACGTTTTTGTTTTTGTCATAGCTTTGTTCCAGGCTGAGAGTTGAAATACGAATAAAAGAAAGATTTCTCTTATGAAGTCTGAGGGTAGGACTATGGGAGAGAAGAGGACACCCCTAAAATCTGCCATTTGTGATTGTGTTTTTATTGTTTTTAAAAGGAAATCTAAAAATCAAAGAATGTAGAGTTGTGCTTAGAAGTTTGCCAGTGTAGGCTGGGTGCAATGTCTCATGCCTGTAATCCCAGCACTTTGGGAGGCCAAGGCAGATGAGGTCAGGAGTTCGAGACCAGCCTGACGAATGTGGTGAAATCCCATCTCTACTAAAAATACAAAAATTAGCCAGGTGTGGTGGCACATGCCTACAATCCCAGCTACTCGGGAGGCTGAGACAGGAGAATTGCCTGAACCCCGGAGGCAGAGGCTGGAGTGAGCTCAGATCACGCCACTGTCCTCCAGCCTGGGCAACAGAGCAAGACTCTGTCTCAAAAACAAACAAACAAACAAACAAACAAAATGAAGTTTGCCAGTGTGTAAAACATGTATCTTAGTTACTCACTGTATTTCTCCCTGAATCCAGGAAGTAATATCAAATAAACTCTTTCACTGATAAGTCATTACTTTTTGCTCAGTCTGTGAACATCTATTGAGGATCTACTAAATGAGCTAGATATGGGTCACTTTGCTTTCTTTAAGTCAGTTATAAAGACTGGTAAAAGAGATGAGGATCTGCCCTATGGGGACAGTTCTAGGTTCTCTTATATTAACGACATTTACTGAAACTTTTCCTCTAAGGGGCAAAATTATACACTGCGTGCTTTTTACTTCTCCAACCAGAATGAACTTCCTGCTGGTTAAAATTAATTATCTGCAAGTTTTTTTTCCTTTTCACCCTGTTATTATATTTTTCAGTATTTAGAAAATCAGTCAGTTTTTCTCTGTCATTGCTGTTGCTTGCCATCTTTTTCATTTTTTTGCAACAGATATCTGCTAATCACCTACTAGAAGCCTGTCACTGTTAAAGACACACAATCTCTTGCCCTCATGAAGCTTATATTTTAGGATAGAAGAGACAAAAACAAAATGAATAAGAAAATTATGTGAAATATTTACTAGATGGTGATAAATAATATACAGGGAAGAGGAGTAGAGAGAATGGAGATTGCAATTCATCTAAGGAAGCCAGGTAAGATCTCAATGAGAAGAAGACCTGAAAGGAATGAAAGACTAAGCTGTGCAGAGCTACATGGAGAAGAAAATTCTTAGAAGTAGGAACTCCACGAGTGTAGGTCCTGAGACAGAAAAGTCTGTTGTGTCCTAGGAAGAGCACGGAGGTTACTGTGGCTGGAGTGATGTGAACATGAAAGAAGGTAGCATATGAGGTCTATTAGGGGTAAGAAATGGAGTAGATGGTATAGAGCCCTGTAGGCCATTATAACAGCTGTGGCGTTCATTCCGGGACATCGGAAGCCACAACATTTTAAAGAATCATTTTGGCTGCTGTGCTGAAAATTTTCTGAAGAAGAGAATGAATGGCAGCAGAAAGAATAGTTAGGAGGCTATTTCCATAATCCAAGCAATCCATCATTATGGCTCTTTGGACCACAGTGGTAGGAGGGGAGATAGCAAAAAGTGGTCATTTTCTGGATATGTTTTGAAGGCATAGTTGACAGAATTTGCTGACAAATTGGAAACACAATATGACAAAAAGAGAAGAGTTGGAATTATTTCAACATCTTGTGCCAGAGAAATTGGAAAAAACGGTCTCTGTTGCATGACATGGAAAAGGCTGCAGGTTGTGTAGTTTTGGTTAGAGGGAGAATCATAAATTATGTTGGACAGGTTGTTTTGTGATGTTTATTAGACAAATTTAGATGTCAGTAGGAATTGTACACAGATGGTCCCTGACTTACTTATGGTTCAACTTAGAATTTTTCAACTCAACAACAGTGTGAAAGTGCTACACATTCAGTAGGGACCATACTTCAAGTACTCATATAATCATTTTGTTTTTCGCTTTCAGTACAGTACTCAAGAAATTATTTGAGATATTCAGTGCTTTATTATAAGATAGACACTGAATTCAGTAGATTTTTTTTTCCCAACTGTGGGCAAATGTAAGTGTTCTGAGCATGTTTAAGGTAGGCTAGGCTAAGCTATGATGTTCCATGGGCTAGATGTAACAACTTAAGATAGTTTCAATGCTTTTTCCACTTAGAATATTTTAAATTATGATGGGCTTATTGGGACATAACCCTATCATAAATTGAAGAGCATCGGTATAGGCATTTGGTGTTCAGAGGAGAGAGGCAGGAGCTGGAGATACGAATTTGGGTGTCAGCAGCATATTTAAAGCCATGAGACTGGATAAGATCACCAAGGTACTGAGTAATGTTAAGAGTCAGAAATGAGGCAGAACCAGAAAAGGTGAGACAAAAGGAGTAGCTAGTGTCATAGGAAGAAAACCAAGAAAGTGTGGGTTCTTGGAAGCCAAGTGAAAAATGTGTTTCAAGTCTAATGCTGCTAATTAATCAAATAAAAACAGAAACTAAGAATTCACCCATATCATGGAGGTCAGCTAGGACATTGACAAGATTATTTGCAGTGGAGTGTTAAAGGCAAAAACCTGATTGGTGTGGTTGAGGAGACTAGGAAAAGAGTTAAATTGGAGGCATCAAGTTTACACTAATATTTCTAGACGTTTTCTTTGTAAAATAGAGCAGAGAAATGGGGAATAGCTGGAGGAAGTAGAATCAAGAGGGTTGTTTTTTAAATGAGAAAAATAACAGCTTATTTGCATGCTGATGTGAATGATCTTTAAGAAGGAAATGAGAGAATAAAGGATACAGAAAATTTTTGAATAAGTGATAAAGGAATGAGCAAAATCTGGGTTTTAGCAAGGGGAATTAATAGTTTATCCATTGTAAAAGGAGGAAGAGTAAATGGTCACAGATGGTGAATGAGGATAAATGTGTAGGAGTTTGTGAAAGTTCTTTCTTGAATGCTTTAGTTTCTTTCAGGGAGTTGATAATATAGCCTTCAGTTGTGAGCAAGGACTGGGGGGAGTTGTTTGAAGTTTTAGAGGAAAGAAGAAAAGGAGAGTGGTGAAAGTGAATGCCATGGGCAAGTAGAATATGGATGCCTGGGACTGTGAATGACCCCATTAAATGAACAACTAGGAATTTTAAAATAAATTAATTTTTGTAATTCTGTGT
This sequence comes from Homo sapiens, assembly GCF_000001405.40. Lineage (NCBI taxonomy): Eukaryota > Metazoa > Chordata > Mammalia > Primates > Hominidae > Homo > Homo sapiens. Next base: position 38,175,047 of record NC_000014.9, on the reverse strand, counting down.
TTTACTCCAATTATATTTAATGGTATAGGCAGAGACATGGAGTGGGCAGGGAGATGAATTTAACCAGACTTGTGGTTTAGTCAAGCAAGTAAAACAAAGAGGAGGCAATGGAATTCAGGAGGTTTGAAAGAATGCGATTTTAATGATTGACCATGGAATCGGGGAAAGGAGGGACAAAGGCCATGAAGAGGGTGAAGGAGAGTGAGCAGGTAGGAGAATCAAGGGACTGTAGTTTCTAGTAAGTTTAGAGGCTTGTCTACATTTTTGGCATTTCAGTAGAAGTTTTCAGATTGTTGTACTTGCTCACACATGAACATGCTCATATCAGCATAGCTATGAATATATGACCTGGCTTTTATGGAGAAATATTCCATGTAAATGGCCAGGCATTCTAAGAATTTACTCAGTCTCAAATAACACTTTTGAAAAGGCACAGGGTGGGCCGGGCGCGGTGGCTCACGCCTGTAATCCCGGCACTTTGGGAGGCCGAGGCGGGCGGATCACGAGGTCAGGAGATCGAGACCATCCCGGCTAAAAACGGTGAAACCCCGTCTCTACTAAAATACAAAAAATTAGCCGGGCGTAGTGGTGGGCGCCTGTAGTCCCAGCTACTTGGGAGGCTGAGGCAGGAGAATGGCGTGAACCCGGGAGGCGGAGCTTGCAATGAGCCGAGATCGCGCCACTGCACTCCAGCCTGGGCGACAGAGCGAGACTCCGTCTCAAAAAAAAAAAAAAAAAAAAGAAAAGGCACAGGGTGCCAGAAACTTGGAGTAGGTATGGAGGATGTATAGATGAAAAGACACAGTTACTACCTAGAAGGAGCTTACAGTCTGGAGGAAATACAGGCATGTAAACAGGCAAGTATACAGAGCCTTCATTAGTCTTGGGTCTCCATAGATATATTGTACTGCAGAAGCTCCGAATCAGAATGTGTCTTTCTATTAGCTATTCTTATACCCAGGAAGTTTACACAGTATGCTAAAGGGTCTCATTTACAGAAGTCCTATCTAGATATTGATCATTTTCTCCAAAGTGCCTCACTACTCTGGCTACACAATTTTTTCATGGCTGTGTTGTTTTCTTTGTCAGCTCAGCTCTTTCTGCTTAGCTGGAAGTGACTGACCAATTCCTGCTTATAATCTAGAAAAGATTGACCATTAACCAATTAGCCATCAAAAGGAAGATTATAATAAGTGATCTAAGAGCCAAACACTCAATGCTGGAGGAGTACAGAATTGAGAGTAGGTACTATAGTAAAAATAAATGTAAATAAAGCAACCTTTATCTTCAATGAGTTTATAATCTACAAGTGATTATGATTAAGCGCTTATTGCTACTACAAATATGTAACATTTAGAGTAAATCATTAAGATTTTTTATTACCAATAAAATAATAAGGCATCTTGTAAGGATGATTGTGGTGTTGTGATAAATCATAATCTATGACTGTCATAACTATTTTAGACCTTAATTATTTAGATCTTAATTTATTATTTCTTTCAAACCATTTCTCCAAATTCTACTCATTACCCTGAGGTCTTGAAAATGCTACTTTTGTGCTTTAAGGAATGAATCAGTGCAGCTAAAAAGGCTGAAGTGTAATTGTTATGAAATAAAAACAATACCAAAAAGTTAGTGCAACAAGACAATTTCTAATGGAAAAATATTTGGAGCAATATCTAAATTAATAAAGATTTTGCCACAATTAAAAGAGAGCATAATAAAGAATATCAAGTTTTTAAATTATAGGAGAGATAGTTGTTTATATCCAACCCCATTAATAGTTGGATTAAATATTCCTAATATCTTCCTTATACTCATCCCAGTCAAGGTAAATTGAAGCCACAGTTTTGTTGTTTAAGTGTTTCACAGTAGGTTACATTCTTTTACTACCAAATTATCAAACAATAGTTTTGTAGTAACGTCTGGAAGAAAATGGATGTAGGAAACAGAACTTCTCTCCTGAACATAGTGGGAAAAGTAGCTGGTACACATTTTTTTTAAAACCCCAAATATAAGAAATTAGCAATTGATTGACTCCCTCTTTCTCTTGTCATCCATGTATATTGCAGTCGAGACCAACATTCTTTTGTCTTGGTTTTATGGTATTGTGGAAAGAATATGTGACCAGAGGGAAGAGGCTTGGCTTGTCATGACCACTCACTGAGGGGACTCTGGTAAACCAAAATCTTTTGGAGCTTGTCTTTACATCTTCAAAAAACTTACTTACGGAGCTCTGAAGTTATGTTGTTTTGTTTTATTTAATAAACAAAAATTAACGAAGGAATAAGTGAACTTTGGTTCATATACTACAAAACGGTATCTCAATGGCAGACTTTTAGTTCAAGGAACAGATTTATTAGCTTCATCCTAGTTTATTGTTTGTCTTCTTTGAGTCATGACTACATCATTTTATATCTTACAAGAAAGCGCTTATTAAGCACTTACTAAACAGCGGTTTCTACAGAAAATAAAATTAATTTCAGATATTGTTACTAAATTTGAGGAGGTGGGTGCTTTAATGGAGAGTTGGAATTTAAATATCTAAAGCATTTGGAAAACATGGGGCAATAAATGATTAAACTTGGATCGAATGGTAGTCACTGTAAATTGAAGAATTTTGACACTAAGTATGAAAAGAGTTTAAAGACTGGAGAGAAATGTAGGCTCTAGTTTTCTAGTAAACTAGATTTCCTATAAGAAACAGGATTTCATTAATCCAGTCAATCAGGTAGCTAGTTACCTGGTTATAGGAAATATTAAAATAATCAATATAGAGATGGTTGCATGTTTCATTTTGAGCAAAGAAGTACTTTCAGGACATTCCAAAAGAGCTGTCTAGTAGATGGGTTGATATATAGATCTGTAGATCAGAAGAAGGGAGGTATATATTCGTCAGTGGAATGCCAAACTCTCAGTGGCTTATTGATGCCTACTATTTCGTATGTGAAACTGGAAACAATAGGTTCTGCTGAAATCAAAAGAGAAGTGGTGGGACACAAGCACAAGGAGAGAGTCAGAGGCTAAGCACAGCTGTTGCAAGTCCAACCAGTCAGGTTGGGGGCACAGTTATGAAGAAGGTTTATGTATCAGTCTAAGGTTGGAACCTATAGATTTTTAATGAAATCAATCCACCTTCTTGTATAACTTGTTTTCTACGAGTCATCTATCTGGGTATCAGAGTAGAAAAAGTAGAAAGTTGAGTTGAACCAGGGTTATAGTATGACCAAATGAAAGAACAAGGAATAAGGTATTTGAGAATGCAGTAAATAAAATACTAAGTTTATGGATGGTGAAGTCTTTTTATTTAAAATCAATAAGTGAAGCTGGTAGGGAAATGATTAACTGGGAGGAAAAGAAGTAGTGAAAAGGCAGGAAGTGTCAATGAAGTAAAAAAATAGGTTCAGTGTGAGTAAGAACATGAAAGAAATGGAAGGGTTCAAGGATATCGACAGAGAAGAATGTTGGTGCTTAGGAATATAGGTGTCTCTTGAAAAGTGGAAAAGACTTAGAAACAGGAATATCTACAGCATGGTTTTGGGTGACTGGAGCTGAGTATGAGCAAAAATCATTGGCAAGGTTATAGAGTGATTCATCCACGTGGTCACTAAAAGTGTAGGTGAGTGGGGCAAAGAGGAAGACTTGGCCGAATGCCCAAGTCCTTAATGGTCACAGATGAGTGGTTATGTAAGCCCTTGAGTTGGATCTTGAAGATGTAATCCTGTCTAAGCTGATCCTTGGGTGGGTCAAGAGAGTGAAGACAAACAATTTCAGGAATGAAAAGCTTCAAAAACAATGGTACCTTCACCAGAGAAGAAGCACATGTGCAGAAAATAGAACTGACATCTCTTAAATTTGCTACCACTGACTAGCTGTGGTGAAATATTTTGCAGGAGAGAGCTGAAAATCTTGACTGAAATGAAGAATCTGCATTATTTGCCTAGGTTATGTATTTGTCCAATTTTAGTCCCTTAGTACCATAGAAAAGTAAAAAATTAGCCCAATATCTGACATTTTCAGACATTTTTGATATTTAACCTTGACTGCAGACATGCTTAAATATGGAAAACTTATAGCTAGAATAAAGGATATATATTAGAATTGTATTCCCATTTTAATTCAATCATACAGTATATTTTCTTCTCTAAAATTATATAATTTCCTGACTTCACATATAAATGTTTAACTTAGCATTTCTATATAAATAAGAGAGTACATGCTTTAGTTTTTACTCAAATAAATTGTAAACCAATTTTTTTTTCAAGTCAGGCTGGTAGAGTAGACATGATATGTTCTTTTCTTGGCCATTCCCCTAATGCTGGGAAGGCTTTAATCTGCATAACTTTTCACTTCTTTTTCAAGTAAGCATTGCAAAATGAGCAAACAAAATGTTTTTTTAAAATCTGCCTATTAAATTACAATCAATTTAGCAATTTGGAAACACTATTAGCAAATTTTAAAAGCCATTTTTCAAAGTGACAGAAATATGTACACCATTGTACATGCTATAAAATACTGCTGATTTTATTTTACATGCTTTCTATTTACCTCAATTAGTTTCTGATTCACTAAACAAACATTCTTTTTGGATCTTGCACATAATTTTTGTCTCTCCTTTTTATTTTGTATAATAAAACTTTCAGATCACTGGAAATAGGTTCTTAAATTCAGAGAAAAATATTTTTCTGAGATTCAAAAATATGATAAAAGGAAGGGTAATGCTATGTGAAGGCAAAAAAAAGTGAGAATGAACATTAAGTAAATTTAAATCTGCTGTGCTTTTTCATTAACAAGCATTTTATATAACAAGCTACAAAATAGCTTGTACTTCGCTCACCTTCAATCAGAAAACATAAAATATGTGAGATAATGAAATCATACATCAGCCAGAGGGAAGGATACTTAAATAAAGTCACTGTGGGCAGTGTTTGTGGATTGGTTTTTCAAAATGTGTGTTCATTCTCAAAATGTGAGGGAATCAACAAGAACACAGGCGGCCCAATTCTATTATCTAAAACCTCTGGCCACACAATATACAGTGTGTATATCTCACTTCTGATGGTTAGTTGATACTTACTTCCTTTAACCCCAAGACTACAAGTCTCTGATCCAGAGCTCCTCTGATTAAAGAGTATTGACAGGGTTTCTGTGTCCAAATTTGTTTTATGTCTCTAAACTTCATTATTTCTACTTGGACATCTTGTGTGTTTTCACACCTTCAGGCATTAGTGACTGAGAAGTCCCCGTAATCCCTATCCGCCCAATGAACTGGCAATGCTGTTGCAAACATGCCTCAGTGGTGGTTTTGCCATCAAAATGTTAGCCCAAGTTCATTTCAAAACAGCCTTAGAAGAGTATTATGGAAAAAATAAACCTTTGCAATGCATTCCTTTTGTTTCTCTTTTATTCCATTTGAGTTATCAAGTTAACTTCCCTGCAGGTTTTTCACTATTCCAGTCTGTCATTGCTTCAATCCAGACTACACCACTGTCAGATCACTCTTGCAAAAGGACATGTCTCTTCAGGTAACTTTGCTCTAAATCTTTCTAAGGTTCAAGATGACTAATGAAAGGGAAAAACCCTTCTTATTTTCACCAAAGCTTCCCACAATACCTACAATGACCCCATGTCTGATCTCTAGTCCAGCCATGCTGTCACACATAGCCCTACATGTCTTTCCTCCATGACTTTGTTTATCCTATTCTTTCTGCCTGGAGCATAATGCACATCTCCAATTGCCAAGGTCTGCTCATCCTTCAACATCATCTTCCAATGCTACCACTTCCAGGAAGCCTTTCCGGATCACCCCAGATGATAATATCCTCTCTCAGCCCTATATCATTGTACTCAAACCTCTGTTATAACACCTACCAGTTTTTAGATTCATATGTACAAGTAATGTTTTCTCTTGTTGATTGTAAAATCATGAGGGCAAATTTTATGTTTGATGTATCTCCATGCATTCCAAAGTGTCTTATACATATTTGGTGTTTCATAAGTGTGTTGAATGAAATAAGTGCCTAATAGAAAATGTTCGCCCCCCAGCAGATCTCAGGTCTTCCCTTGGTCTTCATTCTTTTCTCTTTTGTTTTCTAATCTGTCATCCATAAGCACTCATTTCTGAGTCCACTTTTCTCTGACTCCTGTAATTCTTTTCAGTTGTTTCCCAGAGAAAACATTAGAGACTTTGATAGGGATAGCAGAAAAAGGGTTTTAAAACTAAAGTTGATACAAACTTATGTGAGTGTACACATGTGCATCTGTGTGTGTGTATGTGTGGTGTGTGTGTGTCTGTGTGTGTGTGTGTTCGTGGTAAGAGGTTCCAGAGGTGCCAACAAGGACTGAGATTTCCCAAGTTTAGAACCATTACTCTAAAGATACTTCAAGTTCCCAGTACAGGACAGATGTGCCTTTTCAGGGAAAGCAAATTTTAGTGAACTCTGTGCTCCCATATATCTGAAAAAGTGACAGGGCTTGGATACACTCCAGAAACAAGCATTTTCCCTGACAGGAAAGCAAATAAAAATCACAAAATACGAAACTTCTCTATAAGACAGATTATAATGGAAATAATTTAAATAGTCACACAGTGATAATACTAAGCTGCTGGCAACAATAAATAATACTTTTTATTTTTATTTCCCACAGAAATTACCTTACTTAATGTATTCTCCAGATTATCCAGAGTTCTCCAAAGAAACAGATCCGGTAGGATATATAAATATATGTGTCTATACATATATATATAGTCAGATGTGTATGTGTATATACTTTATATATGTGTGTGTGTGTGTGTGTGTGTGTGTGTATATATATATATATATATATATATATATATATATGTATATATGAAGGGATGTATGACAAGGAATTGGCTCATGTGATTATGGAGGCAGAGAAGTTCCAAGATCTGCAGCTGGCAAGCTGGAGACCAGGAAAGCTGATATTGTAGTTCCTGTCTAAGTCCAGAGACATGAGAACCAGAAGAGACAATGGTATATGTTCCAGTTCAAAAGCAGGCAGGCTCAAGACTCAAAAGAGCCAGTATTTTCGTTTGAGTTCAAAGGCAACAAAAGACGGATGCCTCAGCTCATAGTGGTCAGAGGCAGGAGGAATTTTTTCTTACTTAAGGCTTTTGTTCTGTCAAGTCTTTGGTTAATTGGGTGAGGGCCACCAACATTAGGAAGAACAATCGGCTTTACTCAATCTACTGATTCAAGGGTTAACTCACATCCAGAAACGTGCTCACAGACACACTCAAGATAATGTTTGATCAAATGTCTGGGCACCCAGTGGCCTAGTCAAGTTGACACATAAAATAACCATCACAAGTAAGAAGGATGCATGAGTCTCTTGTCTAGTATCAATAGTGTTACTTCAGGATCACATGGAAAATTACATTTTTGCTAACTGATTTGTTTTAAATTCACTTGAAAACTTACTATTAAATTTTTAAAATATTATTAAAAATAATATTAAAAATATTAAACAAAATCCTAATGTTGCTGCAACACCACTAGTGATGGAAAAGATGTAAACTTTGGAACCCAATAATCTGGGTTCACAATCCCGACTCTGTCCAGACTTAATAACTACGTAACCCTGGGCATTTTACTTCTGATCCGTGCACCCAGATTTATTTGTATAAGTGAGATATTAATAAGCCCTCCATAGCATTGATGTTAGGATTAAACAAGAGAGCACATCTACTCTTCATATATAGGAAATGAATGTAACTTCCTTCCCTCCCAACAGTTCCCACTTCTGTCCTATCCTAAAATTAAATGGCATACATCTTAAAATTTGGAACAAATTCAAAGGCCACGTGCATCAAACTACTTAGCTTAGATTGTGAGTAGAAGCTAGAGACACAATGCTCTTGCACCAAATCAGGTAAGTCACTCATAATTTTTAAATAACATGATTTTCTCATAATGTCTTAGCTTCCAAATGACTTTGTATAATTATATAATGCAAGAGATTGACATCTAAATCAAATGTTATTATTATTTCAAAGTCTCTCTTGTAAGTCACTCTCTTTAGCTAGGGCTGACAGATCCCATGGGTCTCACTGGCTAACATATGTCCACTGATTATTTTTGTCTTGTAGATAAGAGTGTCTTATTACTAAATTATTTTAACAGTTTTTCATCTAAGGTGGACTCCATATCACATGCTCACTATATCACAGTCACTAAATAACAAATAGCATTTAGTGAGATTGTAGGCTTGTACTCAATATCTACTCTGAAACAAATTTAACAAGAAATCTTCATTTTTCAAAGATAATTGGAGAAGGGAACAAATTGACATTTACTGTGTATCTACAATGTGGTAAGCACCATTTTAGGCATTTAAACGTTATTTCAGGTTCATGTACTTCCCATAGCATCACATTTCCTTAGGGAACACTTTAGAGACTCTCCAATTCATCGCAACTGGGAAGATTATGGTTGTTTCCTTTGCTGGTAGCAGGAAAATGTGGGACACAAGTTTCTAAGCACAAGATGCGGAATTCAGTGAAGGGAAACAGAGATCTTAGGGGCGGAAACATGCAGTTTTCCCATGGGTTCCATCTGAGACATAGTAAAGACATAGAAAAGTTTCTTAAGTAGGTTCTATGGAATGCTAAGTTCCAGAAGACACCCCCTGAAAAAAAGAATTCTGTAGTAAATTTGGAAACATGTCACCATACCATATCCCCCTCCTGGCTGTGATTAGCATATTGAAGGCTTTGAGTAGCACTAGATGGGGAAGAAAAATCTGCTAGCCTTAAAAAACTCAATAATCCCTAAACTCTTTGCTCTTGGAAAACTTTCTGCATGTAACTCATATTTTCTGCAGACAAAATAGACCATCTTAAAGTAAAATTTCTCACACAAAGAAAGCTTGGGGCATTCTATGTTTTAAATTCACACATGTCAATTGTTTGCATTACTCCCCTCTTGATTATACAGAGTCTAATTAATTGAAACTATTAAAACATTCCAAATATTTTAGGGTATGTTTTTGCTAGGTGACCATTACAAAAATGAGTAAGCAGCTGAATATCGCAGACTTTCCAAACCTACAAATTTCTTCAGTTATGAACCTACTTCAAAGAAAAGCTTGAAAAGATCTTTTTTCAAAGTATCAGAATAAGAGCTATGTTCCAGTGTCTAATGCCATGGTAGAAATTCTAGTTTTGTAAGAGAGATTGGTGTGGGCAGAGGCAAAACTATCTTAGCACAAATCATGGTAATATATTTTGATTTAAGTGCTGGAGCAATACTAAATTACTAAACACAAACTTAATGAAAACATAACTAATGTCAGGTTGTACAGTTTCCATTAAAGAAGCTGTTCTCTGCTGCCTCTAAACTCTACTGCCTGGATTGTTTCCTCTCCCTCATCTTCTCACCTAATCTTCTGTACTGAGCCAACTCAGTGGAACAGAAGAGAGTGTTCAGCACCGGACACATTTTTTACTTTAACTTTACTCCCAAAAGGTAATGACAAGAAGCATAATTTACTTTCTACCGCTAGAGATATTGTAGCTTAGAGAAACTGCAGGGATAGTGATTGGCATAGCTTGACTTACATCTGATACCTTCCCAAACAGAAAGAAGTTTTTATCTGCTACAAAAATCATCCAGTTTAACATCTTAGAGGTTATTCACCATATAGTCATTGGAAACAAGTAAAATGCTTTTCATAGATCATGCTTTTGGAAAAGTCTTCCTAAAGCCAGCATCCTGGACAGCAAAAAGGTGGTCTGGTAACAGAATTGATCATATGTTCTTTTTTTTTTTTTTTTTTTTTTTTAAGGGAAAATGTAATTTATTTTGAAGAATTAAAAGTGATTTATTCCTCCTACCCCAATGGCATATCAAGGTCAGATAGTGGTCCATACTTGGTATAGACACTAACAGAGGATAGGCGTTGACTCTAGTGAATTTTAAAACAATAATAAAGCCAACTAAAAATGGGTCTGTTTTTTAATGTTCACCATGTATCATCAATGCTAAGCATTGTCAGTGATAAAATAACTGCAGTGGAAAAATAATTTTTTGGTTTATGTTCAAACAATTGTTATAGTTAAAATTAAGTATACTAATATATCTGCAAAGTTCAAATGAGCACACTTTATTTCTTATCATTTAACAAAAACTGTATTCTACATAGTAGTTAGTTTAGAAGACTCCTAGTTAATACACTATTCCTCCAAGACTCAGCTACATCTCTAATTCAAGAGTAAGTTTGACAGGGATCTAATTACTCAAACTTGCTTCAGATTTAGTTCATGTTTCCAACCCCTGTGCTGCTACTTATTTCTGCATTTAAACAGTAGATTGGAAATGATCAATAATATCACAGGGATTATAAAGCTGAAACAACAGAATGTGCCTTTCTTCAGTTCTGTCATTTTACATGCAAATTATTATCTGATCCTTGAGGATTTCACTCCTTTGGAAGTATTTTTTTTTGTGCCTCCCTCTTTTCTTTCAAAAAAGACATTAACATAATAAAGCAGTGTTAATCCAACACCTTTTTGTTTTTAGGACTTAATATTTAATTACTTTTTGCTGTTATAGATAACTTTTTTCTGGCCATTATTGTTAATATTTGTTTCATAATTCTTACTGAAATCACTTTGCCATACAGAGCAGGGTTTGTTTGAAAATGATTCACTGTGGTTTTCAAATATGCCAGATACGCTACTTTTGCATTTTGGAGGTTGCACTCATCAATAAGTCTCTTTTTTTTTTTTTTTTTTTTTTTTTTTTGAGGCAGAGTCTCGCTCTGTTGCCCAGCCTAGAGTACAGTGGTGCCATCTCAGCTCACTGTAACCTCTGCCTCCTGGGTTCAAGCGATTCTCCTGCCTCAGCCTCCCAAGTAGCTAGGATTACAGGCCCCCACCACCAAGCCCAGCTACTTTTGGTAGTTTTAGTAGAGACGGGGTTTCGCGATGTTGGCCAGGCTTGTCTTGAACTCCTGACCTCAGATGATCTGGCCGCCTCAGCCTCCCAAATTGCTGGGGTTACAGGCATGAGCCACCGCACCCAGCCAGTAAGTCTTTTTAGAAAATGGAAGTAGGGCCAGGTACCGTGGCTCATGCCTGTAATCCTAGCACTTTGGGAGGCTGAGGTGGGCAGATTGCCTGAGTTCAGGAGTTCACGACCAACCTGGGCAACGTGGTAAGATCCCCATCTCTACTAAAAATATAAAAAATTAGCTGGATGTGTTGGTGCTCGCCTGTAATACCAGCTTCTCAGGAGGCTGGAGTACAAGAATCTTTTGAACCCGGGAGATGGAGGCTATAGTGAGCTAAGATTGGGCCACTGCACTCCAGCCTGGGCAACAGAGCGAGACTCCGTCTCAAAAAAAAATAATAATAATAATAAAGAAAAAGAAAAAGAATAGAAAATGTTAAGTACGTACTATGGTTCATTATGATTCGTATAACCAGTTTCTTAAAACTGTGTTTCTGGTTCATTTTCTCATTATAAAGCAAGAGCTAGGCTGTTTTATTTTGATGTACTCTTCCTTGTAGAATGCATATTTTAATTTGTTTGTTGGTTTGTTTACATTTTTGATCTGAGGTCCTTTTAAGAGAGTTCAGGGGGCGTTTTAAAGAGTTTCTATGGAAGGATTTAGGTGCTCAGGTGGACCACTCATGGAAAGAGTGGTGAAAGAGATATGCCTCTCAGAATGAACCTCACAAATAGAAAGCAAAGCGCAAAGCAAGGAGACACTCACTTTGTATATCTAGCCATGCAAGCCAGAGCTTGAAGATTACTTCAATATCATCCAGAATCACGATGCTAAAATTTTAGTGATTAAAAACCATTGTTCTAGACATTAGTGAAAGTTTGGGGCCCTATCCCCACAATGTTGGATATATCCACATAAGTATACAAATCTTATAATTTTATATACAATATCAGGAGTTTCACAGACCCCCAAACTTTTCATCTGTATTCAGAAACACAGGTCTAGTTCAGAGATGGTGAAAACGACCCACGGGGTGTAATGACCAGCTCCGCATCCCCGGACAGGTCCCTTGTTCCCAGCCTAGTGCTTTATGGTATACTACTTTATCGTTTGCTATACAATAGGCCCATAAATAAACATTTATTATAAGATTAGGCAATACATTGTAAATGTGGAAATTATTCATGTATTGTTAATTAATAGTTGTTATCCATTTCTCTTAACTTTTTGCATCTCATGAAAATATTCTGTAGGTAAAACGTAGGACTGTGTATAAGCACTGGACAGCTCTGAGCCATCTTTTCTTCTGTTAGGATGATGACTACTGCTTGAGAGAATTATTTCAGATAATATAGTAGGTTCTCAATAAATAATAGCTGCTATTAGAAATTATTGTTACTATCACTATTAGTAAGGCTAGGAAAAATCTGAAAGGTCATCTCATCTTTTTAAAAAACAAGAAAATTAAAAGCAGAGCAATATTTTCCCCAAGGATATACAACTAATTCATAACAGATTGTTGATAAAGAACTCACCAATAATAGGTATATGCTTCTCAGTCTCTGCTTTTCCCCAAACGTTTATTCGTACTCCACTTCAGCTCTCAAGCACAGAGCTGATCTCAACTTCCATACCCATGAAATATGTTTTTTCTCTTTCCTGGAATTTCTTGCTTTCTTTGAATTGTTTTCTTTGTTATTTTATTGTACCTAGCTCACCTGATGGTGTATGCCTCTGTGTGTGTGTTCTCTGGCTTTTTTTTTTTTTAAGATTCTCTAATTAATTATTGGCAATGGATCTGCCAGCATGAACTTAGTAAGTTATGAACTTAGTAAGTTCAGGCCTCACATCCAAAATGAAGAGCTCTAAATAAACATGGAGGCCCAAATGTCCCCTATACCATACACTGGCTTAGTGAAGCCAAATTAGCTAACTTTTTGTCTAGGCCAGAAAAGCTTAAACAAAACCAAGCAGAACAAAATAAATGAAGTATAACTGGCACCCTTCCTGTGATGTGTGCACAGTTTCCTTTCCTATCCCTGCTGGGGATGGAGAGAAAGACAGAACTTTCTGGGAAAATGTGTGAGAAAGGCATCTTCTTTTCTACCCCACCAACATCTTCTTTCATGTAAAATTAGGCGAACAACAGTTTCCAGAATGGCCTGGAATTCTAGCCTCAGACGCTGTATGCGGAAGCAGACTAGGCTGAGACCACCTTCGTTGGATTGAGAGGTGGTCAAAGTGGAGATGATTGAGAGAAGGGTTAGAGGAGGATTGCCTGAGTGAGAGTCTCGGGTCTACTCTAGCGGGAATTGGAGGACCCAGTTCTTTCTCCTCCACCAGTCGCCTCACAGCTTAGGTGCTTTTCCTGCAGCCCTACCAAAGGGGCCTGGGATGATCAATCAGGGGTGTGAGTAGACACAGAATAAAAAGGATCTAGCAGAGGCAGAAACCTTAGAATTAACGACTTGGAGAAATTCTTTAAAAAAATAAGTTTCATAGCAGACTCCTATCTGTCCAAGAATACTTTTTTACCAAATACTTTCACTTTATCCCCCTCCATAAATATTGTAGTACTTTTCCATTTATGTGTTCTTTCTTTGGCATATTTTAAAAACTGGATGAAGGGGGGATCTTCTGAACTCTCTAGTGCTCTCCTCCAGGTAAAAAGTAAATGCCAACTGTGCTTTCAAGTTTTTAAGCTACCACAGATGGGCTAAGATTTTCTGCGCCCTGTTACTGCTCAAACACAAGTTACTAAGTAGCTGGCTGATTGCTATGTAAATCAAGTGAAGTAAATCAATCTAAACCTATTAAGTGTTCCTGATATTTAGTAAGTGCTCAACATACATTTAGTGCATGAATGAATAAATGAATGACACCATGGACTAGATACCAAAATTTAAAACAAGTGATAGAAGTCTGATTTACCACGGAGTTTTTCATATTACCCCTTTCTTTTAAAAGGTTAAAACAGAATAGGTAATATATGATTACACATATGACAAAATGTTTAAAAATTGAAATATATCCTTTAAATTTGTGGTTTTAAAATTCTTTATTCTATGCATAAGAGAACAATGACAAGAAATAAAAGAAAAAAGTAGTGCCCATTGTATTTGAATAAAATGGAAATATTGACACTACTACAGATATGGTGATGTTGCAGCTCACCAACTCATATTCCTTTGAACAACGTCCATTTTTTTCATTAGTCTGAAATTCCTAGAGAAAAGGACATATTTTTTTTCTTTTGCCTAATCCAGTCTCACAGGCTTCTCCTTTACATGTATGTGTTGATGTTACTTCAGCATTCAAGCACAGCCTCTTGTGGGAGGGAACTGTTACTTATTTTTTCTTGCACAATACTTTGCCCATTATATTTTAAATCATATACCTATACAGTTGCTGTGACTGTATATCTTAATGCATAAAGCCAATTCCCCATGTACTACTCTTTCCATTTTCATTTTCAAATTGCTGAACAAAATGCTTTTGTGTAAGAGGCAATACACTGTACTTTAATAACTCCTCCTTGATAATAATGATATGGCCATTTAATTATTTTTCCTGTTATAAAAATTCCATCAAGGATTCAGTCTTCCATTTATTACCAGACAAGCAGTCACAATGGTAATATAACTCACCCTTTATTAATTTTATGCATCATTAAAATGTTATTTGAAAGTACCAAATTATAAAGACAAAAAAAGTTGAAGCCAGAATGAATTTGAAGGTGGTAATAATTACACTACTATTTTCATCTGGATTGCATTAGAAAACTAACTACCCTTTTTAAGATTTCATTAAATCAAGCTGTAAATGAAAAGTGAACAAAACTGAAAAATAATCCACTATAATAGTAGCAAGGAAGAGGGAAACCCCAGGAGAGGTTGCCAAATAAAATTTTTTTTTTTTTTTGGTCAAATAATTCAACTCTTTACATGCCAATAGCCAATAGGAAATAAATAGGATTTATACATTTAAAGCAAACATTTCCCTATATTTCTTTTTTTTTTTAATATGGCAATAGCAAGCAGATAATTACTTTCATTCTTGGTACTGCAAAATGAAGATTCAGTTTAGAAATTTTAAATGGATTATGCAAAAGAGATCAATAAAATTTAATTTTATAATGAAAACATTTACTAACTACTGCAGTCTTTGTTGACATTTAGCCTTGACATGAGGAGTTGGTGCAGTATACTTTTAATTGTTTAGGAGAATTTGACTACTTTGGTTTCTTTGTATGGCTCATAAAAAGATAAGCTTCATGTGCTCATACAGAAAGAAATATTAGACTTACTGAATCTGATTATCAGTCTCTAGGAGAAGGTCAGTGTTAGGAAGTTACATTAACATTTTAAAGTCAGTAAGGAGTCATTAGAAAATTACAATGAGACTTTTTTTGTAGAAAGTTGGTGACAGGTGACTAGGTCAGCATTCTTGCGACCTAGAATTTAGGCGAGCTCATGCCCTCAGGTCCCTTCATTTAAGTTGTTTGGGAAGCACTTATCCATTTATTTTCTATGCTTACACATGAGTGAGAAATTGAAGGTAAGAACTAGGACTCAAATTTGTGATGACATTCAATCATCCTTAGGTGAACTTACATTTGCCCTATTTTCTTCTTATTCCTGTGTGTGGAATAAATTGTTGTTCTTCCAGAATTATGGGAATTCTTTCAGGTCAATAAGGTGACATTTCCAAAGCTAGAGCAACAATTTATTTAATGATATCCTGTCTGCCTAGAGGAGTCATTATATATGATATTTTTGTTCCTCCCTTTAACAGAATTTGACCTGAGATAGGTATGGTTTGTTTTGTTCTAAAATGGAGGAAATAGTTGATTATATTTTACTGGTAACAAGGAAATATTATCATTAACATGGAAATATTTTCTTAAAAATAAATTTTAAAACTTGGAAAAGAAATAAGTCTGTGTTTGTAAAATCCTAAATTGCAATGTACTGTTTTTTGTATGTGGTTCAAATGTCTCTTGGCAATGCCGAATAAAAATAGTAACAAAAAGCTTACCAGCTATGCCCATGGTTATGCAGTAAGTATTATTAAATAATTACACTGGTTGGCACGAGTAGAAAAACAAATAAAACCAGGAAAAATCCATCTAAATGTATAAGAGATTTCTTCCCCCATAATTTAAAACATAATAAAAAATATTCGTAAGGCAAAGAGGAAGGGAAAAAAATAGCAGAGATGAAGGAAATTAAAAAATAATTTCCTTTTCTATAGCTGTTGAAATTTCTCAGCTATGTCTAAAACCATAGAATTTTGACTGCTCAAATTATTTAAATTTTTTCAGATAAAGAAACTAGCAATAGAGTAGGGGTGAGACCAGCAAACATCTCTGAGTCAGTGGTGCCATGGTGACTGGATTTCCTGACTGGTGCCCTTTCCACACTTTACCCTTTCCTCTCTTATTCTGATCAGCCTGGCTGAGCTTTGTCCTGATGAAAGGAAAAGGCAACATCTACCATAAAGAATTCCAAACTGGGGTGAGGGTGTATATAAAAGATAAATAGGTGACTTTACCCATAGACTCAGGCATTATGTTTTTTAGCAGTCAGGTCAATATAAGTTTCTATAAATACAATATTCCAGTTGATTTTATCACTATGAAAGCATTGACTTTGTTAGAAGTAATTTCTTCCAATTCTTCTCTATATATGAAATGCTATGAAGCTTATTCATGAATGAGCTCATAAAGACTAGAGAAAGTTGGGTGTGGTGGCTCACGCCCATAGTCCCAGCACTTTGGGCAGCCGAGGCGGTCGGATCACGAGGTTAGGAGTTCAAGACCAGCCTGGCCAATATGGTGTAACCCCGCCTGTACTAAAAATACAAAAATTAGCCGGGCATGGTGGCGTGCACCTGTAATCCCAGCTACTTGGGAAGCTAGGCAGGAGAATTGCTTGGACCTGGGAGGCGGAGGTTGCAGTGAGCCGAGATTGCGCCATTGCATTCCAGCTATGGGCAACAGAGCAAGACTCTGTCTCAGTGGGGGGCGGTGGTGGGGAAGCTAGAGAAATACACTGTAAAAGCTAGAAGGAGAATGAAACAAGGACATGCACAAAAGAGAGTCCTAGCCCAGCCACCTAGCACTGTTCTGTCCAAACCTAAACTTCCACCCCATATATGTAAGAGGTAGCAGCCTTAGGGGGTGCTAGCACACACAGTTTTCATGACCTGGAATTTTACACAAACATATGGCTCTTCATGATTCTTCCTTTTTTATGGTTGACATTCCCCAGATTTTCATCAGAATGAGGAATCTGTAACAGAGTTATGATCACTAGTTATGTCCAATGATCTAACAGAGATATAACTAAATTTCTGATAATGGTGACTTTCATTGTAGAAAATAGTTACTAATTTTGTATGTATGTGCATGGTGTGTGTGTGTGTGTGTGTGTGTGTGTGTGTGTGTGTGTGTGTTGGGGGGTATAGTCAATGCTATTTCTATTGGGAAACCAGAGGAAATATTATATATTAATAAACTAAAAAATGGTTCCTTTATGCCTCATATCTGCACCTCTAATGAAAGCAGGAAAATATAGAAAACACTTTAGAAATATTTTTACCTGAATATGAACAAGCAGTTTTGAAAAAAAACAACTAGAACTTCTAGACATGAAAAAGCAATCATTAAATTAAAGACTGACTGACAGGTTAACAGAAGAACAGACACACATGGAGAATTAGTGAACTAGAAGGGGCACCCTAAGATATTATCCAGAGTACATTACACAAAGACCAAGAGATAGAAGATAACATCTGTTTTGAGACATAGAGAATAGAGTGAAAAACGTCTAATATTTGTTTAATTAAAATTTCTGAAAGAAAAAAACAGTGAGGGCAGAGCCAATATTTGAAAAGAAAATAGCTGAGAGTTTTCTAGAAGGGATGAAAACTACTGACCTACAATGTTAGTTTCCTTTTACTATGTAAACAATTTCCAAAAATTTATCAGCTTAAAACACCACAAATTTGTTATCCCACAGTTGCTGTGGGTAAGGAATCTGTACACAACTTAGTTAAGTTCTTTGCTCCGGGTCTCACAAGGTGGCTCCAATCAAGGTGTTGGCCAGGGCTTCGGTCTTATCCAAGGCTCAGGGTCTTCTTCCAAGTTCAGTAGTGTGCACAGAATTTCTTTCCTTGCAGTATAAGACTAACATGCTCTTCCTCCCTTCCTCCCTCCCTCCTCTCTCTCTCTCTCTCCATATATATCTATATGTAGATATTTGCATTAGAAAACTAACCACCCTTTTTAAGATTTCATTAAATCAAGCTGTAAATGAAAAGTGAACATAACTGGAAAACAATGAACTATAATAGTAGCCAGGAAGAAGGAACCCCAGGAGAGGTTGCCATATCTGCCATATATCTATATCTATATATCTATATATCTCATATATATATATGAGAGAGAGAGACATATATATATGTTTATATATATACATGTTTCTTTTTGCTACTAGAATCCACACTCAGGTCCTTGTCACATACCCCTCCACTGGAAGTTCATGCATGGTTGTTTGTTTCTTCAAAACAAGCAGGAAAATTTCTCTTATTCCAAATTTTTGTCTCAAGGAAGGCCTGGATCCTCTCATTTTTAAAGTGCTTGCTCAAAGTCAACTGATTAGACATTTTAATTACATTTTCAAAATCCCTCACCTTTGTCATATAAACTTCTTTGTCACCTCATCACAGGAATAAAATCCCACCAGATTGACAAGTTGCTTCCAAACTCAAGAGGAGAGGATTATATACACCAGAGGGTAGGAATCTTGCAGACCATCTTAGAATTTTGCCTACTACAGGCAGATTCAAGAATTTATCCTTCATTTATCATGAAGGATTAATAAAAATAAATCCACACACAGCAAATTGTAAACCTTTAATGAGAAAAAATATTGATAGACATATAGAAAAGAGAGATTAGCTTCAAAGAGGCAGTAGTGAGACTGAGTTGACTTCTCTACAGCAACAATGAAAGACAGAAAAGTGTTATGATATACCCTATATACTGAGATAAATCAATGTCATACTATAATTCTGACCAGTGAAAATATATTTCAAAAATGAGAGTGAAATGAAGGTATTTTTCAGGCAAACAAAATCCAAAAATATTCTACCAGTGGAACCTCACTAAAAAAAAATTCTACTGAAGAAAGTCAGCCCAGATGAAACAATGAAATGCAAAAATTAAGAAAAAAATATAGTAGCTATGTGAATAAATACAAACAAATATTAACCTTATAAATAATAAACATAATGTCTTTGTAAAAACAAAGCCTCAATGTACATGTTGATAGCATACAATTTATAAAATGTGGTAAATATGTTTTAAGGTTTAAGAAGAGTAAAGTTACTTATTTTATTGTTTGATTAATTATGTTGTAATTGTAAGGGTAAGCACTTAAAGAAGAAAAATATAATGTATACTTAATGTATACTTTTGAATTAGTAGAGGAAACAAAAAAATATGGATACTTATTCAAGCTAAAAGAAAAGAAGAAACAGAACAAAAATAAACATAAAATGTCAGGAAAAATAAAGCAGAAAAACAAATAATAGCTTTAAAGTCAAATATGTCAATAATTTTATACTGACTGTAACTGAAATAAATTAAAAAACAAGTACTGTTAAACTAAATTATAAAACTGAACTCTATTTTGTTTTTAAGAGATAGCTAAAATTAGAAGAAAACAGAAATGTTGAAAGTAAAAGAATGAAAAGGAAAAATCATACCAATAGCAATAAAACGAGAATTTTTAGAGTCATATTAAGATGAGACAAACTACTCTATTTGGCAAAATGCATTACTAGAAATAAAGAGGATAACTTCATATAAAAATAAAACCAGAAATATACAATTTTATATTTGCATACACTTAATAATACATAAAAATAGTGGGAAATTTAAATGTAGCTCTCTCAGAGAATGAGAGAATAGCAGGAGAAAAAAACAGTATGGATATAGGTGATTTCAACAATACAATTAATAAACATGTATTAAAAACATAGTTCAGAATTATAAAACAATTATACATTATTTCCAAGCACATGATGAACATTTATAAACAAATGATTGCTTACTGGATAATAAAATAAGAGTGTAAAATTGTTAAGAATTGGTATATATCACCCTTATTCTTGGGCAGCAATGCAATTAGGCTAGAAATGAATAATACTAAGATAATCAGAAGAGCTCTATAGGTTCAGAACTTGAGGAACACTCTTCTAATAACTTTTGCCTCAAGGAAATAATCATGCAGAAAATTAGAAAACATTTAGAAATGAAAATACTATATAACATCTTTTAAAATTAAAGCTTACTTAGTTTGGAAGCAGCACTTAATGAAAATGTATAGCCTTAAATGTATAACAGAAGAAAAGAGGCTGAAGAATGAGTTAATTATATAAATAATCCTTAAAAAGTTAGAAGAGAAACAGCAAAATAAATGAAACGTAAAATAAAGTATGTAACAGGAAAAAGCAGAAAATAATTTTAAAAAACTACAAACATAAAACAAGAACAAAGATGAAAGTTGATTTTTCTGAAACTATAAACTAAGTTGACAAAACTCTAAGGAGACAAAATTTTTAAAGGCAGATTAAAAATCATATAAGAAATCAGTAAATTGATTTGAATAAATCTGAAAATTCAGGTAAGTGAAAATTCCCAGAAAACTAAAAGTTTAAAAATTAGAAAACCTGATTATTCCTTTAATAATTAGAAAAAATTGGAACAGTGATTAAAAATCTGCTCACAGAGTAAGCTATAAGTAAGTTTATATCATTTTTCTATAAGTTGTGAAAAAAATTACAACAATCTGAAAATATAAGACAGAGTGGGAAGAAGATATTTTCAATTAATATAACTTACAGATGACAAGTGTTCAGACCACATAAAGAACTCCTTCCTTCTACCCTCTTTCCCAAATAATGAGAATAAAAAAGACAACTCAATTTAAAAAATGGTAAAATTTGGCAATTGCTTCAAAAAACAAAAATCAAGTACAGTTACAATCTTACATAAATTTATCTAGTAAAAAGAAAGAACACAATTCATTTTATCAGGCAAGTATAACATTAATATCAAAACCTATCAAGGACAGCAAAAGAAATGAAAATTGCAGACCAATCCACTCATGCAAATAGATGCTACAGCCAAACAAAATATTATCACATTCAAACAATGAAACATCACACCATCAATTGAAATAATCTAGTATATTTAAAGACTAAAGGAAAACAATAATGAGACCCACTCAATAGATAGAGCAAAACTATCATTATTTATGGAAGACATGATTGCATAAATTGAATGTCAAAAATAACCTATAATAAATTATTCATAGGTGAGTTTATCAAAGTTACTAAATAGAAGGTCAGTTTACAAAAAAGAATTGTATTTCTAAATGCCAGAATCAAATAGAAAATAAAAATTGAACATAGCATAAAAATATCAAACACATAGAAATAAAAGAAGTGCAATATGTCTATGCAAAAATATACAAAAAATTATTGAGAATGATTAAAAGAGGTACAAACAGAGTAAGGTACTAAGTCCATAGATTAGAAAATGCAGCATCATAGAAATGCCAATTCCATTAAGTATGTGTGTTTTTAAGTGTGTATGCGTACTACTTGAAAACCTGACTCTAAAATTTATATGGATGAGTAAAAGTTTAAAAAAGCTAAGATGCTCTTGAAACAGAACAAGGTAGAAGTCTTGTTCTCCCACATATCAAGTCTCATTATAATACTATGATATTTAAGGTAATATGATTTTGGCAATGGGGTGGATAAATAGACAGAAGGATATTAAAACAGAGCCCCGAAGTAGACTAAAACATAATTGATGTATGAATGAAATGACGTTGCAAGTAAATGATGGATTTTACTATAAATTATTCTGAGACAATTGGTTAGCCAAGTAGAGAAGAGATGGGAGGAAAGCAAAGTGGATTCCTATCTCCTTCCCACTGCCCGATGCACATACATAAAAATCAGTTCAGTGTAGATTTAAAACTTTAAATAAAAGGCAAAAGTACAACACTTTTGGAAAAAAATATGAGAAAATTTTTGAAGAGTTTTTAATAATCCACAAAATACCCCAAAATTGATAAATCCAGCTACATTAAAGTAGAACTTTTGTTCATCAAAAGACACTGTAAAGAAAGTGAAAATATAAAAACACAGTGGGAAGAAGAAATTTTCAATTAATATAAATGACAGAACACAAGCGTTCAGACCATAAAAAGAACTCCTTCGTTCTACTCACTTTTCCAAATAATGAGAATAAAAAAGGCAACTCAATTAAAAAAATGGTAGAAATATGGCAATTGCTTCAAAAAACAAGAAATAAATTCAAATGATCAACAAACATTAAAAAGCGTCAACCTAATTATTAATGAAGGAAATATAAATTAAAAACAAATAGAGACTCCACTTTATAATAATAAGATCAGCAAAATCAAAAGGTCTGACTAAATGAAATGTTTGCAGAAGATGTGGAATCTTTCCTCTTGTTGCTGAACTTTGTAGAACCACTTTGGGAAATAATTTTTTCTCCCTTAATAAAGTCGAAAATGCAAATACTCCATGACACAGAAATTCTACTTCTAGTATCTACCTGATGGAAAATAAGTGCACAAAGATACAGATTGAAGGGTATTCATGGAAAGACTTTATGGAACAGCCTCAAACCATTGACAGTTTAATAGATAAACAAATTGACACAATGAAACTGCAGTGAAAATAAATGAACTGTAGCTTCATGCACAGCACAAACAAATCTCCAAAACAAAGGAGCAAGCCATAGAGGAAAATATTCAGTAAGCTTTCAATTTATACAGTGTTCACAAACAGGCAAAACTAATATGTGATAAAATGATAAAACTATAAGGAGCCCAAGAGGATGTTTATTACAAATGGCAGTGTAGTGGGGGACAAGGAGAGAATGAGATTTGGAAGGGCATACATGCACCCCTTGTGAAGGGCTCCGTTTCTTATTCTTGGATGGAGAGCACACAGGTGATCTCTTTAGTAAATTATATACCATGCATAGTTAATATGCCTCCGTAAATAGAAAAGATACATTTTTTTTTCTAATTTAGAGTTTCTCATTTCCTGGAGGTTTTGAAAAATAAGTAAGCAAGCCATTTAATTAATAAAAGGCAATTAAATGGCTTGGACTTTGGGGGAGGAGGGTCAAGGCTTGGTTATGAGCTTACATGTATGACTTTGATGGTCTCTTTAGTCCCGGAAATTATTTGCAAGTAACTCATTTGTATTAATGCTTAGGTTTGTTCCATAGAGACATATTTTCTTAGTTGCTTAACTAAGTCAATTAGTGTTTTTAAATAGCCAGGGAAGTCATAGGATGCAAAATTTGAAAGAGTATTTAAGAGGTATGACTAGAACCCAGTTTTTCCGACATTTTACCATTGTTTTTTAACATACGACAAACATATTTTCTGGGAATGATTTCCAGCTTGATTAGAGGATGTGTGTGCATGAGTATATGTATGTATAAATATACTTTTATAATGTATATATTCATGAGTTATTTGAGGGCTGTAAATTTCTCACCTTTGTGTCCATAGAATCTAGCAAAGTATCTAATACTAAGAAATAAACATGACTTTTGAATGATTCCAATTAACATATGTATGTTTTTCACTCACGCAATTATATGTGAGTGTAAGTATATGTGTATGTAGGTACATACACACACATTTGTATAGACACACAAATACATATAGGAAAATCTCTGTGTATACATATTTTTATTTACATACATACACACACACACACACACACACATAACAATGAAAACATACAAATATAATAGTAACATTCTTTTGAGAACTTACTACATGGCACAGATTTTGTTAAGTGTTTTACTTGCATTGATTTCCCTAGGCAAAGGACACTAAAGGGCAGGTACTGTTATTGTCTCATTCTATATAAGTGAGGAAATTGAGATGGAGCCAACACGTAAACCCAGTCAGTTCACTCCAGAGCAATGTTCTTGATCGCCACAATGTACTAAAATGATTTAATATAACAATGAATGCCGAAGTATAATGTAATTCAAATAAATTCAATTTGCTAAACATGTATTACATGCCACTATTGGTCAAGTACTGGTTTTGGTTCTAGGACTACAAAAATAAACAGAGAAAAGTCTTTTCCTGAGATTGGCTGCCATATATTATTTTAGAGACTTAAGCCCTGCTCCTCTCCCAAACCCCATTACTGTACATCTTGGTTAGAGTACCTCACCACTCCATTTTAGGGATAAGCATTTGGTAAAGTTCTATCCAACCCCAATATCCACTCTCCTAGAACTAGTAACTGGTACAGAAGTGAGCATGTACAACAGTGGGACCAAAGTTGTTCTTTGGAGTTGATATATGGATGCTAGCAGAAAGAAGTTGAAAGTTCCCTCTCCCTTGGACCATTAAAAACAGAGGGGCAGGCGTTGAGGAGTTTGGAGACTTGTAAATTAAAGACTATCAGCAGTCAGTTTCCCCAGAAAATTCTCATTTTTAACCAAAAAGGGTAAAGGATAAGGTCAGCACACAAGGGGAAGCAGCACTAAGAGCTGGAGAGAGGGAGAAAGAAGCCCACAATGTAGTTTAGCCTTGGGATTCGGCCAAGTTTAAGGACCCTGACGTTCTAGGTAAGCGAGTTAATAAATTGTATTTTCTGCTGGAACTTGAAATCATCTTGTTTCTATTACAAAAATAAACCTGAAGAGGGCATCTGCCACTTTGTTCAAGCAGCCAAGTCAGAAGAGCAAATTAGAATGTATTCTGGTTATATATAACTAATTTATTAAAGCAAGTATTTATTCTGTCATCAAAACTGCACAAGATAAGTATCAATCATGTTCTAGCAAAATTCAGATAATTCACCTTTCCTCTGTTGCCCTTATATAGAACAAGACTGTGATTTACAGAGTAGTGAAGGAAACAATGTTCCCACTATTTCCATAAGAGAAAAGGGAATGTTGGGGTAGAGTTGGAAAGTAGGAGCTGGGGTTAGTGGTGAGCATGTGGAATAGAAATTGTCTACATTTAGGAAAATGGTAACTAGGCAAAGTTCAAGCAATTTGGCACAATACATTGCACTGATTTTTTTCCAAAACCCAGTAACTCTAAATAGAACACCAAAACTAAAACATAAGAAATTCAATCAGGCAGTTGGCATGTGAAATATTTTCAGAAGAAATAGTTTAACTCAGACTTTAGTCCCCTAGAGAAGAAAATGTTCAAAAAACTGAATAGAATCCCATTTCCAAAGGTTTAGGGGTGTCATGTGGGCCTTTGGCTTTCAGCTCCTACTTCATACTTTATGTACACTATACTTCCTCATAAATAATAGTGAGGACAACAATCCAATATATCTTAGGAAACAAAGCTCATCTTACTTATGATTGCAAAACTGTCCTCAGCAAAATATATATAGAACAACGATTTTTTTCACCCTTATGACTTGTTGATTGGGAGGTATATAACAACTATAAGTACCTACCTTTTTCCAGTTGGACTTCTTTTTAAAGTCACTTGAGCAAAAAAAGACCTCTGGAAAGATTAAGATCTGAGTAGCAAAGCAGATATTCAGAGACTAGAACCAAAACAATGACCTGTTTACCAGACCTGGAGCACAAAATCAGAGCCAAGATTAACAAAGGTGAGTTGATGCAAGGACCCAGTGAATTAGTTTCCTATTGCTTCTGTAACAAATCACAGATCTAGTAGCTTAAAACAACACAAATGTATTATCTTACAGTTCTGGGGGTCAGAAGTTCTAAAATTAAGGTGTTGGCAGGGCTGCATTCTTCCTGTAGTAAATAGAGGATTTCCATTCCCTTGCATTTTCCAGCTTCTATCAGGACCCATGTGATTCCATTGGGTCCACTTGGATAATCCAGAATAACCTTCCAAACTCATGATCCTTAATCACAATGTCAAAGTTCCTTTTGCCATGTAAGGTAACATATTCATGGGTTTTGGAGATTAAGACTTAGACACCATGTGAGCGGGGGTACAGTTTTCTGTCTATCACACCCAGGTTTATGGCTGCATTCCTAAAACCTGTCCAACTAAAGCCAGGAATTCTTTGTGGATGAAAAGAGTCAAACTCTGTAAAATATTTGAAGAGATTTATTCTGAGCCAAATATGAGTGACCAATGAATGAATGGCTTGTAACACAGCCGCAGGAGATCCTGAGAACATGTGCCTAAGGTGATCAGGTTGCAACTTGGTTTTATACATTTTAGGGAGACATAAGACATCAATCAATACATGGAAGATGTACGTTGGTTCAGTCTGGAAAGGTGAGACAACTGGAAGCAAGGGACTTCCAGGTCATAGGTGGACTCAGACATTTTCTGGTTAGCAATTGGCTGAAAGAGGTATTATCTGAAGACCTGGTATCCATAGAAAGAAATGTCTGGGTTAAGCTAAGGGATTGTGGAGACCAAGGGTTTATCTGAAGATGAAGCCTCCAGGCAGCAGGCTTCAGAGGCTTATCAGACCTAAAAAGGTGCCAGACTCTTAGTTAATTCTTTCCTGGATCACGGAAAAGTCCTGGAAAGGAAAAGGGACTCTCCACAGAATGTGCATTTTCCCCACAAGAGACCATTTTGCAGAGCCATTTCAAAATATGTCAAATAAATATATTTTGGGTAAAATACTTTGATTTCATTCAGGGCCTGCTATCTGTCATGTGATGCTATACTGGAGTCAGGCTGAAATTTGGTGGATTATTGCTACAAAAAGTCTGTTTGGTTAGTCTTAAGATTTCTGTGTTAATGTTAATGTTGGTCAGTTGTGCCTGAATTCCAAAGAGAAGAGAGTATAATGAGGCATGTCCAACCCCTGCCTTCCCATCATGGCCTGAACTAGATTTTCAGGTTTACTTTGGAATGCCCTTGGTTGAGATGGGGGTCCATCAGTCAGTTGGGGGCTTCGAATTTTATTTTTGGTTTACATGTCTTAGGGATGAATGTGGGCCTGAGCTGGCATGGAGAAGTCAAACCACCTGCGTTAGGGACAAAAAAGAAGTAGGGGTTGGAGATCAAACAAAACTAAACAAGTTTAGCTCCAAATGATAAACTGCTTTTAGCCTCCTGCCACCCCCAAATGGGTGATTGTATAGAGTTCTGCCATATTAACTTTTTAAATAAAATCATATGAAGTCATTTTTACTCTCTGGCCAATATATACCAACATTCAGTTTATGGTGTACTAGGACTTTGGACTTTGGAAACATCTAGACTTGATTTTGAGTCCTGCTTCTTATATTTAGAACTTTGCCACCTTGAGAGGTACATACACTCTCTCAATTTCTATTCCTTCATTTGTAAAATGGCAATAATCATTTCTGCCCAATAGGATTGTTTTGAGGATTAAATGTAATAATTTTATGAAACTGTTTACTTAGCACACCGCCCAGCATGTAACAGGCTTATCATTTCAGCCTTTCTTCCTTTGAAGTAAATTTGCCTTCTGGTTGTTTTGGCAAGAGGTTGCATTTTAGAAACCATCTAAATTATGGTTGTTAGACAAGCAGCTCCATTTTTCTTTTTTCCTGTAAAGGTCTTTCTTTCCTTCAAAGTGAGAAAACTTGTAAATTTCTATTTATTTGAACTTTTCTTTCACTTCTGCAAAGAATTCTTGACTCCAAAATTATTGGTGCAGCTCATGAGATAAACATAACTAGTTTGAGCACAGTGTATTTGAATACAATATTATGCTTTTTTTTTTTTTTTTTTTACAAAAATCAATTTCTAGCATTCAAATTGGTGGAATGACAGAACTGGATGACTATAATGACATTGGTTCACTTTTATAACAAGTTTCCAGTTTTTCAAAGAATCCCTTGGGAAACATATTGACTACTTTCCTGTAGCCCACTAGTTCGACTGGCATAAATGCCTCTCACGTCCTCAGTGATCAGGGAAATCTCTTGTTTCCAAAAGCCTTTTGTGTTATGTCCTTGCTTGAACAAACTGAAGCTTCTTCGTGTGGAAAACACATTGTAATGTTCACAGTAAAGCTCTCAGAAACTTCCTTAAGATTTTAATCTTAAAGAAAAGCATATTGGTTTTAGCAACTTGACAACTGATGCTTTAAAAATAAAATTATTTTTAAATTTATTGACTGTCTTAGTCAATAATGGATAGCTGACTAAAGTCCATTTTAGGTTCAGAGTTCACAGCCATCAATAAATATTGTTGCAGAATTATAAAGCCTCTTACGGGGATCTATTGCTATTTATTGTAATATAAATAAGAACTATCAAGTTTAGGGCACTGATGCTCATTCTATTAGATTTTGAATGCCATGTTATCCAAGTGTCTGCATTCTGCCCCCAACGACTCTTCAAGCAAAGTACCAACGTAATTCTCTACAAAATGATCAGTGTTTGATGTCTGAATGAACTGTTGCTTTTCTGAAATGAGTGCATCTCTGCATTGCTTACCGAAATGATAAGAACATTACTATATATTGAAAACTACTCCTTTGATTTGAGAAAATCAGCTATGCAATTTCTTTTGCTAGATCATTTTCCCGGATCTTTAAAATTATCAAATGTAGTTCAGTTGAGAGGCAAGTAATAATCCTTTGTGGAAACCCAACATAATAGAAGATTACACAGCATCTAAAAAATTTCCAAATGTGTTCTTTGTTGAGACAGATGGTGAAACTATTCAATGTAAGTGGCAATGCTTCCGTTTGTAATATTTAAGCATCTGAACAGTGATTGATGGAGCTTCTTTAGTAATACAATCATTTCATCAAAAGTCTCATTTTTCACAATCAAAAATACCTTCTCCATATTGTTTCACTGCAAAATAATAAAATGAAAGTTTCACAGAATGTGAATCCTAAGAAGAGTAATTTAGAACATCAAAATTTTCAGTGAGCCCCAAAGCAACCATTTGAGGTCTGCTCAAGTTTTGTTGTGGAGGTTGGATTCAATTGTTTGCCAAGACTATTTGAAAATGAATTTATACTGCCAGCTGCTATCCAGCTTTTATTGCCAAATAACGCACATTACATTATTATAACTAAAAAGTGATATAAATAACTTCTCCCTTTCTCCTATAGCCTACCCAATAGGGAGCTACCTAAGAGGAATGAGTTAAAACAAGAAGTTAAAGGAATAAAGGAGCACAAGATGATGACTGTGTGAAATTCAGCATGCTGAATAAAATAATATGCAGTTCAGAGAACTTGTCTATATTTTTCGTGGACATCCCAAAGTCACTTCACATTTAACCTTTGCAAAACCGAACTTCTAACATTCCCCCAAGTGTGCTTCCTCCTATCTTCCCAGTCTCAATTTTGCCATCTACCCAGTCACCAAAGTCAGAAACCTGGCAGCTCTCTCAGTTCTTTTTTTTTTTTTTTTTTTTGGCATCACTCTTAACATTAAATCAAGTATGAAGTCTTGTTGAGTATATCTGTTAAATGCCTCTGCAATTCAACCACGTCTCTATCCCTGCTACCACGAACCTGATCCAGGTCACCATTTCTCCCTGGATCACTGCCATAGCCTCCCTATTGGTCTTTCAGCATCCAATCTGCTCTTGAAATACTTTCATCTCCATGCAGCCTGTGTTATGTTACCATATCTAGTCATGTCACCGCTTGCTTAAAACTCTTTAATGAATCTCATTGCCATTAACATGGCTCACATGACTCACAAACCTCTTTGCAAGTTTACTCCTGTTACCTGTGCAGCTCCATCTCTTACTGTTTGACCACTCCTGGTTCATGTTCCAACCATGAGGAACTTCTTTCAGCTCTCTAAACATATCCTGCTCTCTCATCTCTAATAAAAACCATATCGTGTGTATTATTCCTTCATGAGACCCCCTCATGTAGTTAACTTCTGCCAATCCTTAGGTCTCAGTTTTTTCCTCTAGAAAGCCTTCCAGGTAACTTCTCCTTCTCCAGGTCCTTATAGCACTCTATATATTTTTTCACTATCCGTCATGCTCCCTTAAAATTGTTTGCTTTTTTTTCTGCCTCTATCACCAGACTATTAAGCCTCGTGAAGGCAGGGATTTACATTTCCTTGTTTACTCTTGTATCCTAGTGCAGTGCAGGTCTATGATGTAGACCTAAGTATTAGTTAACTGACTGAGTAGCCAACTGAGGAACCAACCTAGCCCATGGAAGTAGTTTACAGGACGGGTGAAGGCACATTCCTGAAAAGTCAGGAGGCAGTGAAAGGGCCCTGAGATACATGCAAGACAGAATAGGATACTGAAAGGAATGGTGGTGGGTTTTCAAAGAGTAGAGCACAACTACTACAAAACTTAAGTCAGAAGCTCCATGGATATAGATAAGTAAAAATAAGGAAGAGAATCTTCAAGTTGATTAGAATTAGAAAAAATTAGGAAATATCTGAGCTTAGTAAGCAACCAATCTGCATAGTTGACCCAGTTCTTTTACTGAGGGTAGAACTTAAGTGTGGTTTTATACTGACACCCATCAGATACATAAATTTTGGCTCTGGGTGAGCTCTTCTTCTATCTTAGAAAGAGCTTTGTAACTTTTTTATATATGTTCATGAATTATACAAGAAAAACCTGAGGATGGGCCTGAGAATGCTGTAGGTCATTTTGGCACACTGGCTTTGCATCCCCAAGGAGGAAAAATGTCAGCCTGTGAACTGTTTTCACAAATATGCAGGAAAACACATCATTGTGGGACCTGGCATGGCCACAACTTGGCATATATACAGTCAGGAATGAAACAAATGATACAGTGCCTGGAGATACTATTTCTTGTGTGTTGGAGATCTTAAAGAGCTGAAAGCTCCTACAGACACATTTTTGTGTTCTCTTATCCAACATCAAATATAACTCCAAGGTTTGAAGAGCAGAAGATAGTAGTTTATTCATCCTCTCAGGAACTCCCCAGGGGAGGAAATTAACAGGGAGGCAGATTTCAGTGTAACATATGGAGATTTTTACCACCCTCAGAGCTGTCTAAAGTGAGAGTAAACTAACAGCTTTACAAATACTGAAATTCGTTTCACTTTCAGCAGGAAAAGGAGAAACTAGATCCTAGTCTTCAGCAGTGATTTGGGATGGAGGGGAAGTGATGACCTCTAAGTTCTATTCTGATTATAAAATTGTATGATGTAATTTTTTCTTGGTGACTCAGAGGAACGTGATGTGTGTGAATTATTGTGGTTCCCAGAGATGCAATGAGGTCCTTACGGTTTGTGAGGTGAATTCAGCTGTATTTTCCTATCTTACGTTGCTCCAGACAGCAGTGCTTTCGCTGTTAATTTGTATTCTTTTCCCTCCATTCTATCCATGTCCCCGCCCAGGCTGGTCAGCTAATACACTACATATTATCCACCCTCATCTCAACAGAATCCTTGGGAACAGGAAGCAAATTTACTTTTGGTACACAAAACAGTGCTTTGACCTAAGAATTCCATCAGTGTGACTCTCAATGAAAATTTGGGGAATAAATTATGAGTGACTTTTGGGACAGAATGCTACTCTTTATTTATCAGAGCTTAGAAAAAATCTCTGCCCCGTGCATTCACCCACATAGCCATATAGACTCCTTTGCGCATCTCTGAGAATAACACTTAGTGCTAGATTCTTCCTGTAGTTTGAAATGTCGACTGTCTCTTTCCTGTCTTCCAAATGCTTACTCATCTGTTTAGCTCCCATTAAAATATCTGCTCTGGAATGCTTTCCTCGGGCATAATTAACTATTCCTGTGTGTTCTTACAATTGAAAACATACTTCTATTATTCAAATTTAATATTTTATCATAACTATTTGTTCCCATTTGTTTCCTCATTTAACTCAGAGCTTCTTATGGACAGAGTAGCCCACCTTCATGAGCCCACCTCCATTATATGCAATGCCCAGCATATAATGGGTGCTCAGTAGACATTGGGTGGCTGGGTAACTGAGTGAGGTAAATTGTGTGTCTCCCTCTGATGAAGAAAAGCACATGGCTTTAAGGCATTTATCTCAGGCGGCATTTTTACCCACTTTCTAATTCCCATCTTTGCTCTAGACCTAAAAATCTGACATCCAAATTAGTGGGTCATGTATTACTACAGTGAGGTTTGTTGGTGGTACATACACACAAACAAACAGATACACACACACATCCTCAAACATCCCTATAAATTTTAAATCTTTTTATATTTTGACAGATTTTGAGAAAACCATTTGTTATCACTTTAAGAATCATACCTTTAAAAGATTAATGTATTGTAATGAAGCCAATTTTCTTATTAGATTTAAACTGGCCACAGAATTATATAAGGTACAGTCCACTAGAGAGCTTCAGGCTCTAACTTTGAAAGGACATGCAGCTACAGGAGAAATGTGTCCACAGTTTAATAATCACTAATATATAAATACATTAGATGTGGACCACCACATGCACTGCAATCAGGGATGCAAACACTGTCTCTTCTCATCTGTCATCAAATCATTTACAATTTTATGCCCAAAGAACAGTTTAAGTCTCAGTTATTGAAAAACAATTATTAGTTTAATTAAGTCTGTACATCTTTCCTATGAAAAGAAAATTACAAAAGCTGAACTTGGAGCCTAAACCTTAAAAAAATAGTTCAATTAATTAATTACATCAACTATCACATAATAAATACGACTGTATCATATTATGCCATTTTTCTGCCTTACTGATTCACTGCTAGGAATTCATGAGATAGGTTTTGGCACCTAAAATAGTGTTGGCCATTATTTCACAAGTAAGAGGAGCAGGTAGATAGTTTTCTGCCATCCTCACATCCATCCTGGCTTATCTCTGCATCCCCTCTGTAGTTTTCTGGGCCAAGAGAGTTTTGCCCCAGGGATTATGTCTTACTATTTAAGGACACCAGTGGCTGAAAGATGACTCCATGTCACTTAAGCCAATGGAAGAATTTGATGGGCGAAAATATCAAATCAAAAATCTCATTTTACCTCATTTACATAAGCTACTCATTCCTAATCATGAATTTATAGTAGCATAAGACATTCCCAATTATGTCAGGGAACAGCTTTCAAAACAAAAGCCATTAAAATTCAATGTCTTTTTTTAAATTGAACTTTTAGAGCACTATTTAGATAAGGGAATGGTGGCTTTTGAATGAAGATAATACAACTCTAAAGATATATACTATACTTGTACAGCAACAATAAATTTCATTTAAGTAAAAGATAGGTGTGTTTTTATTTTAACCTATTGGTCTTAAATAGATGCTCCACATTATGACTAACTTTTTCACTTAGGATTTTTAAAACTAGGTTATAAATTGCTTTTTTGAGTAATTTCAAGGCACTTGAAAAGATAAAATACCTTATAGGTTATACGTAGTCTTTAACTTGTTAACATTTTGGCAAATTCGTAAATTGACTGATTGAAGCTCAGAATGAACTTTTCCCGAGTAGATAATGTTTTACATAGGGTTGGTCCACAGGTGGGCCCACAGAAACATATTTAAACTTTAGTATACAAGAAATACCACTAGGTTGTGTTAAGATGTAAGTACTACAAAGATTATGCAAAGATTATGATGCCCTTACACGATTCTAGATAACATATTGCTTTTTTATAATGACATGATATTTATTTACATCCCCAAATCAAAATAACCCTTTAAATTTTTTTATTGCAAACATCTCAAGTAAGTGTATCCAAAGGGGAGGATGGATTTATCTCATTTCTCCTGCCACAGCTGTGCTGGTGCCCTCAGTAGGGACTTCACCTATTGCATAATTAAGTGCTGAGCATTCACATAGCAATGCCTTAGACAAAAATGGGTCCTTAATTCCACATTCAGATGTCTGGAGCATGTGTACTTCACAATGTGAGACAAGGTCCTGCTCCACACTGTGGCCTTGCAGGTGTTTCACTGACTTGGAACAGGTGCGGCTGCAGGGAGTGAAGAACCATGGTAGGATCTGAGGGAGAAGGGAAGAAGCACTGAGGTGATGGGGGAGGGTAGTTGGGAGGGGATACTGGGCTGGGGGAATTTCAAAGAGGGGAAGAAATTAGATCCTTTATTTTACACAGTACAATTGACCGTCTAGTACTACTTGCTGGATATTTTCCAAAGACCACATGTCAGAAATGTTTTGTCTTCCTTTATCTTTCCCTTCCATGTCTTTATCTACCTCTACTGTCCATGTCAGTGTTGTTCCAAATTATATAATTGCCTTGACCACCAATACTTAATAAGGCAAGGTGGAGAAACAGTGACCCAAACCTGCTGAAGAAGGGGCAGTAGATGGAGAGAAAAAGCTGAAATTGGGAGAGAAGGTCAAACTGAAGACAGAGTCTACAGCAGAAGGGAAGTAGAATGAGCTATGCCAGCAGAAAGGGAGTTCCAGAATGACATGTGGATAAGTAGGAGGGTGTAAGCAAAAAGAGAGTGTGAGTTAGAGATATTCTCTACCAACACTGGTACAGTAACTCTCCCTCTACTCTGTGAGGATTGGAGATTTAAGGGCCATATGCTCAGCATTTAAATTCCATGATGATCATGGAAGATTGCACATCCAGGTAAGGGTTGACACATTGAAGTCCTTGGACACGCTAAACAAAAAGCACAAACAAAAGGATGTCTGTGCCAGACATTCACTGAGCTAATGGTCAAGAAATCTGAATCTGAGAGTTAGCCGCAGCCTCGCCCCACTAACTCTGTGTGATTTTGGAGTAAGTCTTTGAATTTCATTATCAGTGTGTTGGAGAGCAGGATGAAACTGCCTCATCCCTTAAAAGTCTTTACCACTCTTCTTCAAGTAGGTTTCCTATTTCTTGGCTGAGCAAACACAGTTTTGCTGGATTATTAAACAGTCCATAGGCAATGATTCCAAAACGGAATGAAATGGACTTGAGCCATTGCACAATAGATCTCATTAATGAGTCTTCGAAAGTAAGGAAAATCCTAATCTATAATCACAGAGCCACCTGTAGATGTCAGATTGCTATTTTTCTATTTAATAATTTCTACATGTAAACTCTTATCCATATTCTAAATACTAGGATTGATATAATGAAGCAGTTATTCAAAATGGACTTAAGCAAATAGTCAGAATTATCCTAATTTTACTAATGTAGTTATTCACTAGAACAGCAGAAATCAATTTAGCAACTGCCATATTCCCATTCTTTAAAAAATTTTCCATTAGGAAAGTTATTGTATATCTCCAATATTATCAAAGTGACTTTCATTCATTACAAGGTGTATTGCAAAACCTTTATTATAATTTTATTACCTTTCATGAATCACAAAACCCTTCTAAAATTTAAACAAAAATGAGGCATGACAATAGTTTGATTTTCTGGTGAAATATTATCTCTGTGTTAAAAATGAATACTAGCATATATTGATCATTTATTTTGTATAAGTTCTATGCCAGCCAGAACCTAGTGGATCCAATGAGGCAGGCAAGCATTATTATTACCTCTTTGTTATATGTGAGTATTTGAGTCACTTATTATAGGACGAATACTACGTAAGTGGCAGAGCTGGGATTTTCCCAAAATCTATCTGATTAAATAAAGTTATTCAAAAGAGGTAAGAAATGCTGGCTGTTTTCTGTGGTTTAAGATGCTTCAATTCAGGTCCTGGTTTGCCCACTGATACTCCATAACAACCAGGTATGTATAGCCCTCAGTACCTTGGAGCCTAACTCAGGGACTCCAGCATGTCCTCTGCCTATAGATTTGAGATCTTGCTACATGACAGGGAGTCATTAATTAGTAGAGGCTCCTTGATAATCTGCTCCCATTCTTCCTCTTGCCTTTTGACATATAGAAGCCAGTAAAATTTGTTCTGTCTTCTTTAGGGAGTCTGTGAGAGATTGAGACCCTTTCATCCTCATAGATTTCATGGTAATTCCCTGCCATTTGAGGCAGTTTCCATGAGAGTGAAAATTGGTGTTATTGTTTGGGGACCTCTGGGACACCCTTATTTTTTAAGGAAAGAAAGTCCAGTTCATAGGGCTTGCTTATATCAGAGTTACAAAATGTATGACCTGGCTTTGAGGCCAGTCTGTGTGACGCTGAGTCACGATGTTGGCAATTTAGCAGCGGAGATGCAGCTTCACAGTGGTGACACTCAGCCCGAGAGTAAGCAACACAGCGACTCCTGACACTTTCCACCATCACATTTTTTCTTCTCAAATAATGACAAAATAGTTCATTTATTGTACTTTTTATAATATTTAGCTTAGCATACCTAAGTCAACAGAAATATAACAAGGTTAACTATGCAAATCTTTAGCTTTAGTTATCTTAAAAAAGTCTAACAGTATATGCTTCCTTATTTAATGGTGAGACATATGAGTCACCATAGTACAAAATTAGTTGTGACTGAAAGACTAGCTTTGAATAATTACATTCAGGATAAAAATAATGATATTACCATAATATAAATCTGCTCAGTAAAGGGCATTACTCACATAATTTTATAGTGCAAAGAAATCAGCGGTAGAATAGATGTTTGTCAGCTACTCTTTCAGAACCGGATACTCTTTATCCTAAATACTTTTAATACTAACAAATTTACACCTAGTAGCAGGCTTTCACTTTTAATTTTGCTACCAGAGAAAATCTCTTTACATATATTATTCATTTTATATTAGGCATTCAGACATACTTTTATTTAACATTAATTATACTATTAATACAAATAACTGCCCAGCTCAGGTTAATATTCATGTTTAATATTATAAGTTTCATTGTTTATGTTATAGAGTGATATTAATTTTCAGTCAAATTTTATACTATGTAGTTACATAATTCTTTTTTGCCATGGGTTCAATATAATAATTTATTTGTTAAAAATATTGATAGCTTTACCAGTGGTTAGGGTTTAATTTAAACACTAGATGGTTTACGTAGGATACAAAAATGTACACCAATACACACTCAGAGTACTGTGATTTTAGACTCAGAGAAACTTATATTCAAATCCTATGTATGTCACTAATTAACTGTGTGAGATCATGGAATCTAGTAATTGTTATAAAATACAAGCACTGGGCCCTAAATGTGCAGACCACAGAGGGAGGTCATCTATCAATAAGGCCACTACAAGGGCTTCTTCCTTGAAACTCTGTGCTACGATTTTAAGGGACAGTGCTTCACTCCTTCACTCTTTACCAAGTATTTTATTATCATTGTTATTGGTCTTCTCTCCTCTGTTTAAATTAATTTGCTACACATACGATAATGTTAATAAAATATAAAAGAAGATTTTTGTCTCTCCCCTGCTTAAAATCCATCTATCTATTTATCTATTTATCCATCCATTTATCTATTCTTTATCATATTGTCTCAGGTCATTTCAATGGTATTAATTTATAATTCACTTCCATAGTTTGATATTATTTAATATATTATTCAAAGGGCAGTACCATCATAGAATAAATAATTAAAAACCAGTCTTTATAATTTAAGGAAAGTTATACTGGACTATGAGGCCAGCACCTGCATTAATCATTTTGTGATCTATTCAAGTTCTTGGATTTATAAATAATTAGTTAAAGTTGAATAAACTGTGCCTGCATTATAATTTTTAAAAATACAGCATGATAAATCATGCCAAAACAAACCTTTTACACATCATGTACAAGTAATTCCAGTCTTATCATATTTTAAAAAGTTCAAATATGATGAAGATGTTCTTGTAATGGCGCAGACATGGGCACAGATGCTTAATGTTTGTTTGATTGTTCATGCATTTGTTTGTTACTGGAAAAGCTGTCCTGGATTCTCTGGCAAGATCTTTATTCTCTCATTTCAGAATTGAGGGGCTGACTCATATATCCTAGATCTAGTCCACAGGAGGCCAAAACCCTGGGTTGCCACACTCACTAAAGGAAAACATAGGCTTTGGACTTCAATATATAATGCAATACAAATTTAGAAAACAATACACTGGAAGGCACTAGAAACTATTTTTCATTGTGATATTATAAAAAGGAAACAAAGAAAAAATAACCTTTAGAGTGTAATTTACGTAAACAGGTTCTCACATCCTCAGTGCATCATTAAACACATACATTGAAATTGGTTTATTCTGCATTTACTTTCCCAAAAAATAAACATCTGTTTTACTATAAATTGTAACAAAATATGCAGACTCTAAATCAATACAGTGATTTCTACTCTTGTGGGGAGCCAAGAGCATAGTCCTCATAGAGGAGTTTTCATTTTCTCCTTCCCTGCCAACATAGAAATGGGGTACAAGCCCATGGGCACTTGTCTTCCCTCTTTTCACTCTCTTCTCTCTTCCTCAGTGTTGTTACTCACAGCTCTTGCTTCAGAATTGTTCTCAGGATAGATCACATAGGTTCAGATGTAAACAAGTCATTAAAGAGCTTAAATATCTTGAGTTTCCAAAGGTGTGCCCCTTAACAGTACAACATACATTTCAAATTAAAGCAGAGCTTCTCAAACTTAGCAAACTCCCAGAAACACATTGACTCCTTGTGAAAAAGATACAGTCCTAAATCCATCTCTTACAGATTCTAACTCAGTAGATCTCAGGTGGGATCAAGGAATCCAGGTGACTCTGAAAATTAACCAAACTTAGAAAATCCTGATCTAAAAAAATGACTCTTTGATCGTAGATTTCAGAAATCAAATGAGTAAGTCACAGGTTCTTTCTGACAAGGCTGTTATAGAATTGCGGTCATGGTATTAAAATTATTTACTCCAGGAAAATGGAGAGCTAGACTGGCGTGTTTTGCAATTTTAATACAAAATAATTGCACTGATCATCTTTAAGATTTCCTACTTTCCATTTCCTACTTTAGCCAGCTTTATACCTAACAAATAAAATGAAGGACATCTCACAGGAGCTAGTATTTCCTGCCCCTTAAAATTAAATGTAGCTATGAACATTAAAACAACTTCTACTTAAGACCATTTTACAAATCAGATAGAAGCTAGCCCCTAGTGTTTAATAGCACATTTTAAAAGGAACCTGTGCTGGAAGTCAGCATCTTAATTTTCAAAATGGAGATTAAGGATGGAAATAAAAAATGATTATGGGAGCAAATTGAGTGTGACATGGGAACAATTTAGAGTCTCTTGGGAAATAATGCTTGGGAAAGATTATTACTAGAGAATTTTGGCTTATTTTCCTGTTCTGAGATGTGGGACACTAAATTTAAGTTTTATGTCATGAACTATAGACTACAGAGCTACTTTCTCTTCAAGATTCATCTAATATTAAATGAGTTTGACCTTGTGTGAGACCCAGGGAGATATTCTACTTTGCATTTTACATTGCATTCATAGTATCAAGAAGTTTAAAGAAGTGAGTGGTAATGGATATCTGAAATGCTATGTGATTAATGTGATTATTTGTTTACAATAAAATAAACTTTAATGTCCTCTGTCGTTGTTTACTTATTCCAAGAAATTTAGTATTAGAAAATACGTCATGTTCGACTCTCCCACAAGGGAAATAGCTTAGTAAGACTGGGTGGTTTTATTGTTTATTATTATTGTTGTTTTATGAGTATAAACTAAGATTGGGTGGTTTTATTGTTTATTATTATTGTTGTTTTATGAGTATAAACTTCATTAAAAGAATGGGAGTGAAGTAACATTCAAGTTGTCTGTGCTTCTTTATATAACCAAAGACATAGTCGCTCTGAACTGGCCACCAATTAACATTGTGAACTTAGGAAAGTGACTTCAGACCCTAGATCAGATTGCAGCTTCCTCATCTGTAAAATGAGAGTTAGACTGGAGAAACTTTAATGTCCTTTGTGGTTGTAACGTGGTGTGGAGTGGAGTGGTGCTCCCTGACTCCTGGTATAGCCATGATGGTCAGTGCTGAGGTTGTCTGCAGAAGTTATATGAGGAAGTGTTTATGCTTGATACAGAGACATAATATGTCTCCCTGCTAGGTCACATTTCATAGCACTTTACTGGCATTAAATCATTTAATCCTCACAACAATGCAATAAAGTAGATGCTATTAATATTGTTTCCATTTTACGGATAGGGACTGTGAAGCACAGAGAGGTTAAGCAACAAGCCCTGAGTCACCAGCTAGTAACTGGCTGGACCAAAATTTGGATTCAGGCTGTCAAGTTCGAGTGTTTGCATGTTTAACCCCTACGCTCTATTACCTCTCTGCTAGATTGTGTGAAGAGCAGGTTTAGATCTCATTGCTAAATCTGGAACTGGCTGTGACGTTCACGTGGGGTGAATAACTTTATTGCAAAGATAAATCATAGTACTAGTTTTACCTAAAGGGGCAGAAATGCAAAGTCAGTTACAGAAAACCAAAATGGTATCATACCAGGCACAGACATATTGGCTGCTAAACATCTGTCAGTGGCCCAGTGAAGGCTGTGGGGCGATTCCAACTTCCAAATCAGATGACGCCTCTAATTTCACAATCCCGCATAAATTCTTAATAAACTGTTGCATTTGTAAAAAAAATACCAAGACCACTAAAAATGCTGTCACGATAATAAACTTATAAACCAAACACGGTGTGTCTGTAACTTGTGCCTTAAATTTCTCCAGAAGTACTAAGTTAAATAACAGCATTGAGTGTGATCAGCCTAGTTTTGATCTTCCTTTAATGGAATTCTTTTTATGTTTCACTGTTAGATATATTTTATGTTAATTTTTGAAACGTATGTCTGTGTGTTTAATGCTAAGAATATTTCTTTATCTTCCTCTTTCCAAGAATTGTTATTAAGAATGGTTGTTGAATTTTACCAAATGCTTTTTGGTGGTTTTCAAAATAACCATACCTTTTTTCTTATTGAATCATTGCTACATTCCACAACAGACTATATTGGGCTATTTTGAAAAAATACATTGAGGAGCATTATTACAATTTCAAGAAAAAAAATTAAACTTAATCCTACCAAAAAATAGTTGTGTGAATCTATAATATAGCAGAGACCACTGATGCAATTTTAGGACCATCTATACAAGGAATATGAGCATATGCCCTTTTCTTCTTTGTCTTTCTTTTTTTTAATAGGAGAAAAGACACACAAATTTATTTAACATGTATGCACAAGAGGCTTCAATATGGAGACTCTTTGTGTCTTTCAAAGGTTGACTTATTATTAAATCATTTCTGTAATTATCAAAAATTCTAGATCCATGAAACAAAATAAAATGAAGCAGACCAACTCTGTGAGAATTTTGCTATTAGGAAGTCTTATCCAGTAAGACACCAGCTTAAAAGATTGCCTCTCTGTATTGGAAGACTTGAGATGTGAGAAGGGGCAGCACATGACTATAAAGACTAACTATACAGCCATAAAAATAATAAAATTATGTCTTTTGTGGCAACGTGAATGGAGCTGTAGGCCATTACCCTAAGTGAAATAACTCAGAAACAGAAAATCAAACACTCTGTGTCCTCACTTATAAGTAGGAGCTAAAGTATGGGTATGCATGGAAATACAGAGGGGAATAATAGACCTGGGAGACTCCAAAAGGGAGTGAAGATTCAACAATTACCTAATGGGCACATGTTCACCATGATTTTTGAAGACAGAGTACACTGAAAGAGTAGAAGACAAAACTGAGTTTCCCCTCAGTTTAGAGGTATATTTTCTGTGAAATTCATTTAAGTTTTATTGGAATTTGTTGTTGTTGTTGTTTTGGTTTTGTTTTTTGTTTTTGAGACGGAGTTTTGCTCTTGTTGCCCAAGCTGGAGTGCAATGGCGCTATCTCGGCTCACCGCAACCTCCACCTCCTGGGTTCAAGGGATTCTCCTGCCTCGGCCTCTGGAGTAGCTGGGGTTACAGGCATGCACCACCACGACTGGCTAATCTGGCATTTTTAGTAGAGACGGGGTTTCTCCATGTTGGTCAGGCTGGTCTCGAACTCCTGACCTCAGGTGGTCTGCCTGCCTCAGCCTCCCAAAGTGCTGGCATTACAGGCATAAGCCACCAAGCCCGTTTGGAAAATTTTTAAATAGGATATATTAAAGGTGTACAACATGGTGTCTTTTTCCATACGTATACTTTTTGTAATGATTCCCATAATCAACCTAATTAATATATCCATCAAACATATTCATCACCTCATAGTTACCTTTTTCTTGAGATTAGAACACATAAGATCTATTTTCCTAGAAAATTTCTACTATACAAGGCATTATTAGTAACTATAGTTACCATGCTACACATTACATCTCTGTAATTTATCTCATAACTGACAATTTATACCTTTCGACTAATATTCTCCCATTTCACCACTTCCCAGCCCCTGGCAATCACCATTCTAATCTCTGTTTATCCAGGTTTGATTTGTTTAGATTCCACTTATAAGTGATATCATGCCTTTCTGTGCCTTGCTTATTTCACTTAGCATAATGTCCTCTAGGGTCATCCATGTTGTTCCAAATGTCAGGATTTCCTTCTTTTTTAAGGCTAAATAACATTCCATTGTATCTATGTATGTGTGTGTGTGTGTGTGTGTGTGTGTGTATACACACATATAGATACATATATATGTATCTATATGTATATATTATACAACTTAACTATTTATTTATCAACAAATTCTTGTTTTCTTATCTTGGCTATTGTGAATAGTGCTTCAGTGAACATAGGAATACAGATATCTCTACGATACTGATCTCATTTCCTTCAGATGCAAACCCAAAAGTAGAACAGCTGAATCATATGACAGTTCTAATTATAATTTTTTTTTTTAGGAAACTCCATACTGTTTTCCATAATGGCTGTACTAATTTACATTCTCACCGACAGTGTACACCTTCCCCTTTTCTCCATATCCTTAATAATTATTATCTTTCATTTTTTTGATAATAGCCATTCTAACAGGTGTGAAATGATACCTAATTGTGGTCTTGATTTGCAATTCCCTGATGATTAGTGATCTCAAGCACCTTTTTATATACCTGCTGCCTATTTGTATGTACTATTTGAAAGATGTCTATCCAGGTCCTTTGCCCATTTTTAATCAGGTTATTTGAATGTTTTTATTTTGTTTTGTTTTGTTTATTATTGAGTTATAGGAGTTATTTATATATTTTGGATACTGCCCACTATTGGATATATGGTTTGCAAATATTTTCTCCCATTCTCTGGATTGGCTTTCCATTTTGTTGATTGTTTCTTTCACTGTGCAGTTACTTTAATTTATTTATTCTTGCTTTTGTTGCCTGTGCTTTTGGTGCCATATCCAAAAATATCTTTGCCCAGATCAATGTCATGAAGCTTTTTCCCTGTGTTTTCTCCTCATAGTTTTACAGTTTCACATCTAACATTTAAGTTTTTAATTAGTTTTGAGTTGATTTTCATATATGGTGTGAGATAGAGGTCTAATTTGTTTTTATTCAAGTGGATATCCAGTTTTGCCAACACTATTTATTGAAGAGACTGTACTCTCCCCATTGTATGTTTTGATATATTTGTCAAAAATCAATTGATCATAAATGCATAGATTTATGTCTGGGCTCTCTATTCTGTTTATCAATGTCTGTTTTTATGCAAATACCATGCTGTTTTAATTGCTATAGCTTTATAGTAGGTTTTGAAGTCAGGTAGTATCATGCCTCCAGTTGTGTCCTTTTTGCTTAAAATTCCTGCAGCTATTCAGTCTTTTTCGGTTTCATTCAAATTATAGAGTTGCTTTTTCTATT
Source organism: Homo sapiens (assembly GCF_000001405.40). Classification (NCBI taxonomy): domain Eukaryota; kingdom Metazoa; phylum Chordata; class Mammalia; order Primates; family Hominidae; genus Homo; species Homo sapiens. The sequence continues at coordinate 38,131,357 of NC_000014.9, read as the reverse complement.
TATGTGAAAAATGCCATTGGGATTTTGATAGGGATTGCATTAAATCTGTAGATCACTTTGGGTAGCATGGGTGTTTTAACAATATTAATTTTTCCAATTCATGGACATGAAATATCTTTGCATTTATTTGTGTCTTCTTTGATTTCTTTCATCCATATTTTCTTGGTTTCTTCTTCAGATAGTTCATTGTTAGCATATAGAAATGCAACTGATTTTTGCATATTAATTTTGTATCCTTCAACTTTACTGAATGTATTAGTTTCACCAGTTTTTTGGTGGAGGCTTTAGAGTTTTTAATATATAAGATCATGCCATCTGCAAATAGAGACAATTTTTCTTCTTTTCCAATTTAGATGTCTTTTCTTTCTTTGTCTTGCCTAATTGCTGTGGCTAGGACTTCCAGTGCTTTGTTGCATACAAGTGGCAAGAGTGGGCACCCTTGTCTTGTTGCTTATCTTAGAGAAAGAGATTTTAGCTTTTGATTGTTTGGTATGATGTTAGCTGTGGGCTTGTCACATATGACCTTTAAGGTGTTGAGGTACATTCCTTCTATACCTAATTTGTGGAGAGTTTTTATCATGAAAGGATATTGAATTTTGTCAAATGCTTTTACTGCATCTATTGAGATAATCAGATAATTTTTCTCCTTCATTATGTTAATGTAATGTATTACATTTATTGATTTGCAGATGTTAAACCATTTTTTTTGCATCCCTGGGACAAAGCCCACTTGCCATTGTGTGTGATCCGTTTAATGTGCCATTGAATTTGGTTTGCTAATATTTTGTTGAGAATTTTTGCATCTATGTTCATCAGGGATATTGGCCTATGATTTTCTACATCTGGCTCTGGATGTATGATACATTAATTTACTACTGAATTTGGTTTGCTAGTATTTTGTTGAGAATTTTTACAACTATGCTCATCGGGGGTATTGGCCTATAATTTTCTTCTCTTTAGTATCCTTGTCTGGTTCTGGTATCAAGTTAATGTTAACATCATAAAATGAGTTTGGAAATATTCTCTCTTCTTCAATTTTTTGGAATAGTTTGAGAAGGATTAGTATTAGTTCTTCTTTTAATGTTTGATAGATTTGACAATTAATTTCTCATAGATATCCTTTGTTCCTGGAAAATAGATGGAAGAAACACTAAAGCCATTGACTATGGGCAAGGACTGAATTCTTATCTTCTCCTCTGACAGTTTTCAGAGCCTGCACACAATAGGCATCAAAATGGGAGAATTTGCTTTCTTGGTGGAAGGTTACATAACTTTTAACAATTTAGGTGTTAGAAAGATTCCTCTGAGAACTCAGACCTGAATGTAAGACTGAAACAGGAAATCCTTCACAGGCCTCCTTTACTCATCCCACAGCTCTTAACACCTCGTGGGAGGGGGAGGATGCAGGTGAGTGGGTGCAGGAGCCAGATGAGTGCTTCCGGGCGGCAGCAGGAGCAGAATTCTGTGTGGCCCCACGGCTGTGTCTAGAAGGGGTACTCATGACTCCGGGAGCCCCAGAGGTCATGTGTTACAGTGCTCTTTTAGCTTTGCCATCCACCAACATCTTAAGTGTTAAACAGCTCAGTGTGACAGCCCTCTGTATCCCAAGCTCTTGTTCAGCATCCAGGAAGAATCAGGTCACATGAATGAATTGAAGATGACAGATATGGGGGATTTTATTGCCAATGAAAGTGGCTTTCAGAGGGATGGAGAGCTGGAAAGGGGATGGAGGGGAAGGTGGTCTTTCCCTGAAGTTCGGCCATCCCCAGCAGCTGTGTCCTCACCCAAATCTCACTTTGAATTGTAACTCCCATAATTCCCATGAGTTGTGGGAGGGACCTGGTGGGAGATGATTGAATCATGGGGGCAGTTTCACCCATTCTGTTCTCATAGTAGTGAATAAGTCTCACGAGAGCTAATGGTTTTATAAGGGGCAACCCCTTTCTCTTGGTTCTTATTCTGTCTTGTTTCACAATGTAAGACGTGCCTTTTGCCTTCCTCCATGGTTGTGAGACTCCTCAGCCATGTGGAACTGTGAGTCCATTAAAACTCTTTTTCTTTATAAATTATCTGGTCTCAAGTATGTCTTTATCAGCAGTGTGAAAACAGACTAATAGACCAGCCAAACTCTTCTCTGGGGTCCTGCCACCAAGCCATCCCTCTGAAGTCAAGCTGCTTCTCTCTGACATCTGGCTGCTGCTTCTCTCTGACATTCGGCAGCTTATTCTCTTCTGTCCTTCTCTGCTGCTTCTCAGCTTGTGGAGCCTGGGTACAGGATGGGGGGCGGGGTAGGCCAGGTGGTTTTGGAAAAGGCAACATTTGAGTGGGAAAACAGGGATGTAAAGTTCTCACTTTGCACCACAGTTCTAGGCTTTAGGGTAGGGCCCACAGTATATCATTTAGGTTGAATACATGGGTTTAGAACTCAGCAGCCCAGTTCTGCCACTAGCTAGCTAAGCAACCTTAACTTAGTCACTTAACTTCTCACAGGCCTCAGTTTTTTCATCTATAAAGTGGGTATAATAATACCTGTCTTCCCAGGGTGAAGTAAACAATGTAAAGTGATTAGGTCAGTGTCTTGTACATAGTAAAGTACTCAGTAAGTGTTAGCTAAGTATGTCTATATATCCACCCATATATACATTATGAAACATTTTCAGAGCTTCCAGAAACTATTAGAAATATATTCTTGAGTCCTCTAGTTCCAAGGATACAGTCAGATAACTGCCCTGAGACACAAAATGAATTGCTAAATCCAGCGAATCCAGCTAATCCCCACTCTGTGTGTCAAGTGGTACTGTACCTGAAAGTTTTAAAGCCAGGGGAAATGTTTCTTGTTGTGAAAATTTACTAAAGGGCATGTCTTCCCCAGTGAACAGTCACCTTTGCAATACAAAGGTGTTCCTCATAGGAGGATCATACTTCTTTCTAGCCTATAAATTAATTACAAATCTTTGCCATGAGAAATTCTACAAAAAAGAGAGGAAAATAACATAGATATTTTGCTCCTCCTCAAAGTAAAATATTACCATATTTAAAATCAAAAATTAAGTATTGACTGAATTATTATCAAATTAAATATCATTAAATTAAGTATTGGTTAAGTTAAATATTGATCCAAAATGACTCTAAAATTAATTTCTCTGAAGCAAGACAATAGGAAGACAGCCTGGTGAACCATGATTACCATACTTGGGAGCAATGGGCTTTATTCTTGGCAACACCTTTTCAAGCCTGTAACACTTCAGGGATTCTTCTTAACTAGCTGTGAGATATGGGTAAGTCACCTACTTCATTGGCCATTGGTTTCCACTTCCGAGCACTGGGCAGGTTTGGCCAACAGATGTTAGCTCCCTGGCAGCTCTAACATTCTTCGATTCCATGTTGTGCTAAGGCAGGCTGCATTACACAGCTTTGTGGAAAGTCCTCCCTGAAGTTGTGCAACTTGGCAGATGAGATTCTAGGACAACGAAAATGACCAGTGAGGAAATCAGGCAGCTCTGAGCTTCACCTTGCTTTTAAGCACAGGAACTGGACCAAATTCCCTTCCAGGGCTCCTGTGATCCCTAGCATTCCATACCAGTGACCCAAAGCTCTTGCCTTTGAAAAATTATAGTTAGGTTCCACTTGGAACTGCCAAATTAGTAGAAAAATTAATATAAAGAAACAGCATCTGTGAATCTCTTCCTAATAGATGTATAACTGGGTTTAAAGTCTCTGACACATTTAGACTGAGTGCTAAGTCATCCGACCATCTGGCTCTAGGACAGTTATGCAAAGAGCTCATCTCCACCTGGGCGCTGAGAGCATCTATTTTAACATCCTGCTGGGCAGGTGCATGCAGAAACAGAGATGGAGATTGGCCCAAAGTCAAAAGCCAAAAAGATCTGAAAAACACTTGGACTGTCTAGTGAAAATTCTGTCTGTGAAGCAGTAAGCTTGAGGTAAAGAAAAGCTGAATGGCTGAAGGAGGAGGATATAGAGTAGACATTAATGAAGAAAGCCTTTAGCTTAGACTGAAGAGAATAACTACGCTGAAGCTTTAGCTGGCCTTTTGAAAATCCATTCTCCTTCAGAATTGCTAGGAAGAGATGACTTTGAAAATGTTCCTGATACCTGTTTTCATGTTAATGCTGCTGGTCACTATCACCTGATTCCTTTTATTGCCAGTTGGCATTTTGAAAATGTCTGTTTGCATGGGAAAATGTAGTCCCTGGATACATATTCATCATATATTTGTGCTTCAGAGGTAACTCACACCTTTAAGTTTGATTACATTTCCTTAACCAAATACAGATTTCTACAGCTCCCAGGTGTCCGGAGTAAATTTGATAAAAACAAGATTCCCACCCCCGTGCCAGGCTGTGAGTGGCTGTTCTGCATTACTTGCTAGTAGAATAATCACTTGGATGGTGGATTACACTGCCATGCACTCAGTTCACGCATAGAAAAGCCCCCTCCTTCCATTTTCTCCACTTGCTTACTGATTGCATTGACAGGGAAAATACAATGTGTCATTTGGCAAGTAGAAATATGACTTTAAATCCAAGTATCATCAGGAGGGGTGATGTTTTCACTGGAATTCAAGGGTTCAAAGAACCAGAGAATTCGTCCCTTCTTCATCTTTCACAAAAAAGAGATTTTGATCTTAGATATTTCTATATAACCCTGAAAAAAACCCCAAACTTCCCAGAATACTAGAAATGTGTTAGCTATATATTAAACTTCTAGATATGTCATACCCCATGAGGTAGATGGGAAAACATGCCCTCTGCATTGCCTCAGCTCTTACACCTTCTGGGAACACAGGTTCTGATCAATTTCTGGGCTGTGGCTCAACCCTCATGTAGTGCAATAGAACAACAATAGGGAAAAGCTGCTATTTTATCATCACCTGCTATTTTCCAGGCATTGTTTTAGGCATCCCTCATACATTGTCGCATTTAATCTTTATAATGCCTCTGCAAGGAAAGCATGAAGGAATATTTCCTATTTTATAAATGAGAAAAATGAGCTGTGTAAGTCTGAATGTTTCAAGAAACAGACATCTAGTTGGGATTAAAACTGCAAGAATCTTGTTAGGGAAGATGCCTGTGTTAAAGGAAATAGGAAGGGAGTTGGAAAGCCATCAGACCACAGTCAAGTTTGCTCCTGGATAAAGAGGAGAAAGAAAATATACCCTCTAATATTCTGTACTCTAAGGAAGGTTCTGCAATGTTGCCAGGGAGTCCTTGAGCTAAGAACAGTAGACCAAGGAGTCCTTGAACCAAGGTTGCAGACCAAATGTTCCTTGTCTCCCAGGAATAGGTCTGCTTCAGTATCTGGGTGATAGATTTCAGTAGCTGGGACCTTGATTGAATCACTCTCCCTGAGGGAGGAGGTCTTCGAGGCTCATTCTCATGGCTGTTCAGTAGGTTCAGTCAGCTGAATTTGCACCGGATCTCACAGCTAGTTGCTGGCAAAGTAATAAACCTGTCAGTCCAAGCCCTATCCTCAGACGTCCAGACGTCTGTGAGTAGAATCCTAGAGGTGCCAAACACTGGGCGTAGGCCCCTTACATGTTCTGCATCTCACTCAGGCTCCACAGCCTGCAAAGGCTGGCGCCATGAAGCTGCAGTACCCGGAAGCAGGAGACAGCTCCTGTCAGAGGCAGCCTGTTGCTACCTAGCATGCTGCTCTCCCACCGCTTTAATAATTTGTTATAAAACAAACAAAGTCACCGGGGGAATTGCTGCCAATGGATAATGGCCTCCTGCCTTGCAATTAAGCGCTGACATTCAGCTTTGCCTCACCAGTCACAGTATATTGCTGCTTCCTGTCCCAGTGTTCTCAACCATGAGCGTTTTCTGCTAATCAAATTTATTATCCTATGCAGCTGATCTTGACATTCATTTCCTTTTCAGCTTGGTGGTGAAGGTTTAGAGAACATAATTTTTAAGCTACCTGTTCTCTTCAGCCCAACATTCATATAACCTACAAAGAAACACAAACAATCTCTAAATAGAGCAAAAAAAGCTCCAAAAGTTTATGTTGGTAAGATATCCCAGTTGTTAATGGGATTCAGTGGCAAGATAATCTTAGGAAGTGGATAAGGAAGTGGAGACTTGTGGAAGTTCTTTTCATGCCACCCTGAGCTGATTTCCTACTGACCCCTTGACTAGAGGTTCAGATCCATAAGCCTTGCCTTCTGATATGACATCCTGTGGAATCCTGTGGGATCCTGTGGGATCTAATACACCTCTCAATTCAAATAGTAACTCTCCCATAAGAGTGGCTACTTCCTTAGCATCCCAGGAGCTTAGAACTGAGCATTACCCCAAGCTCTGAAAAATCATATACCTATTCCCTTGGAAGAGGAGATAATGAACCGTACCCTCCACAAGTATAACCATTTTTGAAATGTCTGAGCAAGAACTAGGAGGCTCAACTCATGAGGCCTCAATTCCCTTATCTGTAAATTGAAGGCAGTAGAGTAGGTGATATTATGGGCCTTTTTAGATCTGAAAGACCATAATTCTGTGATAACCAGGAGGTCTTAAGGATAGGCATCAGACACTCATCATTCTTCCCATTTCTCCACATCAGCCTCCTTCCTCCTAGTAATAACCTATCTTGAATGTCCAGACTCTCTCTACTGATATAAGGCCTAGCCCCTGTTATCTGCTTTCTCTAGCCCACAACAGACTCCTCCTCTTCCTTCTCCTCCTCCTTATTGCCTCACTATTTTTATCCCTTATCACTTTGTGACCGTGTAAACCAGATTTACTCCCCAGCCTACCCCCGGAGACCCGTTTTGTCCTTGCTTTCTACTTTCTTTGCCAGAGGAAAACAAAACAAATTTGTTATACAATTAAATGCCAACAACCTTGAGAATGGTAAAAGGTCATTTTAAATTTACAGTAAATTGTAAAAGACAGAAAATTCTTTTCTGACCACAGAGGGGAAAACATAAGTTACAGAGTTGAGGAAATTAGGAGGAGCTTGAGAGAGAAGAAAGAAAGATCATTTATTGAGTGTCACATAATGCCAGGAAGTATACTATGTGTTTTGCTTTTTAATACATTGCTATATTGTTCTCCTAGATTTCAAAAGCAATTTGTACATCTCACATAATGTAAACACAGCCGGGTGTATAAAATAAAGTCAACTAAATGCCTATCCCCTCTCCACCACCACTGCCCTCTTCTAAGACCAACAGCCTCAACAATTGTGTTATGTATTGACTCAATACAATTGTGTTACATACTGACTCTTCACTGTTTGCCAGGCCCGTAGCAGGGAACAAAACAGACAAAACATCTGCTTTTCTGGAGCTTACTTTTTAGTGAGGAAAGACAGATCATTACAAACCGAGTAAGTATAAATATTATATCAGAAATGATAAGAGCTCTGGAGAAAAATCGAACTGGGAAGCGGATAGAAGGTGATAGGACAGGGATGTGTGCACATGAACAGTTTTGACTGATGCCATCAGAAAACATCATTGTGAGAAGGTGGAACTTGCGTGAATGGCTGAAGTTGGTAGTGGGTGAATATATTTTTCTCAAATTTTTCTCTTGCTTATGCAAATACTCCAAACATAAACGTATGCACATGGTTTTGTTTTAATACCTTTTCAAAATAAGATTATATTATACATATTACTTTGCAACTTGCTTTTTCCACTGAAAACTAAATCATCGAGATCTTTGTGGGTCAATATATATAAATCCAGTTTATTTTTTGAATAGCTACATGATTTTCCATAGTTTGAGTATATCAAAATTTACACACGTGTTCTTCCATTAATGGAATTTCGGTTATTTGTAGTTTTCACATTCTTTTTTATTCTCTTTGCAAAGACAAGCAATGTTGTTTAGTTTTCTAGGCTTTATTTGTTCATGCCAAAGTTCCAGGTATTTTAAATATTCTATTTTACTCAGCACAACTTAACTGACAGCTAGATTTTATTACGGTATTTCTTTTTTTTTTTTTTTTTATAGAAGCAAAGAAGCAGAAGTTCAGAATAGTTAAGTTGATTTGCACTGGGTCATGGAAGAACAAAGATTCAACCTGAGGACAGTATGATTTCAAATACTATATTCTTTTTAAAACTACATTGAATCTCAGAGCTTAGGACAGAAAAGCAGTACCATCCCCAGGAGAATGGGAAGAGTAAGAGCAGTGCAATTTGTTTTTCATAGCACTAAATTTATTCAATTCAAGAACTGTCATTTATTTTGAGATTATGTCCTATGTTTTCAGCATTAAATTGACTTGCTTCAGTGAAACAAGGTGACAGCAGATGGTGGACAACATTTTCTAATGAACTTACTTGGAAAAGAAAAACTTCTCAGTTTTAGTCTGGTTTCCCAAATACACATTCTTTAATGTTCCATGAAACATTGGAACCACCGGAGTAGGGAATACGTTGTGAAAAACCCTGGTCTAAGCAGTAAAGATCTGAGCTCCACCAGGAGTGTGTCTCTGCGTATCTGCCTCAACACGTACTTTTCTAGACTGTAAAACTGAGATTGTAATGATTCTCAACCCTGTACATGTAGTGTTTTTATTTGGCTTATGCCTAGGTCTGTGCCTATTCACTTATATCTGGAGACAGAAGATTCAGCCTAACTTTATGGATGATGGTGAAGTTTCCAAGTTTGAAATAAAATTGAAGCTGAGTAAAATTTGGGGTCAAGGACTAAGTAACCCATGTTATACATAATAATAATGTCAAAAACATTTATGGAGCGTTTATTGTATTGTCAAACATATATCCTGTTTAGTACATTTAGGATACTGTTGCTGCTTACTTACCATTTGATTGAGCTAAGTTTTTAAGAACTACATATATTTGAACTTCGCTTTTTTTTTTTTTTTTTGAGACAGGATCTTGCTCTGTCACCCAGATTGGAATCCAGTGCAGGATCATGACTCACTGCAGCCTCAACCACCTGGGCTCAAACTATCCGGCCACCTCAGCCTCCTAAGTAGCTGAGACCATATTTGCGTGCCACCATGCCCAGCTAATTATTTTTATTTTTTGTAGAGATGGGGTCTTGCCATGTTACCCAGGCTCGTCTTGAACTCCTGGGCTCAGAGTTTGAGGAATCCTCCTGCCTCAACCTCCCAAAGTGCTGGAATTATAGGCATGAGCCACTGTGTTCAGCTTGAACTTCACTTTTAATGTTAGATAAAGTGTTGACTCTGATAGTATTCCTAAATTGGAAAAAATATGTCTTCACTAATTCTGGAAGTCAAAGCCAAACACTGACACACACACACACACACACACACACACAAAGATAGAGTATTTGAAATTGAGAATGAAATTACAAAATGAAAGTATAAGAAAAAGTATTTTTTAAGGAACTAGATTAACATAATATAAAATAGACCAATAAAAACATTACACTTCATGTGTATAAAATAATGCACTGCAAAAAAAGAAATTTATAATAATCTGTACTTAAGTGCCTAATCTGTTAGTAGCAGAACAGTTAGATCCCATATTAACATAACATCAACTTTATCGAAGAAACCAGTCATATTAGGAAACCACTCTGGATTTCTAGCTTCCTGTTTACTTGATTTTTATTAGATAGAAAGTGTGGAGGCTAAGGGTGACACTTTCCATCTGACTTCACCATATTAATTAATTTCTCTAATAATGAGTTGAGGAATTTATTAAAATCTGGGGGGAAAAAAGCCTTACTAGGAAGTGAATGTTAATTCAGAGTGACAATGCCTCTCAAAGACACATGCGATTTCCCCAGAGCATAAAGGAACCAGAATGCATGCTCATCTGTAGTTACAACAGAACAAATATCTAAACAAAGGATGCTTGCAAGCAGTTTATTCCACGAGATTTATAGTCCTAATCTGCTCTGTTGGGTGGAGTAAGCAATATGTGCTGACTCTGCCAATGTCAGACCTAGACTCATTAAAGACCGAATCAAAACACTAACTGAAGCAAGAAAGAAGGGATTAATGTTGAGGGCAGTTTCTTCATCACTGTAAAACTAACACTGCTGCTGCAGAAGCACCATGATCACTGAATTAGCCTTGCACTGTGCAATAATCTCCTGTGATAAACAAAAACCCAAATTTGGCATTTTGCAAATATTTGATAATTAGAAAAGCAAGAATAAAGGAATGCAATAGCTTTGATCTTGAAATTTTTAACATTGGGAAAAGCAAAATAATTTTGTTCCTCAAAAAACTTTCTAGGTTTTCTTTACACTAAGACTCTGTCATAGACATTACATGGAAAATGAGAAATAAGCTTGCCTTAGTTCTTTTTCCAGGAGTTGAGTTTTGTGTGCTAACATGTTATTTCTCTCTCTATTATAAATCTGTAATTGTAAAGATGCCTATTGTTCCAAACATAACCATGTCAGCTTGGTAACTACTTAAAGAATAAGACTTAAGGGAATAGAGAGAATAAAATTGGAAGCAGAATTAATTTCATATGTGTTCACGTAGAGCTGGTAGTCTAAAGAAAAAGCTATGTCTTCCTGATGGATAGCACATGACAAAGTTTAGATCCTATATCTTCCAGTTACCTCAAAAGGCCTAATTAATCTCAGGAAGGTCAATAGTTTAGTTATTGCCAGAAATTTTCACCCTCTTTAAAGAAAATATGCTTGACAAAGAGGTTCCCTCTTTACTTGGGCTCCTCAAAGAGCCCCTAGTATCTGCATGTGGAAATTGTGTGTGGAAGGTTCTCTATTTAGCATATACTGTAGTGTATTTCTCTGGTACCCTTGCAGATAAATAGTTATATCTGTTTCTTTGTTCTCATTACTTAGTTACAGAGTGGTCCACAACTTCTAATTACAAATATGCTTTGTAATTTCTTTAGGTAGTTTCAACAGCTCCCTTGTCATTTTTATGTATTCATGAACTTTGGTCACTATAGGTAACACTAACTGATGTCAATAGAAGAAATTAGGACCAGATAAATTCCACCCAACTTTAGACTAAAAAAATTGCACAGCAATGCAAATTGCCTGTGTTTCAGAGTGTCAAAGACACCCTCAGTCTGTGGTTTTGTGCTTTGGTGTGCATCAGAATCATTAGGGAAACTATTTAAACCGAGCGTCAGGGGCCTGTAGATGCTGATTCACATTTAGGTTGGGCCTAGGATACCCAGTATTTTTTAAGCCTCCTAAATTCTATGACAATAAGAAACAATGAAAACCACTATTCTAAATGATAGATGGTAATTTATGTTGCAAATTTCTTTCCAGAAAATAAAGAATACTCTCAAAATTATAGTATTTTTTCCTCAGGATCTGAGGGTTTTCAGGACTCATTATTGCTTTTAAAAGCAAAACTCCCCTCCCGAAAACAATTTTAATAAAGGATTTGTATAACGCTAATGTCTCCCCTTCGACTCCACAATACCACACACAGGTACTATCTACATTGCAAATAGCTTTTTGGGGGGTATCTTTCCTACCCACATAACTTAATCAAAAAATTACTAGGTAACTAGGAATAACATAGAGGAAGAACAAAATAAATATACACCCACATAAAATTATACAGCATTTAAAATAAAAGTCAAAAATTTAGAAAATTAATTTAATTTGCGTTTTCTTTGGTTTATTCTCCTGAAAGTAGCATCAGACATATTGCAAGTGGTAAGAGGATGACTTGGATTGGCCTATAGAGTCATGGTGGTTTGGTCAACTGAAATAGAGTCCCAATTCCTTTCCTTAGCAAAAGCTTGTTCCTGCCTTCATTTCAGATAAAGTTTGTTTTTGCCATCCAGTTTGATGCTGAGTTGCTAAGAAAAGCCATTTGTGCCAACAGACTGTTTTCTATAATTGCTTTTACACATCTGCAGAAATGGGCACCATCACAAAGCTTTATTAAGACTTAATTTTCTAACATGTACTACACAAGTATTCTCTTCTGCTTAAGTCACCTCTGAGTTCATGGGTAAGTAAATTGGACACTAAGAATCTACCATGGTATTGTGAAAAAATTTCTCTGAAAAGACATTTGGAGGAAAGAGATTTTACTCCAGTGAACAGTGAGCAAACCAGGGAGATACTGTCTTTAGGGTAAAATGAAGGTGTGTTCCAGAGAACAAAAGGAGGGTTAAGTTTTACATCAAAAGTTCTTACCCAGGTTCCCAATCAGGTCCATTTATGCAAATGAAGGATTCAAAATTGCTTAGTTCCTGTTGGTTGACTTAGCTGAGTAGTGATTGGTTCACACAGCTGAGCTCTGATTAGTTGGTTCAGGTAAGCTCTGAAAGCCCTAAAGAGAGCTGTGGGTTTTTGGGGAACTCAGAATGAAGGGGTGGGTTGCCCCTCCACACCTGTGGGTGTTTCTCGTTAGGTGGAACGAGAGACTTGGAAAAGAAAAAGACACAGAGACAAAGTATAGATAAAGAAATAAGGGGACCCAGGGAACCAGCGTTCAGCATATGGAGGATCCCGCCAGCCTCTGAGTTCCCTTAGTATTTACTGATCATTTGTGGGTGTTTCTCCGAGAGGGGGATGTGTCAGGGTCACAAGACAATAGTGGGGAGAGGGTCAGCCGACAAACACGTGAACAAAGGTCTTTGCATCATAGACAAGGTAAAGAATCAAGTGCTGTGCTTTTAGATATGCATACACATAAACATCTCAATGCTTTACAAAGCAGTGTTGCTGCCCGCATGTCCCACCTCCAGCCCTAAGGCGGTTTTTCCCTATCTCAGTAGATGGAACGTACAATCGGGTTTTATACCGAGACATTCCATTGCCCAGGGACGGGCAGGAGACAGATGCCTTCCTCTTGTCTCAACTGCAAGAGGCATGCCTTCCTCTTATACTAATCCTCCTCAGCACAGACCCTTTATGGGTGTCGGGCTGGGGGACGGTCAGGTCTTTCCCTTCCCACGAGGCCATATTTCAAACTATCATATGGGGAGAAACCTTGGACAATACCTGGCTTTCCTAGGCAGAGGTCCCTGCGGCCTTCTGCAGTGTTTGTGTCCCTGGGTACTTGAGATTAGGGAGTGGTGATGACTCTTAAGGAGCATGCTGCCTTCAAGCATCTGTTTAACAAAGCACATCTTGCACAACCCTTCATCCAATTAGCCCTGAGTTTGACACAGCACATGTTTCAGAGAGCACGGGGTTGGGGGTAAGGTCATAGATTAATAGAATCTCAAGGCAGAAGAATTTGTCTTAGTACAGAACAAAATGGAGTCTTCTATGTCTACTTCTTTCTACACAGACACAGTAACAATCTGATCTCTCTTGCTTTTCCCCACACAGAATATATGTGTGACCTCTACTCAGCAAATGCCAACTTGGCTCTATTTAGAATTTAGCCTCAGTTCGCCACTTGGGATCCATCTTGAAAAACTGGCACTTTTAGATTCTCATTTGTTCACAGTATTAACAGTTGGAGATGAGTAGAACCCAAAGATTTCCAGCTGCATTCTGGGTTGTATGCACAGCTTACCCTTTAATAAGAACCAGCTTCCTTTCCTTGAAAAGAACTCTCCCAGTGGTAATGCAGGAACTTTTGCTCCTGAGTTCAGCTACATCCTGGTTCTTGTCTCATGACCAGGAAAAATTAAGCAAGCAGACACAATGAAGGATGAGAAGGGCAGAATTTACTAAATGAAAGGAAAGCTCTCAGCAAAGAGAGGGGTCCTGCATGCAGATTTCCACCTCACAAATTGAATACCAGGCCACCCCACACAAGCTAAAGAGGCCAGGCTCCTACGCTGCATAAGGCACTAATTCCTGGTGGCTTCACTCCATTCCTCCAGTGCACATGGGCCTCCAGTCCCTTGCAGGCCTACCCAGGCAAGACCCCATGCAGGTTCCTTTGTCTACAAAAAAATGTCTGGTGTAAACACTTGTGGGGTGGCTCGAAGATTCTCCAGGGATGCTTCCTTGTCTGCCTAGGCATTTGTCTGCCTCCTGCCTCGGCATTTGTCTGCCTCCTGCCTCTATCAGTGGCCTCCGTCATTTTTACTCCTCAGATAGCAACAGTTTTGATTGTTTTCTTTAACGTGCAAGAAGAGTATAGATATAAATCCATAAATTCAAAAGCCATTTCTTGTGGGAATGTGTGAGAGCTCTGAAAATTGCATGCAATTAAAATAAGAAGGAAAATGATAAGCTCCTCTTGATTTCTGTTTTCTTCAGCAGCATTACAGTATATACAGTAGAATGTGGTTTTTGTGTGTAAATTGACAATTCTAGTATTTCAAGCCAAACCTGTAAAATGCTGTTATCAGTGATTACACATCCTTCTTCACTGATATGAAGTAGAGTCTGAATAAGACTTGCCTTTTCACCTGCTATTGTGAAACCTTTTTATTCTGAGGAATTCTATGGGATTCAAAATCTTTACATTAGTCTGTTGACTAGGCTAATTTAATAGGTATTAGGCTATTTATGGTTTGCTTGTTTGTTTAATTGTGGCAAAACATATGTAAAATTTATCATTTTTGTAATATGCATGCAGTTCAGTGGCATTGAGTAAAATCATGTTGTATGACCATTACCACCATCCATCTCCAGAACTTCTTTCATCTTCCCAAACTGAAACTTTCTATCCATTAAAACAATAACTTACATTCTCCTCTCCTGTAGGCCCTGGCAACCACCATCCTACTTTCTGTCTGTATGAATTTGGCTAGTCTAGCTACTTCATATCAGTGGAATCATACAATATCTGTCCTTTTGTGTCTGGCTTCTTTTAATTAGGCAGTGTTTCAAGGTTTGTCCATGTTATAGCACATGTAAAAATTTTATTCCTTTTTAAGGTCAAATGATACTTCAATGTGATATATGTATATACATATATTTATTTACTGAACCTTTATGTAGCATAGCAAGTCCTGTGTTTTCTGGAATAAGATCTTCAACATGAGACAGATGTTTTTTAGTGGCTCATGAATTCACTTATTTCATTTGCATAAAAACAAAGTCACAATTAAATATATTATATATTAAAAATATATAATATATATCACATTTTGTTTATCCATTCGTGTGTTAATAGACATTTAGATTGTTTCTACATTTTGGATATTGTGAGTAATGTTACTATGATCATGAGTATACAAATATCTGCTCAAGTTCCTGCTTTCAGTTATTTTGGATACATACCCAAAAGTGGAATTGCTGGATCTTTACAATAATTCTATGTTTCATTATTTTAGAAACTTCCATAATGTTTTGCAGTGTAGCCACACCATTTTACATTCCCACCAACAGTACACACGGGTTCCAATTTCTCCACATCCTCACCAAGACGTTATTTTCTGTTTGTTGGTTTTTTTAAAATAATAACCATGCTAATGGGTTTGAAGTAGTATCTCATTGTGGTTATAATTTGCATATTTCTAATGATTAGTGGTGTTAAACATCTTTTCATACGTTTATTGGTCTGTACATCTTGTTTAGAGAAATGTCCATTCAAATCATATGTTCACTTTTAATTATTTTGTTATTGTTGAGTTGTACCTCTTTACATATTCTGAATATTCATCTCTTATCCCACATATGATTTGCAAATATTTTCTTCCATTCTGTGGATTGCCTTTTCACTGTTAATAGTGGTCCTTTGATGCACAATTTTTGTTTATTTTAATGAAGTTCAAAGTTCAATTTTTTTTGGTTGTTATGCTTTTGATATATGAAGTAAAGCATTGACAAATCCAATGTCATAAACTTTTCACCTATGTTTTCTTCTAAGAGTGTTATAGTTTCAGCTCTTGTGTTAGGTTTTTTTTTTTTTTATTGAGACGGAGTCTTCCTCTGTCGCCCAGGCTGGAGTGCAGTGGCACAATCCCGGCTCACTGTAAGCTCCGCCTCCCGGGTTTCTGGCCATTCTCCAGTCTCAGCCTCCCGAGAAGTTAGGACTACAGGAGCCTGCCACCACGCCCGGCTAATTTTTTGTATTTTTAGTAGAGACGGGGTTTCACCGTGTTAGCCAGGATGGTCTCGATCTCCTGACCTCGTGATCCACCCGCCTCGGCCTCCCAAAGTGCTGGGATTACAGGCGTGAGCCACTGCACCTGGCCGTTTTAGGTTTTGAATTCATTTTCGGTTACTTTTTGTGTAGGTATAAGTAATAGACCCAACTTCATTCTTTTGCATGTGAATATACAGTTTTCACACCATCATTTTTGAAAGATTCTTTACCCATTGAATGAGCTTAGCAACCTTGTCAAAAATTATTTGAACCTGTAATGTGAGGGTTTATTTCTGAGCTCTATATTTTATTCCATTGATTTATATGTCCATCTTTATGCCAGTTCCACAAGGTTTTCATTGCTGTGGCTTTGTGGTAAGTTATGAAATCAGAAAATGTGAGATTTTCAGCTTTGCTCTTTTTGAAGATTGTTTTGGCTATTTGGGGTCCCTTGAGATTCCATATGAATTTTAGGATGGGTTCTTCTATTTAAAAAAAAGTCATTGAGGTTTTGGTAGGGATTACACTGAACCTATAGATGGCTTTGTGTATGACTGACATTTTAACAATATTGTCTTCCAGTCTGTGAACCTAAGATGTCTTTCCATTTAATTGTGACTTTGTTTTATGCAAATGAAATGAGTGAATATATGAGCAACTAAAAAACATCTATCTCGTGTTGAAGATCTTATTCCAGAAAATACAGGACTTTCTATGCTACATAAAGGTTCAGTAAATAAAGAAGAATGAATGAAAACCAATATTTTGATGGACAAGAGAATCACCTTTTTTCACACATACCACAAATAGTTTTAAGGACTCTCTGTTTTATTATTGTCCTTCACCTACAAATGTAACATAACTGATGCAACCCAATTTCAATGTGTGGATGAGACTAAAGGTGTTGATTTGTGGATAAAGGCCTTTTTAAATCAAAACTATGGAAGTTTGCTCTGCCTACAGTTCAGTTAGGCAAATAGCTCTAAGGATATACTAAAACAACCTGGGAGATTTGGGGAAAAAATGTAGACAACAATTATTGTCCTTCTAGAGCTTTCAGTCTAAACTTGGAGGGAGGGAAATCAGAGAGACACATATTGAGAGGCTGGTTTGTATTGAAACAATAATATGTTTCTGCAACAATGACTCAAGACAACACAGTGATATCTGAAATTCTCTTTTATTCACCTTTATCCTTATAATCCATGATTTATGTGACTCTAACTCTGGTAAATCTTATTTTAAAAACTAAAGTCTGGTAGTAGTTGAAAATTTTTAAACTGTTATGAAAGACTATATTTGATATTACACAGGCATATCTCATTTTACTGAGCTTTGCAGCTATTGCATTTTTTACAAATTGAAGGTTTATAGCAACCCTGTGTCAAGCAAGTCCATCAGCACCATTTTTCCAACAGCATGTGCTCACTTCATGCCTTTATGTCACATTTTGGTAATTCTCAATATTCCAAACTTTTTCATTATTGTTATATCTGTTATGGTAATTTATGATAAATGATCTTTGATGTTACTATTGTACTTGTTTTGGGGTACCATAAACCACATCCATAAAATACAGTGCACTTAATTGATAAATATGTGTGTCCTGACTGCTCCACAGACTAGCAGTTTCCCCATATCTGTCTCTCTCCCTGGACCTCCCTATTTCCTGAGACACAACATGCCTGTAGTGTCTTACCTTCATTGTTAAGCTAATTATTGTTTACTAACAATTCAGGTTAGTTACTCTAGCAGTGAGGTAAGTTATGGAGTGTCTCAGTGAAGGTGTTAGAAAAGACTTACAAGATTTGGGTGGATGATTGAGTATATTAATAAATTTTATCTAGGAGGAGGAAAAACTAGATCAAAGCTAGCACTGTGATTGATAAAGCAGCAGCAGTCACTCTTTTTTAGCAAGCTTGTCCAGCACATGGCTTGTGGGCTGCATGAGGCTCAGGATAGCTTTGAATGCAGCCCAATGCAAATTCCTAAACTTTTAAAAAATACTATAAGGTTTTTTTTGCTATTTATTTTTTAGCTCATCAGGTATCGTTAGTGTTAGTATATTTTATGTGTGGCCCAAGACAATTATTCTTCCTCCAATGTGACCCAGGGAAGCCAAAAGATTAGAGAACCCTGCTTTACAGGGTAACTAGAATGGGAAACTCTACAGGACAAATATCCCAGCTCCTTCAGTAAATAAATTGCAAATGCAAAATGGGGGCAGGGGAAGCAAGAGTCACCCTCAGTGGCCAGGATGGGGGAATGTATGGCCATTTTGCAGCTTGGACAGAGTTCACGTTTTGTCTGTGTTTAGACATGCTTACAGAATGGTCTTGCTTTCATCTTGATGAGGCCCTGAAGTGGCCTTGTCTGATGTTAATGTTCTATGAAATTGTTTATGCTTAGCAGAAGAACCCCATCATCTGGCTGTGAAGGCCAAGATAGCAAGTACCACCACCAACTCCTGAGTGATCCTGCCAGGCCAGCTCCTGGGTGTGAGAGGTTACTTTTCTCTTTCTCACATCAATCACACGTTAATTTTTTTCTCTGAGTTACTGTAGCACTTACCATGGCATTTAGTTAAATGTAGCTTCCCTCATTATCAGAGTGTATGTGTGCTTTGTCTCCTCATGGAGGTGATAGCACATGTAGGGCAGTGACCAAGGCTTAGAAACTTTCATCCCATCCTTGGTGTTGAAAATCCTCTGATTCAATCTATGTAGTAGATGCTTAATATTAACTTTGAAGTGAATGAATGAATGAATAACTTAAGCCCAAATAAACCTCATTTCATAGCTTTTCAATTCTAGAGAATTGAAGAAAAAGAAATCAGTTCTTATTTAACTCAAATAAAATGATGTTTTCCTTTCATATGCCAAATCAAAGAAGAATGGAGCTGAAAGTAAAGTTGATCAAGTTGATGTAAATATTTGAGTGAAGAAAAGGCTTGCTGGTGCATTTGAGACATCAGTAATTTAAATCTTCAGTTAGATATGAGGCATTATTCAATAAAAAATGAAAATTGCTTTTTATTTAAAAATGTTATGGAATATTTTACTTGCCAAAAAGAAATTTATTCATCATTTGCATATTATCTTCTAACACACTACTAAATTTTCAATCTTTCCCCTATCTAATTGATAAAGTATTCGATATTTTAATAAGTTTCTGTGAATTTCAATTTTGATTAATTCATGGGTGATAAATATTGATGTTCCATTTTGATCTACATATTCTTATTTACTGTCTTTTGAATGAGGTATAATCCTAACAATTGCCAATCACTGAAATAAACAAATGTCGTAAGTAAAACTCTTAAAATCACGGGGGAAAGATATTAACAGTTTTAGAGCACTGGGGGTTAAAAATACCTATCTGCAAAGAACTCAAAATAAAAGAGATAATATGAACAGGAGAGCTTTAGATCTCTATCCATCTGTCAATCTATCATCTATCTATCTATCTATCTATCTATCTATCTATCTATCTATCTATCTATATCTAGCATCTATCATCTATCTATATCTATCTGTCTATCATTCTATCTAGAGATTTACTTTAAGGAATTGGCTCACAAGATTGTGAGTGCTGGGAAGTCTGAAATCCACACAGCTAGCTACAGGGTGGAAATTGAAGTAAAAGTTGATGTTGCAGTCTTGAATCCAAAGGCAAGAAACTCAGGCTGCCTAGAAGCAGAATTCTTTCTTCTTCAGGAAACCTCAGTTTTTGCTCTTAAGGCTTTCAGCTGATTGGATGAGGCCCATGCACGTTAGGAAAAGGCATTTGCTTTACTTAAAGCAACTTATTGTAAATGTTAATAACTTCTTTAAAATTTCTTTTACAGTAATAGCTAGATTAGTGTTTGACCAGCCAATCACCACAGACTAGCCAAATTGTTACAAACATTAGCCATTGGAATATACTTTCAACTAATTATTGACCCTACAAAAGGCTTACAAATGAAAGCTTTCTTTCATATTAATATCTCCTAAAACAATTATTTTTTTTGAAAAATCAACTTCTCAATGAGGTATTAGTGGTAGGAATAATTTTTCTATTGTACAGATAAGGACACGGCACAGTCATATGCTACATAATGACATTTTGGTCAACAGCATACTGCATATATGATAGTGGTCCCATGATATTATAGTGGAGCTAAAAATTCCTATGGCATAGTGATGTCATTGCTGTCATAATGTCATGATGCAACATGTTACTTTTTCTGTGTGGAAATATGTTTAGATACACAAATACTTATCATTATGTTACAGTTGCCTACAGTATTCAGGACAGCCCCTAGAAACAATAGCCTATTCCATATAGCCTACATTTGTAGTAGGCGCTATCATCTATGTTTGTGTACATGAGCTCTATAATGTTCACCCAACAACGAAATTCTTAACAACACTGTTCTCAGAATGGAGCCCTCCATCATTAAGTGATATATTATTAACTGTACTTTGGGGTTTGAATGATTTGCATAAGGCCACTAGAAAGTCTGTGATGCAAATTGTTAATAAAGAACCCAACCTTTTGTTCCCAATCCAATGTATCAAGGCCACCCCATTTCTGTGAGATCTTGGTGTGCATGATCATTCCTTACACATTTGAAATTCCCGCTTTGGTTACCCACTGCAGCATTGACACCAGCCAGCCATAAGGGTTTTCATAATAGTTTTCAATGAACAGATGTTCTTTTTCAAGCTAATAAATGTCTTCCTAATTCTACATTGTGTAAGCATAATCCCCAATTCCCAACCCATTAGAACACTGAACCATCATTGTTCCCTTGTTATCCCTGACTACTTTAACTTACCAACCTCATGAATCCAATTTTAAAGAAGAGTCAGAGAGCTAGATAGAGGACTGTGGGAACTGTGTGCCTTCCCTCCCCAACTTCTACCTACTTGAATTCAGTTTCTTACTTTACCACTGTACTTGCCAAGATTTTCAGCCAAATCTCTGATGATGTCATACCCCACGTCCCTCAATTTTGCACTTGCTATTCATTCAGGCTTCCATTGGATTTGAATCCCATATTGCCATTTAATAGCTCAATGACTTTCTAAGATTCAATTTGCATCTTCTACTAAAATATAGACAAAAATTCTAACCTCACAAGATTTTTTTAGTGATGCATTCTATTAATATACACATACCTGACCACAGTGCCTGGCGTCTATTTACTGTTTGTTAAATGCTAACTACCTTACCACCCACTTATGATGCTCTAAATCTGCTTATGGGACTCTTAATCTGCCTCTAGCCCCAAGTTTTCTCCTCCCTGATCAAAGTGAGAAATTTAGTTTTCTACAGTGGTTAGAATTATAATGGAGGGTGACAGGGAGAGAGAAGGAACATTTTTTCACCCATTGTAAAATCTTCCAAGCTAATCCTGAGTGATAATGACGGGCTGTGAAAGTATCCTCAATGAAATTTCATCACTTGGAGGTACAGAAGCAGATTGCTGTTGGAAGGTACATGGTAAACTTGAAAGAAGAGTAAAATAATGAAAAATCCAAAACTGAGCTCTGAAAAATTATTAGTCAAAATGGAATCAAACTTGCTCCAGGCTAATTACTTGCACTTTTAAAACTTCAGTCAGTAGAAATGTAATATCTGGAGATATAGGTGAATATTTCTTGTACCATTCTCATAAGTAAAACCTAGAATGAAGAGTAGTCATAATTTCTCAATTTGTCATGATAAGTATTCTGTGATATGGTGCATCAGGTAGAGTAAGGGACATTTGGCATTATGAAATTAGAATATTAAGTGGTTCCCTAGTCACTTAACTTGTAGTTGTCATAGCCATAACCCCCACAAATAGCATTACTTAGTCAAGAGGTGCATGAGACAGTGTTCAATGACATATAAAGTAATACACACACTGGTGTATTTGGACATGCATGTAGACCTTTATATTATAAGCATTGGAAAAACTAAAAAATTATATTCTAATTTTATAATATTTTGATCTTCATTTCTAAATATAGAGCATGGATTGTGATGATAGTAGCGTTGATGATAAAAATCCATTGCTATCTTAGCTAGGTAACTAACTATGACATTTTTTATCTCCTTCTTTTAGACTACATGCCACATATTTGTAGTTAATTTTTTTATGTGCCTGTCTCTTTCCCTAAATTGTGAGCTCTTTGATGGCAGAATCTGTGTCATTCATCTTATCTTCATGCCTGGCATAAGCCTGACATATAGTGGACATTCACTGTACATTTGATGGATTGAATTTTGTTAAATGATGGAAGGAAAGAACTTTATCGTATCATGATTTTAGTGTTTATCAGGCTCAAAACACTACACTGAATCTTATGGTTAGCTAAAACAGTTTGGACATAGGCTCTATGCTCATGCTTCTTGTATTTGGCTGACTTAGAGAATGTGAGTGTTTACTGCTAACTTACTGTGAACTTCTCTTTCTTAGAGTTTGGATGTTTAAGGGCTGTTTTCTATCAGGCACGTTCCTGAAGGCTCACTCATGATTTTGAGCCTGGGATAGCTAACTGTAATGTCGTCATCAAGTCAGCTATGGTATCTAGATTACATCTAAAACACATATCATCTTGTATACAGTATCATAAAAATTTGGTTTGTAGTTGTATTTTATAGACCAATGTACACTATGCTAAAAAGTTTAGTCACCCAATTTGTTATTTCTGAGGAGAAAAAAGGAACACTATTAAATTGTGTACCAACTCCACCCTTTAATTACACAAGCAAAGAAAAAGTAAAGTTAAAAGATTATACCAGGTCCTAAAATATGTAGACAGTCATGTCCATTAAATGTTAGAAAAGAATGTGATATACTACAGAGAGCTTTCAAATCATTTTAGACATTTTTATTATTTGCTTAAAAAAAGCACAAGCAAGTCAATTAAATGACAGATTGCTAGGATTTTAAAAGGACATATGCTTTAGTTTTATATGAATTTTGAAATCCCAGGCATCGAAAATGATTTTAAAATATCATGAACTGTAAAAAAGTAATTTACTTTACTCAACTCCAAGTGCCAAATTGTGGGCAGTGGTAAGATATTCAAGAATTGTGGATTCTGATGCCAATATGCAGTGTTAGCAATGTTTCCACCAAAGAGAGCTCAACTAATGGCCTCTATGTTAATCAACAGAAAACTATTTAAAGTGCTATAAGAAGCTTCTAGAAGTAGTCTTGCATTTTAAAATGTTAATAATTCAGGTTATATGTACATTAAAGGATAAAATCTTAAAAAAAAAAACACCTAAAACAATTGTAAAGTTGAGGATACAATGTACCTTTACACAATATATTTTCACTTATGGTCTGGAGACTAACAACAATAACAACAAAATAACCAACACAAACCCAAAGGCTATCAGAATATCAGAACTTAGAGAGAAAAATACAGACATACCTTGAGATATTGTGGGTTTGATTGCAGACCGACACGATACAGAACATATCACAATAAAATAAGTCACACAATTTTTTTTTTGGTTTCCCAGTACGTATAAAAGTTATGTTTATACTATGCTGTAGTCTATTAAGTATGCAATAGCATTATGTTTTTAAAAATGTGCACAACTTAAAACACTGTATTGCTAAATAATGCTAACAATCATCTGACTATTCAGTGAGTTGTAATCTTTTTCTTGGTGGAGGGTCTTTTGTGTGGGGGTGTGTGTGGCGGCAAGATTTATTAAAGTGAAAGCGAAAGGAAAGCTTCCACCCAGTGGAAGGGTACCCAGAAGGGGTTGCCATTTCTGGCTTGGGTGTGTTATGTTTATGCTTATATCCCCTTATGACTCCTCCCCTTTTCCTTTTTCTGTCCTATAGGATTAGCTTATTTTCTATCTGCTAGTGTTGGCAGGCCTGATTGGTTAAAAACATTAGGCTGCAGCTAGAGCATAAACTCCCTATATGATTGGTTGGAGTTTCAATCCCTTAGTTTGCAGCTGTGACTCATTTTGGCTTAGGGGAAAGTCCCCTTTGATTGGTTGAAGTTTCAATCCCTTAGCTTGCAGCTATGCCTTACTTTGGCTTAGGGGAAAGTCCCCTTTCATTGGTTGAAGTTTCAATCCCTTAGCTTGCAGCTATGACTCATTTTGGCCAACTTAGCCACTTAGTCCCTCATCCCCTCTCTCAACAGGAAAGGCCAAGTGCTGTTGGGAAGTTGGGCAAAGATCGTTCTAGCTATTTCCTGCTGGGGCGTAGAAGGGGCTCTGTAGTTGAGGTTTCCTCGGGAAGGGAGTCTTCAGTTTTGTGGTGCGAGAACAGGTTGGCAGGTCGGTCTAAGGGTCCTCGATAGTAGATGCTAGTGGTGGCTATTTGGGGCTCCATTTATAGAACCATTTGCAGTTTTATGGATTCTATTCTGGAAGAGACAATTTTTACAGGAAGGTTAAAAATGCAGGGTCCAAAGATAAGCAACATCGCAATAGCCACCAAGGGTCCCAAGAAGGGGAGAAGCCAGGACATCCATTGGTTGACAATACTCCAAGATCCTGTGTCTTGGAGCTCTTGTGCCCAGCGCTGTATCCGGTCTCAAAGCTCCTTAACTTTCCCAGTGACAATTTCGAATTGATTAACGAAATAGCAGCATTTTCTCCTAGAAAAAGATAAGTTCCACTTCTTTCGGCTGTTAATAAATCTAATGCTCTCCGATTTTGAAGGGTTACTGCTGCTAAAGAGTTAAGCTGGCTTTGTAAGGTGACCAGCAAATCTGCGACTCATTCCATATCATCATTTAACTCTTGTGATAATTTGTAATAGAACTGGGGGGGAGGTGGTAATGCCTCCAATGCTGGTTCCTAGTCCTCCTAGTATCCCAGCCCTGATAATGAATGGCAGAACTTGTGCCCATTTGTAGAAGATTTGGGTAGAAGAAAATTCTGTAACTCCTGATCAGTATAGATAGTCATAGGGGGCTCCAAAAAGGAGAGAAAGCATAGACTTTTGAAGAAACCGTTTAAGCAGCGGTAAGCTGAGGAACCACAAAAAAAAAGATTCCTGATGGTAAGCAAGAGAGTCGTGGAGGTAGGGTAATTCATGTTTTGCACTGGAAGGCAGCTGCATCAATGGTTGTGCTAAACTTTACACACGTGAGATTTGGTGTATGTGTTATTTCTAGATTTGAGACTAAAGGGCCCACCAAGCCTGTGGTGTTTGTTCTTAGTTTGGTGGCATTCCAATGTTCGGGAACAGGAACTGGGACATATGGTTTAAAGCGTAAGGGGAGGCACATCCAGCAGTCAGTTGGATTCTGGCTGGAGGCCTTGTGAATTTCGGTAAGGGTGACATTAAATAAATTTAGCAAGCAGGAGTGAGTGACTAGTCCCTGTGCTTTTAGGTCTTTGACGATCTTTTGTAACCCTTGTTGGGCTTCTGGTCTGAGGGGGTACTGCCTTTGATAAGGAAAGGAGGTAGGATCTTTTAATTTAACTTGAACTGGATAAGCATTTTTTTGCTAGTCCGTATTGTCCTTCCTCTGCTCAGACTTCAGGATTAACTTCCTCATGGAGTAGAGGGCACAAACAGGTATTCCTTCTCCTATATTTAAGTATATAATGACCCCTGCTTTAGCTAATATGTCCCTCCCTAGTAAGGAAGTAGGGCTCTCAGGCATAATAAGAAAGGCATGTGAGAAAAATAAGGTTCCCCAGTCACAACTTAGGGGGTGGGAGAAATACCTAGTGACTGGCTGTCCTAGGACCCCTTTGATGGTGACAGATCTGGAGGACAGTTGTCCAGGACAGAAGAGTAAAACTGAGAAGGCCTCACCAGTGTCCAGGAGGAAGTTAGTTTCCTGACCTTCAATGGTTAAGCTTACCCGAGGCTCTGTGAGGGTGATGGCATGGGCTGGCACCTGCCCCAGGCACCCTCAGTCCTGTTGTTGGCCCATCTGGTTAGTGGCCTCTGGCTCAGAGGACCTTCACCCTTGGGGGCAGTGTGCATTCCAGTGATTCCCCCTGGCACAAGCGACATGGATGAGGGTGCGACTTATTGTTGTTTGGGCAGTCCTTTTTGAAGTACCCCTGTGAGCCGCACTGATATCAAGTCCTGTTAGGTGGGTTGCCTGCCCAGCCCTTCTTTCTTTCAGAGTCACCAAAGTTCATCTGCCTGAGGGCCGTGACTAAGGCAATGGCCTTTCTCTTGTCTCGTCTATCTCGTTCAACCTGCTTCTCCTGATCCCTATTATAAAACACCAAAGCTGCCAAATTCAATAGAGTTTCCAAATTTTTCTCAGCACACGAGTCAGACTTCTGAAGTTTTTTTTAGGGTAGGCAGCGGCAAATTGGAGGACCAAGGTTGGAACAGTGCTTTTCGTACCCAAATTTTCTGTCCCCTATTTGCCCTCCTGAGAATATTCATTGACCTTTGGACTTGAATCGGGGGAGCTATTGTCTATTATATTGTTTTTGGCACATAAGTCTGACTGCTTAAAGTGGAGAAGTTCTACAGTTCTGATTGCTGATCCCAGACAGGAAAGGTGGTAATTAAAGTAGCCTCTGCAATCTGGAGTAAGTTTATGGCAACAAAAGGAAAAATGTCCTAGGCCTTCTATCAGCCACTGACATGCCTTTTGATGTCCCACGTAGTGCCTAGGGTATAGGTTATGAGGGACAGGTCCTGTATAAGTATATTGATACCAATTTGCATAAGAATAAGCCTGGGGGCACCATGGGCAAGGGTCTTTGGATTGTCACCCCACTCGACTTAGGCTCCTAGCCAAAATATTCTTAGACTCAGAGGTAGGAAAGATCCTAGAGGATAGGGCCTGAAGAAAGTCTTCTCTGAGGACGTTAGGACCCAGGAGGCGTGGGTCAGAATAGGCAGGGAATGCACACATGGGTGGCTGTGGAGTAGAAGCTTCTTGCTGTGCCATGATCTCGACCAGGTCAGTGCCAAGAGTTCAGGATGACAGTTTTCCACCTCTAGCCAGCCCTCAGCTTTTCCCAGGAAAGGTAGAGAAAGGTGGAACTGGTTCCAGGCAAACCAATGCTCCCAGACCAGAGGGCTGGGGGTTGTTAGAGAGCCCTTTCCCAGAAACCCTCAAACCCGTCTTAAGTCTGGCAGCCACACTTGTTGCTTTTAAATGGCTGACAGGCGCCCTGTGTTTTCCTCCAATTTCTAGTGAGAAGATAGAAAGAATAGCAAGAGAAAGGGGTCCAATGTTACTCACCACTTTGGAGAAATCCCAGATGGGCTCCCAGAAAGGAGACGAGAAGTCTTCTTCCATCAAAGGTTTTTCTCGATCAAGAGGTTCGTGGTCTCATGGGCTTCAAGGAATGAAGCTGTGGGCCACAGTGGCAAGTGTTACAGCTCGAGTAGAGAAATGCACAGACCCAAAAAGTGTACAGCTGCAAGATTTATTAAAGCAAAGGCAAAAGTAAAGTAAAAATGAAAGTAAAGCTTCCATGCAGTGGATGGGAACCCAGAAGGGTTGCCCAGAGCGTCTTGTCTTGATGTTGATGGCTGCTCACTGATCGGGGTAGTGGTTGTTGCTGAATATTGGGATGGCTGTGGCAATTTCTTATCATAAGGCATCAATAAAATTTGACACATCAATTGACTTAACCTTTCAGGAAAGGTTTCTCTGTTGCATGTGACACTGTTTGATAGCATTTTACCCACAATAGAACTTCTTTCAAATTTGGAATCTATCTTCTGAAACCCTGTTTCTGCTTTATCAGCTAATTTTATGGAATATTCTAAATCCTTTGTTGTCATTTCAACAATATTCACAGCATCTTCACCAGGAAAAATTCCATCTCAAGAAACTACTTTCTTTGCTCATAGCAAGAAAGCAACTCTTCATTCATTCAAGTTTTATCATGAGATTGAAGCAATTCTGACACATATTCAGGCTCCACTTCTAATTCTGGTCCTCTTGCTATTTCCACCACTCTGCAGTTACTTTCTCCATTGAAGTCTTGAATGCCTTCATGTCATCCATTAGGGCTGAAACCAACTTTTTCAAAACTTTTTTTTTTTTTACTATACTTTAACTTTTAGGGTACATGTGCACAACGTGCAGGTTAGTTACATATGTATACATGCGCATGTTGGTGTGCTGCACCCATCAACTCGTCATTTAACATTAGGAATATCTCCTAATGCTATCCCTCCCTGCTCCCCGCACCCCACAACAGTCCCCGGTGTGCGATGTTCCCCTTCCTGTGTCCATGTGTTCTCATTGTTCAACTCCCACCTATGAGTGAGAACATGTGGTGTTTGGTTTTTTGTCCTTGCAATAGTATGCTGAGAATGATGGTTTCCAGCTTCATCCATGTCCCTACAAAGGACATGAACTCATCCTTTTTTATGGCTGCATAATATTCCATGGTGTATATGTGCCACATTTTCTTAATCCAGTCTATCATTTATGGACATTTGGGTTGGTTCCAGGTCTTTGCTATTGTGAATAGTGCCGCAATAAACATACGTGTGCATGTGTCTTTATAGCAGCATGATTTATAATCCTTTGGGTATATACCCAGTAATGAGATGGCTGGGTCAGATGGTATTTCTAGTTCCAGATCCCTGAGGAATAGCCACACTGACTTTCACAATGGTTGAACTAGTTTACAGTCCCACCAACAGTGTAAAAGTGTTCCTATTTCTCCACCTCCTCTCCAGCACCTTTTGTTTCCTGACTTTTTAATGATTGCCATTCTAACTGGTGTGAGATGGTATCTCATTGTGGTTTTGATTTGCATTTCTCTGATGGCCAGTGATGATGAGCATTTTTTCATGTGTCTTTTGGCTGCATAAATGTCTTCTTTTGAGAAGTGTCTGTTCATATCCTTTGCCCACTTTTTGATGGGGCTGTTGGTTTTTTTCTTGTAGATTTGTTTGAGTTCATTCTAGATTCTGGATATTAGCCCTTCGTCAGATGAGTAGATTGCAAAAATTTTCTCCCATTCTGTAGGTTGCCTGTTCACTCTGATGGTAGTTTCTTTTGCTGTGCAGAAGCTCTTTAGTTTAATTAGATCCCGTTTGTCAATTTTGGCTTTTGTTGCCATTGCTTTTGGTGTTTTCGACATGAAGTCCTTGCCAAACTTCTATTAAGGTTGACATTTTGACCTCCTCTCATAAATCATGAACATTCTCAATGGCATTTAGAATGATTAATCCTTTCCAGAAGGTTTTCAATTTACTTTTCCTATATCTATCAGAGGAACTACTATTTATGGCAGCTGTAGCCTTATAAAATGTATTTCTTAAATAATAAAACTTGAAAGTCAAAATTACTCCTTGAATCCATGGGCTGCAGAATGGATATTGTGTTCGGAGGCATGAAAACAAGATAAATTTCCTTGTACATCTCCATCAGAGATCCTGGGGGACAAGGTGCATTGTCAGTGAGCAGTAATATTTTGAAAGGAATTATTTTTTTTTCTGAGCAGCAGGTCTCAACAAGGGACTTAAAATAATCAGTTAACCATGCTCCTAACATATGTGCTGTCATCCAGGCTTTGTCACGCTATTGATAGAGCACAGCAGAGTAGATTTAGCATAATTGTTAAGGGTCCTAAGGTTAGCAGAATGGTAAATAAGCCTTGGCTCACTTAAACTTAAAGTCACTAGCTGCATTATCCCCTAAGAAGAGAGTCAGCCTGTCCTTTGAAGCTTTGAAGGCTTGCATTGACATCTCCTCTCTAGCTATGAACATCCTAGATGGCATCTTCTTCTAATAGAATGCTATTATGCTGTTTTGTTTACATTGAACATCCATTGTTTATTGTAGCTAACTGCATCTATTACTTTAGCTAGATCTTCTGGTTAACTTGCTGCAGCTACAACATCAGCACTGGCTACTTCACCTTTCACTTTTATGTTATGGAGATGACTTCTGTCCTTAAACTTAACAAACCAACCTCTGCTGTCTTCCAACTTTTCTTCTGCAACTTCCTCAACTTTCCTTCTGAAGGTTGCTCAAATAAATTACAGCCTTGGCTACTTCTCTTTTTAAATTCCTTTGGCTTCTCATTCAAATGCAGATAATCCCTACCTCACAGAATTGTGAAGATTAAGTATATAGGTATATTTATATATTTATATGTAATATAAATATATATTATATGTAATATAAATATATATTATATGTAATATAAATATATATTATATGTAATATAAATATATATTATATGTAATATAAATATATATTATATGTAATATAAATATATATTATATGTAATATAAATATATATTATATGTAATATAAATATATATTATATTTATATGTAATACAAATATATATTATATATTATATTTATATGTAATACAAATATATATTATATATTATATTTATATGTAATACAAATATATATTATATATTTATATGTAATACAAATATATATTATATATTTATATGTAATACAAATATATATTATATATTTATATGTAATACAAATATATATTATATATTTATATGTAATACAAATATATATTATATATTTATATGTAATACAAATATATATTATATATTTATATGTAATACAAATATATATTATATATTTATATGTAATACAAATATATATTATATATTTATATGTAATACAAATATATATTATATATTATATTTATATGTAATACAAATATATATTATATATTATATTTATATGTAATACAAATATATATTATATATTATATTTATATGTAATACAAATATATATTATATATTATATTTATATGTAATACAAATATATATTATATATTATATTTATATGTAATACAAATATATATTATATATTATATTTATATGTAATACAAATATATATATTATATTTATATGTAATACAAATATATATTATATATTATATTTATATGTAATATAAATATATATTATATATTATATTTATATGTAATATAAATATATATTATATATTATATTTATATGTAATATAAATATATATTATATATTATATTTATATGTAATATAAATATATTATATATTATATTTATATGTAATATATATATTATATGTAATATAAATATATTATATATTATATTTATATGTAATATAAATATATTATATAATATATTTATATGTAATATAAATATATTATATAATATATTTATATGTATAAATATATATAAATATAATATATAATATATTTATATGTATAAATATGTATAAATATAATATATAATATATTTTATATGTATAAATATAATATATAAATATATTTTATATGTATAAATATATAAATATATATTTATATGTATATAAAACTATATTTGTTTAATTATTTATCCACTCATGTTTGGGTTTAACAAATATTTATTAGGCATCTATTGTGTTTCAATTCCTGTGTTCAGCACAGGTAAAGACACACTTGAAAAACAGGTTGGATTCTGAACCATTTCCTCATGTCCACCACTGTATTCCTTCCTGAATTCACTGAACTCCTAAATGATTGCCATCCTTTCTTTCTTTCTTTCTTTCTTTCTCTCTTTCTTTCTTTCTTTCTCTCTTTCTTTCTTTCTTTTCTTTGCTTTGAGATGGAGTCGCGCTCTGTTGCCCAGGCTGGAGAGCAGTGGTGCAATCTTGGCTCACTGCAACCTCCACCTCCCAGGTTCAAGTGATTCTCCTGCCTCAGCCTCCTGAGTAGCTGGGACTACAGGTGTGCACCACCATGCCCAGCTAATTTTAGTATTTTTAGTAGAGACAGGTTTCACCATATTGGCCAGGCTGGTCTTGAACTCCCAACTTCGTGATCGGCCTGCCTCAGCCTCCCAAAGTGCTGGGATTACAGGCGTGAGCCACCATGCCCAGCCTGACTGCCATCCTTTCTTAAGTGGTTTTCCATCATTTCCATCCTCTCTGATATCTTTACCTCCCCACAACCATTTTCAACATTCAGATGCCCAAAGTGCTAGCCATACTCTACCCCATCTCAAACCCCTTAGTAGATCTGCCTACATGCACAACTAAAAATTCCTCAGAATAGTATTTAAAGCTCTCCACAGTCTCTCTACATCCTGTTCAATCTTATTTCACTACTGTCCTACAAGAACATGGGACTCCAGTGAAATTGAACTTGGCTTCCAAATATGTCATGCATTTTCTAGAAGGATATCTTACATGGTTTTCTCTGCTTGAACACTCTAGATTTGAACGTCCAAATCCAACTCATCTGTTGTATAAAATAGTTCTCAGTTTCCTCACATATAAATACGTTATTCCTCTCTAAACTATAACATTTTATCTATGTTTCTCTTTCATGGACATATTTATACATGTCTCAATGTCTTAAACATGTTTATTTAAATTAAACTTTTATTTTGAGTTAATTGTGGATTCACATGCAGTTGTAAGAAATAATACAGAGGTATTGTTGACCTTGTACCTAGTTTTCCCAATGATACAATCTTGGGAAACTATAATGCAATATCACAAAAAGGATGTTGACATTGATACAGTCAAGATGCAGAACATTTCCCATCATTACAATGATCCTTCATACACCTACTTCCTTCTTGCTCTCACGCCCTCCTTAACCTCTCTAAACCACTAAACTGTTCTCCATGTCTATAATTTTTTCATTTCAAGACTGTTATATAAATAGAATCATACAGTATATTTATAACTGGCTATTCTTTATTTATTTATTTATTTTTAGAGACAGGGTCTCACTCTGTTGCCCAGGCTGGAGTACGGTGGAATGACCACAGTTCATGGCAGCCTTGAACTCTTGGGCTGAAGCAATCCTACCACCTCAGCCTTCCAAGCTGCTGGGATTATAGGCATGAGTCATTATGCCCAGCAGGACTGGCTATTTTGATTAAGTAAAATTCTCTGAATAGTTATCTGAGTTGTTACATGTATAAATAGTTCATTCCTTTTTACTGATGAACGGCATTCTCGTGATTCAGATGTACCACAGTTTGATCATTCACTCATCGAAGGGCACCTGGGTTGTTTCCAGTTTGGGAATAATTCAAATAAAGCTGCTATAAAACTTCATGTACAGGTTTTTGTATGAACATAAGTTGTTTATATGAGATAAATGGCCAGAAGAACAATTTCAAGGTTTTAAGATAGTTGCATGTTTCAAAGAAATTGCTAAACTATTTTCCAGACTGGCTGTACCATTTTGCATTTCCACCACATATATGAGTAACCCAGTTTTTCTTCATCCTTATCAGCATTTGGTGTTATTGCTGTTTTTTCCATTTTAGTACTTCTAAAAGGTATGTAATTTCTATGATGTGAATGTTTGCATCCCTTCAAAATTCATGTGTTGAAATTCTAACTCTCAAAGTGATGATATTAGGTGGGACCTCTGGGAGGTTATTAGATCATGAGAGTGCAGCCTTTGTGAATGGGATTGGTGCCCTCATTTTTTGGCATGTGAATATTCAGTTTTCCCAACACAGTTTATTGAAAAGATTATCCTTTCATCATTATGTTTTCTTGGTTCATTTGTCAAAGATTAGTTTACCATATATGTGTAAGTTTATTTCTGGACTTTTTATTGTGTTCCATTGGTCTATGTGTCTATTTGTACCATAATGTTTCAATTATTATAGCTTTGTAATAGAATTTGAAATCAGGAGGTGTGATACTTCCAGCTTTGTTCTTCTTGCTCCAGATTGTTTCAGCTATTCAGGATCTTTTGGGATTCCATACAAATTCTAGGATTGTTTTTTCTACTTCTATGAAAAATCTGTAATTGGAATTTTAATAGGGATTGCATTGACTCTGTAGATTGCTTTGGATAGTATGCATCCCATTTTTGATACTATTGATAAGATATCTTTCTGTTTATTTCTGTCTTCAATTTCTTTTATTGGTGTTTAATAATTTTCAGTATACAGATGTTTTTCCTCCTTGGTTAATTTTACTCAATTATTTTATTCTTTTTGATGCTATTACAAATGATATTGTTTTCTTACTTCTTTTTCAGATAGCTCCTTTCCAGTGTCTAGAAATGCAACTGGTTTTTGCATGTTGGTTTTGGGTTTCTCAACTTTACTGAATTTGTTTATAGTTCTAACAGTTTTTTGGTAGAGTCTTTAGACTTTTCTATATATAAGATCATGTCATTTTCAAACAGGGAGTATTTAACTTCTTCTTTTCCAATTTGGATGCTTTTAATTTTTTTTTCTTGCCTAATTGCTACAGTTAGGACTTTCAGTACTGTGTTGCACAGACATAGCCAGAGTGTGCAACCTTGTCATATTTTTATTTTTTAAGGAAAAGCTTTCAGATTTTCACCATTCAGTATTATGTTAGCTGTGGTTGGTTTTATATGAATGGTCTTTATTATGTTGAAGTGAATTCCTTCTATACCTGATATTTTGAGGTATTATCATGAAAGATAGTTAAGTTTTGTCAAATGCTTTTGCTGCATCTATTGAAATGAGCATATGACTTTTATCCTTCATTCTGTTAATGTGTTATATCATATTGATTGATTGATTTGCACATGTTGAACCATTATACTTGCATCTCAGAGATTAATCCCACTTAATCATAATGAATGACCATTTAATGTGCTGTTGAATATGTTTGCTAAAGTTTGTTGAGGACTATGGCATTTATGTTCATTGTTGGCTTTTTAAAATTGTAGTGTACTTGTCTGGTTTTGGTGTCAGGGTAATACTGACATTGTAAAATGAGTTTGGAAGTGTTCCTTTAAAGGGGAATACTTTAAAAGGAACACACACATATGCATACACACACACACACTTAACCTTTATCAGCAAGTTTTTTACTTTTGTATGTTTTAATGTTACTAATTAGCATCATTTCATATGATCTTAAAGAACACTCTAGCATTTCTTGTAAGGCAGTTTTAGTGATGAATCCTATCAGTTTTTGTTTATCTGAGAAAGTATCTCTCCCTAATTCTTTTTT